>NC_000002.12:232338102-232641133 GCF_000001405.40 Homo sapiens
AGCCCAGGCAGCCTGACTGTGAGAGCCCCAAACAGGAGAGCCCCAAACAGGAAGGACCAGGGCCCTTCCCCTCCCCTCCATGCTGCCCACCCTCTGAGGAGCAGTGGCCAAGTTCCTCTCTGGGCTTCTCGGGCCAGGCTGACCCTGTCCCCCAGGGCCTCCCACGAAGCATGGGAGCTGTTCCCTCACAGGCAGCACAGACCCGGACGGACACCTGTCCCTATGTCCCAGCGCCCCCAGGCCCCAGTGAGGAGTAGCCAGGGGGGTGAACAAGGGGGTTCCTGCTGCCTGGGCTTGTTTGGGAAGCAGATGCTGGGCTCAGAGTTTCTTCAGAGAGCCTCACCTTCCGTGCTGGCCCCAGAGCATGGCGGGTCCCTGGAGCTGTGGAGGCCATGGCAGCCCCAGCCCACCCCACCCCATCTGGGGAAGTGGAAACCGTATCCACGAGGGTCAGGTCAGGTCTCTGCCTCCAGTGACCTGGCAAGGTTGTGCCCAGCCAGGACCTGGGCTCAGGCCCAGGCAGCCGCCACACCCTACCCAGAGCTCAGAGAAGGCAGCCCAGCCTTCTCCCCACACCAGTCACACCGAGCCCCGCGTCTGCATTCACTCCTTTAAGGAACATGGTTGACTGAATCCGGTGCCGCGCATTCACAGGATGGCTCTCCATGGGTCCACTGGGGCCCAGCCTCTTATGTGGCCCCTCGCTAAAAGGACTCAACAGAAAGAGTGACCAGGCACCGACCCTCATCTAAAGGAGGACTTGGCCATTCCCTGGGCTGTCCCACAGCACCTGCCGGCCAGGGCCCGGGCACAGAGCGAGACTGTCTTTTCCTCAAGGAGACACCGTGGGGGAGGGAGGGAGAGGTAGACACCACCAACCTCATTCCATGACCAGGGCCTGGCGATGCTCAGAAGCCAGTGAGTGTGTCCCTGCCCTGAAGGGTCAGTGCTGGCCCCCTGGACCTAGGGGGAAGATGGTGCAGGCAGTGGCCCAGCCTGAGGAAGGAGCTGAAGCTCTCAAGAGTTTGCAGCCACCCTCCTGGGGAGAGACTGACGCCTCCCCAGTTCCTGTTAGGAAGGACCTCAGGAAAGAACTGGAATTACACAGCCTGGGGTGGCAGCCTCCTGGTCCCTGAGGAGGATGTCAGGCCGCAGAAGGGAGGAACGGGCATGAAGCTTGGGAAGCGGGCGCCAGAGGAGGCGAGGCCTCTGCAGAAGCAGCACCAGAGGCCACTGCAGCGGCTCCACCACCCAGCAGCGCCGCCAGGAGGCAGGAAGTGGGAGGCCAGGCAGGAGGGGCTGTGATTGCCCAGGTGCCAGGAGGAAGGGCTGAGAGGGGACAGTGCAGATGTCCAGAGAGGCCTGACAGGGACAGGCTGCGAAAGTCACGGGTGGGGATGGGCTTCCGCCAGAGTTGTGTGTGGCCTGAGGACAGTGCAGCAAGGAGGCCCCATGGTGAGCACATGCAGCCGAAGTGACAGGTTGGGCTCCTTTGTGGGACAAGAGCCTCTCCAGGCCACTGCAGGGTGTTCAGAGAACAAGGCCTACAAGGATCTGCTGTGCCTGCAGCTGGGCAGTAGAACACTGAGCATGCAGGGCCGGGGTGGGAAGCAGGAAAGCCACATGGACGAGAGAGCCGGGCCTGCCCAGCAGTGCCTTTTGGGAGCGCAGGCAGGATGGGATGTGCAGCTGTGACCTGCCCGGCATAGAACTCCGTCTGGCTGGGGAGAGGAGGTCTCTTCTAGCCAGAATGGACCAGGAGGTCCCGGGAGGACCTGGGAGGAAGTGGATTGAGTTGGGCCTTAGAAGGAGAGCCAGGAACAGGCCAGGTCAGGGGAGCTGGAGCCTGGCTAGGTATGGAGAGAGCAGGGTACACTTGCTGCAACTGTGAGAAGAGCCAGGGGTGGCCCTGGTGGCCTGGGCGCGTTTAGCTGTGCCTGGGGCCAGGCCTGACTGGCTGCAAGTCATTACTATAGGCGGAGAGTGCAGAGTAGCGCGCTCCTGCTGTCACTCCCTCCTCCAAGTCCACAAAGAGGCAAGAAAGGGAGGATTTTAAGGCCTATCCATACCGCATGGCAGGTGAGAGCAGAGGAGCAAACAGCACTTTTGGATCCTGGAAAGCAGAAGGTGAGTGTCCCAGGCGTAGCTGACCTGAGAAAGGCGACTCCAAAGCCAGCAGCAGCAACAGCTGGAACTGCCCCAGCCTGCACCACGGGACCCCCAGCTCTGAGACTGAGAGCAGCTCTGGGGACCTCTGGGCTGGGGTGAAGAGGGATGGCTGGAATCATTGTTGCAAACAATTCAGTAGGCAGGCAGCTCCCTAGATCCCACCGTGGTCTGCAGAGGCCAGCACCTGTCCCGACCTCTTACTGGTCGGCCCTGGAGAGCCATCTCCTACAGAGGCAAAATGAACGGTCTCTGGGCCAGGACCAGGCCTGTTCAGGGGGATGTGTGGCTAAGTGCATAAGGGATGCTGAGACTACAGCCCTCGTGCCCAGGCAGCGCTCAGGGCATGGATAGCCAGGCCCTCCCCATCCAGGCCAGAGATGGGAAGACTCCATCCAATCTCATTCCATGACCAGGGACTGGCAAAGCTCTCAGTTCTCTCTCCATCCCAGCAGGAGACAAAGAACCCAACCTCAGAGATTCCTCAACTCGGAGACCCAGCCAGGCCACCCTCCAGAGCATCTCAGTCTGCAAGCCCCTTGGTGTGCTCAGAGCTTCCAGTCACACTGCTCATGCCTATCCGTGCACAGCCAGGGATTGCCCTTCGTGGAGGAAAACTTCATGAAACAAAAAACAAGCTCCGTGGGGAACACAGACCATAGAGGAAAAAGAAAGCTGTAGAAAAAGAAATGATGAATGCCTTCCTGGAGGTGAGAAAGCCATCGTGAAACGAGAGGAGGTTGCTCCAAAAAGTTCCTAGAGAGCAAAACAAGGGCCCTTGGAGGCACAATGATTGCCACCGTGGAGACACATTTCAGCGCCACTAGAGTAAAAACACTGCAGACAGGTGAGCTCTCAACAGATACATGTCCCTCGCCTTCTCAGGAAAGATGGGCAGTAATGAGGGCAGAAGCCACAAAGAGGAAACCGTAGTGACAGGACCCAGGGTCCTTCAAGCTGCGGTGGGGCAAGCGCTCGGGACAGTGGTGAGGGAGCAGCTCAGCCCCAGGTGGTGCCTGGCAACCCGCCCCGGGACGTCCCACCCAGGGCAGCAGTAGAGTGACATGGATAGAAAGCTGAATTCCCCAGAAGAGCCTGGAGGACATTGAAGTACTTCGCATAGAGCCTCGGGTTGGATTAGTAGTACATACAGAATGATCCACATGTGAAGATAAGACCATGATTGGCTCCAGAGAAAACAGCAGTGCAAGCAAGAAGAGGTAGCTAGTCACAGTTTACGATCTGGCAATAGCGTTTACACAGTCATCACCATAGAAATGCCGAGTCAGGATCTAGTTTACTGCAGAACTCTATCAGGAGGACTGGAAGATGGGGACGCTGTCCACATGCAGGGAATGCAGTTGGTGAAATGGAAGCTAAATGCTCATTTTCCTCAGTGGGAAGCTGTGGCTTGAAGATGACTGTAAACTCTCTTTCCGCCTCTTCAATCTTGACAGGCCCCAGGGCTGCTAAGCTAATATGGCAGAAGGGACACTGTGCCAGTTGCAGGCCCAGGCCTTAAGAGACTGGCAGCTTCCCCTCTCTGTCTCTGGAAACCTACCTGCCCTTCTGTAAGGAAGCCCAAGCAGCTCTGGAGAAGCCCTTATGGAGGGGCCCACTCTCAGCCCACAGCCAGCACCAGTTGGGCAGCCACGCAGACCCCCAACCTGCAAGCCAGGCCCGCTGAGGCCTCAGTACACACAGGCAGTCCCATCAGCCCTGCCCAGATGGCAGTTTTGTGATCAAAATATAGACGATAGATGATTGTTTTTTAAGGTTGTTGGGGGTAGTTTGTCACACAACGATAGATAATAGAACATCAGTAGGCTGTGTGTGTGTGTGTGTGTGTGTAGCATATATATATACACATATACATATATACACATATACATATACACATACACATATATACACGTATACATATATACACATACATATATACACATATATACACATACATATATACACATACACATATATACACATACACACATACACATATACATATATACACATATATGCATATATACACATATATACATATATACACATAGCTTCAAATTCAGACATGAAGAAGTATCTTATTTAGCAACAGTGGTAAATAGTAAAACACCAAGAGAGAGGAAAGTGGTTGCCTCAGAGATGGGAAAATGCAAGGAGGGAGACGGAACTGCTGTTTGTTTTAACAAACCTTGTAGATCTGTTTGATACTTTAAACTACATTCACATATAACTTGGACAAAAGTAAAAACTGAAGTTGAAAAAAATGTATTCATGCTAATAGCACAGGAATGATCCACAATTGGATTCCAAGGCTTCTTGTACATTCAGCATAGGGTGTATGAAAGAGTCCACTATTCTAGCAACAGATAAAATTCCTACTGACACGCAACCTCAGGTTCCCACTCGTTTAGAAGGCTGCGTATGGTCTTCTACTTAAAGCCTCAAGTAGCAGTCATGGCAGTGACAAATCCTCATTGCCTCCATAGAACCTCTAGGCTCATGTGTGAGCCCAGGCTGGGCTGGGGCCCCTGGGAGCCCAGGGTGAGGGGCCAGTCCCTGGGCAGCTCCGTGAGCCAGGAGCAGCTGTGCCACCTGGGGAAGGGCTGCACGGTCGATGGGTCTTTTCTGCAGAAGAGTGTGCCCCAGCCCTTGCTGGGCACAGATCAAAGAGGTGTTCATGGGTCGAAATCACAGATTTCAAGGGCTGATAGGAGTCAGAGTGGGGGGGCTGGGAGGGCTGAGGCAGGTTAAAGATTTGAGAGGGGCTGCTGTGTCCACAGCTGCATCACACTGCTCTGCTGTCCCCTCCATGTTCCCCGGCACTGCCGCCTACCCTGGGGTCTTCTGGAAGTAACTGAAGGCCCCCTCAACCTGGCTCATCATCAAAGCAGACTGTTGACTAGCTGCAGGCAAATATGAAGAGGCTATTTCCTGTCACAAAAAGGCCATGCTGTATCTTTCTGAAGCTATGGAGCTGACGCAGGCTGAGTAGGCTCACCTTTCACTGGAATTGCAAAGGCCTAGCCACATGAAACCGCGCCTCCTCATCCAGGAGACACGGAAAAGGGCCCAGCAGAACGCAGACAAGGATGGGGCTGCCCATCTTCAGGCCTCTCACAGCCCCTCTGCTGAAGATGCAGAAGCACAGCCCTCCACAGAGGAACGCCTGCCTGAGACTCGGGGCATATGTGACAGGGATCCAGACACACGACTGTTTTTCCTTCAGCAACAGAGCCGTGTATTGGAAGCAAAGCCCCAAAACACGATAAGAGTAGAGGAGCAGACAACCCAGTTGCAGATTTGAAGAAGCATGTGGAATTCCTTGTGGCGGAGAAGGAAAGATTATGGAAAGAAAGTAAACAGGTAAAGGCTGAAAAGGCCAGACTTCTAAAAGGTCCAGTAGAAAAGGAGCTGGATGTGGGTGCTGATTTTGTGGAAAAGTCAGAGTTACGGAGCTCGCCTCTGCATTCAGAAACTGCTATACCCTCTTCAGCCTTGCAGAGGTTTGCAGCAGATGCCAGGAAAGCCAAGTACATTCCAATACCCAATCTTTTCCCTCAGATTTTCCATCTCCAGAGCTTCCCTTTATGGAGCTTTCTGAGGATATTCTGAAAGGATTTATGAGTAACTAAAATGGAAGGCCATAGAAGAAGGGAGAAGAGGAAATAATACTAAGTCATACAGTTAATCCAGCAACAAAAAATGAAAAGGGAAAGCCACAGGCAAGGGTAATCCTGGAAATGCCTCGTCATCTGGTGTACTGTAGGAGAAGACGCATTGCCAGGATGTGGGGAACAGTCGCTGTGAAGCGTGTCACATACCTGATTCACTGACTTGAGCTGATGATGCCGACCTGGCAGACACTAAACTCGTGGAGGGTCAGTTTCTCTTGACACCAACCAAATGGCTGCCTGAAAGAATTTTTTCAAGCAACAATTATTTTTCTTATCTTCAGGGTTAAAATGTATAAAAGTATGTTATGTATAATTAATCTGTTATGTCATAAGTGATCATGCAAAACCTAAATATTATGGCAGCCTGAGGGGCTGCTTCGTATTTGAAACATGCTTTGTCTCAGGCGTTGACGTATGTATGCATTTTGTTACTGGCGTTTTGTATAAGGTGTGAGACACACCTTTCCAGATGAAACCATATGTGCCGCACTGTGCACTACTCATAACGGTGATAACCTCAAGACCATCAGGAGAAATATTTAAATTTCCGTGTTATGAAGAAAGAAACCAAATTATTAGTTATGCTTTTTAACACAAATTACCAGTTTACATAATTAATGAGGGTGCATTTTAAGTTCTAACTTTATTGTATAAGGCATCATTTGAAAGTACCAAGGAAGTCTTCTTTGTTTTTAGTGATCCGTGAGTGGAAGGAATTCTAGTTGGCAGTATTTGATTGTAAGAAATCAATAAAGTAATTGTGTTTAAAAAAAAAAAAAAAAGATCTGAGCCCTGGTGGAGGTAACAGGATGCGATGGTTTTCACATTCAAGAAGGTTCTGGAGAAGAGAGATGATTCTTGGAATGATGAGCTTCAATTTGCACATGCCTGAGTTTAGGTTCTGAATTTAAACCCTTATTGTAAGATCATCTCTTTGAACCTTCTCTCTTTTTAAGGGTTTTTACAGTTCAGTGGCATTTTTTTTTAATATTTAAAAAGTCATTTTAGGAGAAACATCCATTTAAATAATTTATTTTACTTCAGAAAGTTGTTTTACTCAACGAGGATCATGAACTGAGTTGTGTTCTTTAACATTCACAAATTGTGTATTGCTTGGTTTTGGAAATTAGTTAGCCAAATAATTTAAAAAGCACCAGAAATTGAAGTGCAAAATAGAACAGGAAAGAGAAACTCTCCATTAGTGTATTCAGCTTAACAGGTTTTCAACCCACCAGGGTGCTGTTGGAATACAATTGTTCTCCTGGTTCTTATGATACAAGATCAAGGTTAAACCACTGAATACAGTTACAGCATCCTTGACTTCATAAGCTTTCCTTTCCATGCATCCATATAGATGCCCAAAGCACCATTCAGGGCAGAATTTAGTCTTTCGTCCCGCACTCTCAAAGGACAACCAGGAGCTAGGACTTGGCTGAACCACCCACCTACCAGGTGCCCCTGCCTGTGCCACCATCCTTGGGCCAAGGGGAGGCCTGGCCCCTGCCACCTCAGCGATGGTGAAGGATCAGCCCACTTGGGGCCCGGGGCGCCTGGCTGAGCGCCCCCTCCACTGAGCCCGTTCCTGTGCCCCCAATTTCCCACAGGCTGAGGCCCCAGTGCCCTGCTCGTGCTGCTGAGGGGGCTGAATGGCCTGTTGAGAGGCCTCCCCAGGAAGCCCATAGGGAGGAGGTTGGGGTGTCTCCTGCCTTGGGGGTGGGACAGTCCCTTCTTGTTCCCACCCCAGGTACCTGACCCAAGTTCTCCTGTGCATGAGGAATGCCTGGATGTCCCTCCTTGGTAGGTGGGATGGCCCAGAGGGAGGTCCTGCCTACACAGCCCTTAATTAGGAATTTAGAGATTTGTGCTCTAGGAAGGAGCTGCTTCCGCTACCATTTGGCCAACTGTGTGCTGTGCAGACCCGCAGCTTGGAAACAGGTTTCAAGGATGTTCAGGACTTGCCTCGTGTTCATAAAGGTCAGGGGTCGCCTCTTCCCCCTGCTCCCCTGCTAACTCTGCAGCAGGCCCTGGACTAATTAAGTCCCCGCAACAGCCCCGAGACCCAGGCTCTGTGAAAGTTGTCAGAATCAGAATGGAGCCACTTCTGTCCAACCCTAAGAGCAACAACAAAATCATGCGGCCGGGAGGTTCTGAAGGAGGGCCCTCCCGCACACCTGCCTATGATCAGAGCCCTTCCGAAGCCTCTGGGAAGGGCACAGATGCCTGCAACAAGACCTTTTGCCAGGACTTTACAGGACTTTGCAGCTCACTACGTGAGTCACAAGGACGGCTAGCCGGCTGCACAAGAACACTTGCCTGATACGCTGTGTCCACTCGTAAATTGACGTCCACTCCTGGGATAAGCCCCTGGAACCAGTGTTCTCTTCCTTTCAAAATAACCATGTAGCCAGACTTGGTGGTGGGTGCCTGTAATCCCAGCTACTTAGGAGGCTGAGGCAGGAGAATCACTTGAACCCAGGACATGGAGGTTGCAGTAAGCCAAGATCGCGCCACTGCACTCCAGCCTGGGCAACAGAGCAACTCAAGAAAAACACCACCACCACCACCACCACCACCACCACCCCCAAAAAACCGACCATGCACTGCTCCTTTCACCTTTCAAAGCCCCCCTTGCCTCCCCTCCTCCGATGCGCCCCTAGTTTACTAAGGCCGGGGCTCTGCATGCAGTGCTGCTGCTTATTCCCAGTTAAACTCCATAGTTTTGGAGAGCCTCCCTCTGTTTCTTGAGGTTGACAGGACTATCATTCTTTTCGTTCATAGATGAGGGAATTAAGGCTTGGAGAGGTTCCGTTCTGAAGGACACTCAGTAAGTGGTGGACAGAGAATTTCAGCTCAGATCCAAAGCCTATTTAATTTACTTCTTTTAAATCCATGCTTCTTAGCACTCAGCTAGTCACGTATCACCTTGACAACTTTTTGCCGTAGCCACATTACTGCCTGTGGTATGATTTGCTGAATATTTTTCTCTACATAAGCTCAGATTTTCCTTAAATCTGTTAGGAAACCTATAACTGAAAAATGGAAGACCACTATCTCTTGCCGTAAACAGAAGCAACTGTGTATTCCACACACACCAAAAGCAATGTTCTTACAGCCTCCTTAGATGCTCTGAGTCTAAAGCATGCTTTATCTTGTTAAAGGGGGGATGGCAAAGTTAGGGTGATAGTGAAGACATAGAACCAACTGAGATTCTCTCCTTGACATTATCAGAAGGGTTGGAAGACAATCAAAAAATAACCGGCTGGGAGCGGTGGCTCATGCCTGTAATCCCAGCAGTTTGGGAAGCCAAGGTGGCCAGATCGCTTGAGCCCAGAAGTTTGAGACCAGCCTAAGCAACACAGCAAGACCTCGTCTCTACAAAAAATACTGGCTCCGCAGGAGGCTGAGGCAGGAGGATGGCTTAAACCCGGGAGGCCAAGGTTGCAGTGAATTGAGATCACACCATTGCAGTCCAGTCTGGATGACAAAGCTAGATCCTGTCTAAAAAATAACTTTCTCATCGTGAAGTTTAATACTATTTAATGTCTTGTCTGATGGCAGCTAAAACATGCCCCATACCACCTAATCTGGAGTACCACACTTTGGAAATAAGTGTGTGTCACATTTTGGAAAATGCTGATTGCGATGAAAATGGGAAACATGGCTGGAACCCATCATCTAATCCGGATCACACTGCATCACTGCATAGTGTTCACTCCTTTTTCTGTCTTTGTTTTTAAGATATGTCACACACGATGAAGAGTGCAGAAAACAGAAAGGTATGGCCTAAAGAAGAATTACAGAATTGAACACCAAAGTAACCGCCACCCAGATCAAGAAATTGATTGTGGCCAGGGTTCCCCCACACCACCCCATACCTTTCCCATCGAAAACACTATTCTTTCTTACCACTGAATTTTTTTTCTTTTTCTTTTTAAAGATGGGGTCTCACTATGTTGCCCAGGCTGGTCTTAAAACTCCTGGGCTCAAGCAGTCCTCCTGCCTTGGCCTCTTAAAGGGCTGGGATTACAGGTGTGAGCCACCACACCCGACCACCACTGAATATTTGGATACTCATTTTATTTTCATAGTTTTTTTGTTTTGTTTTTGAGACAGAGTCTTGCTCTGTCACCCAGACTGGAGTGCAGTGGCATGATCTCGGCTTACTGCAGCCTCCACCTCCCGGGTTCAAGTGATTATCCTGCCTCAGCCTCCAGAATAGCTGGGATTACAGGCACATGCCATCACACCCAGCTAATTTTTGTATTTTTAGTAGAGACGGGGGTTTCACCATGTTGGCCAGGCTGGTCTTGAACTCCTGACCTCAGGTGATCTGCCCACCTCAGCCTAGTTACTGGGATTACAGGTGTGAGCTACTGCACCCAGCCTCTTTTCATCGTTTTATCCCCCATATAGTTTAGGTTTGCCCCATTTGAACTTCATGTATGTGTAAGATATATTCTATCCTATGTGTTCCTTTGTGATTTGTATATTTTGTTCAACTTTATGTTTGTGAGATTTAATCTGTTGTATGTTAGAAAAGCCTGGTCATTTCCATTGCTGTATAATATTCCAGTTATGAAACTCCTGACACTTTTTCTGCTGTTGATGAGCATTTGGGTTTTTCAGTGTCTGGCTATTTAAACAATGCCACTTTGCACACGTTGGTGCTTACATCCTGGGACACGTGTGCCAAGTTTCTGCAGGACACTTTCCCGGGATGGAATTGCTGTATCCTGGGATGTGCACAACTTGACGTCCTGAATGATGCTCTTGAGTCTGGTGTGTGGGGCGCCTATTCATCCACCTCCCTCCACCCTACTATGGGTGGATTTTTAGGTCTTTGCCAACCTGGAGTCTGTGATACCTTCTCCACCCCACCCCAATGTGCTTTATCCCACATTGATTGGACGCCTTTTCACACATTTACTTTTGAACTCAGCCTGAGGTTACCAAACCCTCTGGTTGAGGCTACACCTCTGGGTGTGCCCAGGGCTGCTGGAGAATAGACTCTCCCTGGAGCTTCATCTACCTGTGCAAGGGAACGGGGTCAAACTCAAGTGTACAAGCTGCTCTAGAAGATGCAGCCCAGGCCTGGCTGGCCCAGGGCACTGGTCCCTCCCCCGGCTTCCTCCTCCAGGAAGAGGTGTGCACACCCACAGGCGTGTACACGTGGGCAAGGCTGGCCCAGCCCAGGCTGCAATCATGACAAAGACAAGGCTCCACTTAATGTTGTCACCACCTGCCCCACCCTTTCCCACAGCACTGGAACTCTGGGCCCAGGCTCCTGCCAGCCCCACCTGTCTGGGCCATGGCCGGTGAGAAACCAAGGGGTGCCAGGGCTGCCAGACCACCCTACCTACCTACTTCCCGCTGTCTCCAGGACTCATGGCATTAGGAGGCCAAACCCACACTGTGGCCTGGGCTGTGTGCTTCGAGCTTCACCTCCCTTCAGCACCAGAACAGGGTCTGGCTGTAGGTGGCTCCCAGGAAATACAGAAAAAATGGGTGAATGAACAAGTGACAGGGTGTCTTGTTCCACACAAGACACAGTGAGTGGGAGTGGGGGTGGCTTCTGGCTGCAGGATGCACACTGCCCTCACCCAGATGGCATCTGCCCCCAACACCCCATTCTTGCCTGGCAGACACCGGGGCCCACCCTGAGCTGCCTTTCTCAGGACCCCAGGCCAGGCAAGCCACAGCCTGCCACTCCCTTCAGCCAGTGTGGCTTCAGGTCACCAACCTGGGGCAGGGTCAAGCTGGCAACAAGGGAAGGGGCCGGGACACAGTCCTCCCTGATTTAAACTCTAATCTCAGCGTCTGTGCAGTCCAGCTCCTCCAGGCGCTGGCCCAGGACATACTTGATGTCTTCCACCAGCTGCCACACCTGCAGAGTCGGGTCGGGGAGCAAGGGTCAGCCCAGCAGCCTTTCACTCTGGTCCATCGCTCCTGGCATGAGGAGTGTCCCCATCTTTAGGCACCACTTACAAAGCCCAGAGCTTGGTTCTGAGCACCAAGAGGAAACGCTGGAGATGGGGATCCAGGCCCTGCACCCCCGACAATAAGCTCAGAGGCTAGAAGAGGAAACTGCCCCAGTAACCACCCTGGACATCCCTTAAGGCCATGCCTCCCGAGCAAGGCTGAGAAGGCTGGGCAGGGGCTTCGTGGAGTGGGTCACCTTCCGCTGACAGACCAGGTAGGCTTCCTGGAGGAGGAGGCCTGTGGAGGAGCAGCCTGGAGCCTCAGAATAGGCTGAGCCTTTAGCAGGGCCTGGTGCTACTGGCTGCAGGGGGACGTGTGGGGCTCCCCTTGTTAGGACCATGGCCTCAGGAGGGATCCACCCTCAGTTCAGCACCAGCCTCCCCACGTTAAACCAGGGTAACCCACCTTGGCAGTCGAGAAGTGTTCATGTACAAAGAGGGCACCAAGTGCCATACCAAAGTGGTGGTTGGCCTGGCCCAGGCAGACCTCGGCCAGCTCCTGCAGCTTGTGGCTTCCCTCTGTCTCCCGTGCCAACTCCTGCAGTGCCTCATGGAATGGCAGGGACAGGTGCTCACTCAGAACCACCACCACGCGCCACACTAGGTAGTTGTGCAGGATCCTCGGGCCAGGTGAAGCCAGTGGATGTCCAGACAGACGTGCATATGGGCCACCAAGGGCACCACCCCCACCTGTGCCCCCCAGCCTGTGGCTGGACCCAGGACCCAGACAACCCCACAAAGAAGGGGCAGGAGGTCATCCCAGAAAATGCAGAGCAGCGGGGAGAGCCAGGATGTCAACCTAGGGCTCTGGATTTCTATTCTAGTGCTCAACAGCTGCCTCCCTCAGTGTGGCTACCGGACACAGGTGGAGGTGGGAATTCAAAGCCCACCCAGCAGACAGGTCCTAGAGGCCGGTGGACAGGGGCTAGCGGATCTGCAGCCGTCCCTATGGGGTGCGGAGTGGATGAGCTGGGTCACCTGCTACACTTAGTCCGTCGCCAGCACTAGCACCTCCTCTTCCTCTGAGAACCAGTAAAACTCCTGGCACGGGTCGATGCTGGCATCCAGGTTGGCCGCCAGGAAGCGAGCGGCGCGCGCGAAGGCCTTGCACTCGGGGCAGGCGCCGCCGCCCGCCGCGACCGGTCCAGGTACCTGAGCGCCAGCAAAGCCCCCAGGATGGCGCAGAGGCCGGCGGCGAATACCAGCCCCGACAGCAGGCTCACCTCGCGCGGGTTCCAGAGCTGCAGCCCGGCCCAGCCCCGGTGGCGCTGCTTCCCGAGAGAAGCCTGAGGGGCAGAGAGGCCCCGCACAGGCCCCCAGTGCCTCAAGTACTTGACCTCCTGGAACTCGTGGTAGTGCGCCCTCAGCGAATACCGGGACTCCAAGGCGCCGAGGCCGCCGCGGTGCAGCCCTGGGCCACCTGGGCTACGGGATGCGCGCGGCCGCCGGCCTCCTCGTGGGCCTCCGCTTGGCCCCGGGACGCAGCTGCGGGAAAAACAGTGTCAAGCTCAGGAGGCGCCGCAGCCTGACGGAGCTCCCGGGCACCATGAGGAGGGACGCAGGTCTGGGTACAGAGGCCCCAGCTGCGGACCTCATTCACCGCGGAAACCAGGGACGAGGAGGGCTCGGCGGGGCCACGAACCCCGCGTGCACAGTGGAGTCTTCTCCCCTGTCCCCTCCCTGCACACATGTGTCGGTCCCTGGGTTGGGAGGGCCTTGATGGGAAGCGGGAGGGGCCGGGCACGGGGCCTGGCACGTAGTGGGCCTTCATTGAAAGGCCATCCCTCTTCCCTTCGCCTTTCTTGTCCACGACCTACCCCAGCCAAGGCCGGGTGGGGTGAGAGGGAAGGAGCCGAGGCTGAAGTGAGGAGGTGCGGTCAGGGGCCCGTCTATGCAGCACTTTCAGCTCTCCGCGCTGGACCCAGACAGACGCTCCACAAAGTGGCCAAAGAACCAAACTTTGTCCTCGCAGAAGTCCGCAGGATCGACCACTCCAACCCCGCTCGCTGGCTCCTTCTACTCGGTGGCCCGACGGCTCACCCGCCCCTTCCTCACCGGCGCGCGCCAACGCCCCAGGGTGGCGAATACACAGCCCACCCTCTGGACGGCCCTGATGGAGAACCCGAGACCGGCTCAGTCTCCCCGACCCTCGTCTCTGTCTCTGCCCCGGGCCAATCCCGGCTTCAACAGGTTCTCCCCAGAACCCAAACTTGGGTGAAGTTTCACCCCCTCGCGGGGCGCGGGCTGGCCGGGTGCGCCCGGAGTCCTGGAGCCGCGCCGCTCAGTCCGTGGAGCCCGAGAGCGAAGCCTGGGAGCCGCAGCCTGAGCCGCGAGGAAGTAGATGAAGCCAGGAGGCTCCGCGCAGCGGCCGCAAGGGCGGCGGAGGTGGCCGCTGTGGTGGCCACCTAGCCGGCAGGTGCCCACCCAAGGCAGGACCTGGAGCGGCGCCGTTGCCTGTGTCTCTCAGCGCCCTCTGCCTCTTCTGCCTCACCCCCGCCCGCCCGTCGGCCCGAGGAGGGGGACGCGATGGCGGCTCCACCCTTCTTCGCCCGCCCCGCGCTCCCCTCCTTCCTTCTGCGACCCTCGGGCCGCCTGGCACAGCGGCGGCAGCGCGGACGTGGGTTGGCGGCCGCGGAGACAGGCTCCCGAGGGTCGTGCGCGGGTTGCAGTCGGTGACTCGGGGTCCAGCTGCGTCCCGGGACAAGTGAAGGCAGCGGGTAGTCCCGGGAGGAGTCCCCTCCGATCCCAGGTCCCCACTCGGAGCCGCCCACCAGCCTGCTGGAAAGGGGCTGGAGCTACGCAGCTGGGGGCCGTCATGCCCCAGCCCACAGCCCTGGAGCACCGCCCAGGGAGGACTCCTCCTAAAGGATAAGGGGGCCCTGATGGAGTGCCCGGGCTGCCCGCACAGCGCCTGCGCGGAGCGCACCTTCACCAGGGAGCTTCCTTGTCCTCCTGGGAAACCTTGTCCAGGATCAGCTCTCCCCGGGGGGTCTGGGCTTCTGGTTGGCCTCGCCCCCTTCCCCCAGCTCCTGATCCAGGGAGAGCAACGGAGAGCCCTGCCAGAAGAAGGCCTGGGCCTGCGAGTGCGGCCCCCATGGTACCAATGCACAGTTGACCCAGAGCACAGCAATCGCGGCCAATAGGAGGTGACGTGGGTTTAGCCTCTGACCACACAGTCCTGGTCACCCTGCACAGACTGCCTTTATTGGGGGCTCCGAGGCCCAGCTCCTTGGCTCTTCTGCAGTTTCACATAAAGGGAAGCAGCCAGCCCTCCGGCTCCCTCACTCTTTTGGGGTCCCCCACCCCTAATTGCTAAAGTGACCCCTTGACTCACAAGCAAGAGAATGATAGGCCACAGCGGTGCCCAGCTAAACTCAGCCAAGCCCTGAGTGAGGCAGCTGGATACGCAGCGTGGGTGTTGGCGGTAGGGGCTGGGGGCAGTGGGGGTGGAGGCTGTGGCCAGAGCTGCCTTGGAGAGAGAAGGCCCAGGAGGGTGCAAAGGGCAGAGGTGAGAGGTTCCGAATCCCAACCTCCGTCTCCTCCCTGAGGAAGGCAGATCCCAGCCAGTCTTGCCTGTGAAAGTTGTCAGAAACCAAATGGAGTCACTTTTCTTAAAAACTCTGACAAATAGAGGCAGGAAAGGCCATGAGTGGAGAGTCCTCGGGCACAAAACCTGATGAAAACTATCACAAAAGACTGCAAACAACCACTTGCGCAAAGGCCATGGCAACCTTCACAAAAAATATACACACTTTTGCAAAGACATCTGCCCAGCAACTGCCTGTCCAGCCTCAGACTGGTGCCACCCGTGTCCTGGTAGACAAGAATAATCGTCACAAAACAATCCTGTGATTCTCCCTTTTCCTTTAAAAACACATGCAGACACATACTTGAACACACATGCACACACACATGCAGATGCCCACACATGCACACATGTGCATATACACTCACACGTGCATGCACACATACATGCATATACACACGTGTACACACATACACACACACACAGGGTGGCTCCCCCAGGGGACTTTGCCATGCCTCATTTTGCCCATCTGTAAAGGGGGTGATTATAGCCCCTACTGCATGATGCTGCCGTGGGGCTCCGTGAGTCCGTACCTGGAGGATGCCTAGGACGGGGTCTGAACTAAACCTGTACAGTCCCATGGGGAGCTGAGTGGAGAAGGTGGGCTTTGACATGGGGAGCAGAGGGGGCAGTGTGGAAACCCAGGGAGCCTAAGGGTCTGGGCACCTGTCACCTAATAGGAGGCCCCAAGGGGCCCCTGGGGAAGAGGCACCGACCTCCTTGTGGCTGGTAAGGGAACAGGGCTGAGGCCAGGAACAGGCCAGTGAGAGCCTGCAGGGGCCAGGGAGTGTGACAGCCAAGGACCCTCAGGGCACTAGCCTGCTGAGGACCCCAGGCCACACTCAGGCCTGGGCGAGGGACTGATTTGGGGACTCCTTGAGGTTTCTGACTCAAGTGATTGCACATGAGGTTAGGAGTTCGAGTCCAGCCTGGCCGACATGGTGAAACCCCGTCTCCACTAAAAATACAAAAATTAGCTGGGCATGGTGGTGCACGCCTGTGATCCCAGCTACTCGGGAGACTGAGGCTGGAGAATCACCTGAACCCGGGAGGGTTCAAGTGAGCTGAGATTGCACCACTGCCTCCAGCCTGGACAACAGAGTAAGACTCCACCTCAAAACAAACAAACAAACAAACAAACAAAAACAAACAAAGCTGGTGGGGGAGATTTGTAACTGCATCAGAATAATCTGGTTCAACTTTGTTTTTATTTTTTATTTTTTTGAGACAGAGTCTCATTTTGTCACCCAGGCTGGAGTGCAGTGGCACGATCTCGGCTAACTGCAAGCACTGCCTCCCAGGCTCAAGTGATTCTCATGCCTCAGCCTCCTGAATAGCTGTGACTACAGGTGCACACCACCACGCAAGGCTAATTTTTGTATTTTTAGTACTTCCTGCTGATTAGGGATGTAGGCCTTGGTTAGAGGAATGAAATTGTTTTTAGTAGAGATGGGGTTTCACCATGTTAGTCAGGCTGGTCTTGAACTCTTGACCTCAAGTGATCCACCCATCTCAGCCTCCCAAAGTGCTGGGATTACAGGCAGGAGCCACTGTGCCCAGCTTGGTTTAATTTTTATGTAACAAAGTTGTGAGTTGTTTTTCAGCGGCCGTGGACCCCCAGGTTAAAGTTCGCATACCTTGAGCATGCCCAGGTGAACAAAGCATGCCACCATAGGGAGGACCTAAGTGCTCCAACCAAGGAGCAAGAACTGAATTAAGAAGCAGATGGGGGGGAGGAGCCAAGATGGCCAAATAGGAACAGCTCCAGTCTACAGCTCCCAGCGTGAGTGATGCAGAAGATGGGTGATTTCTGCATTTCCATCTGAGGTACCAGGTTCATCTCACTAGGGAGTGCCAGACAGTGGGCGCAGGTCAGTGGGTGCGTGCACCGTGCGCGAGCCGAAGCAGGGCGAGCCATTGCCTCACTCGGGAAGTGCAAGGGGTCAGGGAGTTCCCTTTCCTAGTCAAAGAAAGGGGTGACAGACGGCACCTGGAAAATCGGGTCACTCCCACCCGAATACTGCGCTTTTCCGACGGGCTTAAAAAATGCCGCACCAGGAGATTATATCCTGCACCTGGCTCGGAGGGTCCTACGCCCACAGAGTCTCGCGGATTGCTAGCACAGCAGTCTGAGATCAAACTGCAAGGCGGCAGCAATGCTGGGGGAGGGGCGCCTGCCATTGCCCAGGCTTGCTTAGGTAAACAAAGCAGCCGGGAAGCTCGAACTGGGTGGAGCCCACCACAGCTCAAGGAGGCCTGCCTGCCTCTGTAGGCTCCACCTCTGGGGGCAGGGCACAGACAAACAAAAAGACAGCAGTAACCTCTGCAGACTTAAGTGTCCCTGTCTGACAGCTATGAAGAGAGCAGTGGTTCTCCCAGCACGCAGCTGGAGATCTGAGAACGGGCAGACTGCCTCCTCAAGTGGGTCCCTGACCCCTGACCCCCGAGCAGCCTAACTGGGAGGCACCCCCCAGCAGGGGCACACTGACCTCACATGGCCGGGTACTCCAACAGACCTGCAGTCGAGGGTCCTGTCTGTTAGAAGGAAAACTAACAAACAGAAAGGACATCCACACCAAAAACCCATCTGTACATCACCATCATCAAAGACCAAAAGTAGACAAAACCACAAAGATGGGGAAAAAACAGAGCAGAAAAACTGGAAACTCTAAAAAGCAGAGCACCTCTCCTCCTCCAAAGGAACGCAGTTCCTCACCAGCAACGGAACAAAGCTGGACGGAGAATGACTTTGAGGAGCTGAGAGAAGAAGGCTTCAGACGATCAAATTACTCCGAGCTACGGGAGGACATTCAAACCAAAGGCAAAGAAGTTGAAAACTCTGAAAAAAGTTTAGAAGAATGTATAACTAGAATAACCAATACAGAGAAGTGCTTAAAGGAGCTGATGGAGCTGAAAACCAAGGCTCGAGAACTACGTGAAGAATGCAGAAGCCTCAGGAGCCGATGCGATCAACTGGAAGAAAGGCTATCAGCGATGGAAGATGAAGTGAATGAAATGAAGCGAGAAGGGAAGTTTAGAGAAAAAAGAATAAAAAGAAACAAGCAAAGCCTCCAAGAAATATGGGACTATGTGAAAAGACCAAATCTACATCTGATTGGTGTCACTCTGAAAGTGACAGGGAGAATGGAACCAAGTTGGAAAACACTCTGCAGGATATCATCCAGGAGAACTTCCCCAATCTAGCAAGGCAGCCCAACATTCAGATTCAGGAAATACAGAGACCGCCACAAAGATACTCCTCGAGAAGAGCAACTCCAAGACACATAATTGTCAGATTCGCCAAAGTAGAAATGAAGGAAAAAATGTTAAGGGCAGCCAGAGAGAAAGGTCGGGTTACCCACAAAGGGAAGCCCATCAGACTAACAGCGGATCTCTCGGCAGAAACTCTATAAGCCAGAAGAGAGTGGGGGCCAATATTCAACATTCTTAAAGAATTTTCAACCCAGAATTTCATATCCAGCCAAACTAAGCTTTGTAAGTGAAGGTGAAATAAAATACTTTACAGACAAGCAAATGCTGAGAGATTTTGTCACCACCAGGCCTGCCCTAAAAGAGCTCCTGAAGGAAGCGCTAAACATGGAAAGGAACAACTGATACCAGCTGCTGCAAAATCATGCCAAAATGTACAGACTATCGAGACTAGGAAGAAACTGCATGAACTAACGAGCAAAATAACCAGCTAACATCATAACGACAGGATCAAATTCACACATAACAATATTAACTTTAAATGTAAATGGACTAAATGCTCCAATTAAAAGACACAGACTGGCAAATTGGATAAAGTGTCAAGACCCATCAGTGTGCTGTATTCAGGAAACCCATCTCACGTGCAGAGACACACATAGGCTCAAAATAAAAGGATGGAGGAAGATCTACCAAGCCAATGGAAAACAAAAAAAGGCAGGGGTTGCAATCCTAGTCTCTGATAAAACAGACTTTAAACCAACAAAGATCAAAAGAGACAAAGAAGGCCATTACATAATGGTAAAGGGATCAATTCAACAAGAAGAGCTAATTATCCTAAATATATATGCACCCAATACAGGAGCACCCAGATTCATAAAGCAAGTCCTGAGTGACCTACAAAGAGACTTAGACTCCCACACATTAATAATGGGAGACTTTAATACCCCACTGTCAACATTAGACAGATCAACGAGACAGAAAGTCAACAAGGATATCCAGGCATTGAACTCAGCTCTGCACCAAGCGGACCTAATAGACATCTACAGAACTCTCCACCCCAAATCAACAGAATATACATTTTTTTCAGCACCACACCACACCTATTCCAAAATTGACCACATACTTGGAAGTAAAGCTCTCCTCAGCAAATGTAAAAGAACAGAAATTATAACAATCTCTCAGACCACAGTGCAATCAAACTAGAACTCAGGATTAAGAATCTCACTCAAAGCCGCTCAACTACATGGAAACTGAACAACCTGCTCCTGAATGACTACTGGGTACATGACGAAATGAAGGCAGAAATAAAGATGTTCTTTGAAACCAACGAGAACAAAGACACAACATACCAGAATCTCTGGGATGCATTCAAAGCAGTGTGTACAGGGAAATTTATAGCACTAAATGCCCACAAGAGAAAGCAGGAAAGATCCAAAATTGACACCCTAACATCACAATTAAAAGAACTAGAAAAGCAAGAGCAAACACATTCAAAAGCTAGCAGAAGGCAAGAAATAACTAAAATCAGAGCAGAACTGAAGGAAATAGACACAAAAAACGCTTCAAAAAATTAATGAATCCAGGAGCTGGCTTTTTGAAAGGATCAACAAAATTGATAGACCGCTAGCAAGACTAATAAAGAAAAAAAGAGAGAAGAATCAAATAGATGCAATAAAAAATGATAAAGGGGATACCACCACCGATCCCACAGAAATACAGACTACCATCAGAGAATACTACAAACACCACTATGCAAATAAACTAGAAAATCTAGAAGAAATGGATAAATTCCTCAACACATACACTCTCCCAAGACTAAACCAGAAAGAAGTTGAATCTCTGAATAGACCAATAACAGGATCTGAAATTGTGGCAATAATCAATAGCTTACCAACCAAAAGGAGTCCAGGACCAGATGGATTCACAGCCGAATTCTACCAGAGGTACAAGGAGGAACTGGTACCATTCCTTCTGAAACTATTCCAATCAATAGAAAAACAGGGAATCCTCCCTAACTCATTTTATGAGGCCAGCATCATCCTGATACCAAAGCCAGGCAGAGACACAACCAAAAAAGAGAATTTTAGACCAATATCCTTCATGAACATTGATGCAAAAATCCTCAATAAAATACTGGCAAACCGAATCCAGCAGCACATCAAAAAGCTTATCCACCATGATCAAGTGGGCTTCATTCCTGGGATGCAAGGCTGGTTCAATATATGCAAATCAATAAATGTAATCCAGCATATAAACAGAACCAAAGACAAAGCCCATATGATTATCTCAATAGAAGCAGAAAAGGCCTTTGACAAAATTCAACAACCCTTCATGCTAAAAACTCTCAATAAATTAGGTATTGATGGGACGTATCTCAAAATAATAAGAGCTATCTATGACAAACCCATAGCCAATATCATACTGAATGGGCAAAAACTGGAAGCATTCCCTTTGAAAACTGGCACAAGACAGGGATGCCCTCTCTCACCACTCCTATTCAACATAGTGTTGGAAGTTCTGGCCAGGGCAATTAGGCAGGAGAAGGAAATAAAGGGTATTCAATTAGGAAAAGAGGAAGTCAAATTGTCCCTGTTTGCAGACGACATGATTGTATATCTAGAAAACCCCATTGTCTCAGCCCAAAATCTCCTTAAGCTGATAAGCAACTTCAGCGAAGTCTCAGGATACAAAATCAATGTACAAAAATCACAAGCATTCTTATACACCAACAACAGACAAACAGAGAGCCAAATCATGAGTGAACTCCCATTCACAATTGCTTCAAAGAGAATAAAATACCTAGGGATCCAACTTACAAGGGATGTGAAGGACCTCTTCAAGGAGAACTACAAACCACTGCTCAAGGAAATAAAAGAGGATACAAACAAATGGAAGAACATTCCATGCTCATGGGTAGGAAGAATCAATATTGTGAAAATGGCCATACTGCCCAAGGTAATTTACAGATTCAATGCCATCCCAATCAAGCTACTAATGACTTTCTTCACAGAATTGGAAAAAACTACTTTAAAGTTCATATGGAACCAAAAAAGAGCCCGCATTGCCAAGTCAATCCTAAGCCAAAAGAACAAAGCTACAGGCATCACACTACCTGACTTCAAACTATACTACAAGGCTACAGTAACCAAAACAGCATGGTACTGGTACCAAAACAGAGATATAGATCAATGGAACAGAACAGAGCCCTCAGAAATAACACCGCTTACCTACAACTATCTGATCTTTGACAAACCTGAGAAAAACAAGCAATGGGGAAAGGATTCCCTATTTAATAAATGGTGCTGGGAAAACTGGCTAGCCATATGTAGAAAGCTGAAACTTGATCCCTTCCTTACACCTTATACAAAAATCAATTCAAGATGGATTAAAGACTTAAACGTTAGACCTAAAACCATAAAAACCCTAGAAGAAAACCTAGGCATTACCATTCAGGGCATAGGCATGGGCAAGGACTTCATGTCTAAAACACCAAAAGCAATGGCAACCAAAGCCAAAATTGACAAATGGGATCTAATTAAACTAAAGAGCTTCTGCACAGCAAAAGAAACTACCATCAGAGCAACCTACAAAATGGGAGAAAATTTTCGCAACCTACTCATCTGACAAAGGGCTAATATCCAGAATCTACAATGAACTCAAACAAATTTACAAGAAAAAAAACAAACAACCCCATCAAAAAGTGGGCGACATGAACAGACACTTCTCAAAAGAAGACATTTATGCAGCCAAAAAACACATGAAAAAATGCTCACCATCACTGGCCATCAGAGAAATGCAAATCAAAACCACAATGAGATACCATCTCACACCAGTTAGAATGGCAATCATTAAAAAGTCAGGAAACAACAGGTGCTGGAGAGGATGTGGAGAAATAGGAACACTTTTACACTGTTGGTGGGACTGTAAACTAGTTCAACCATTGTGGAAGTCAGTGTGGCGATTCCTCAGGGATCTAGAACTAGAAATACCATTTGACCCAGCCATCCCATTACTGGGTATATACCCAAAGGACTATAAATCATGCTGCTATAAAGACACATGCACACGTATGTTTATTGCAGCATTATTCACAACAGCAAAGACTTGGAACCAACCCAAATGTCCAACAATGATAGACTGGATTAAGAAAATGTGGCACATATACACCATGGAATACTATGCAGCCATAAAAAATGATGAGTTCACGTCCTTTGTAGGGACATGGATGAAGTTGGAAATCATCATTCTCAGTAAACTATTGCAAGAACAAAAAACCAAACACCGCATATTCTCACTCATAGGTGGGAATTGAATAATGAGAACACATGGACACAGGAAGGGGAACATCACACTCTGGGGACTGTTGTGGGGTGGGGGGAGGGGAGAGGGATAGCACTGGGAGATATACCTAATGCTAGATGACGAGTTAGTGGGTGCAGCGCACCAGCATGGCACATGTATACATATGTAACTAACCTGCACATTGTGCACATGTACCCTAAAACTTAAAGTATAATAATAATAAATTAAAAAAAAAAAAAGCAGTTGGAGCTCTGGTGTCACCCCCATGGCAGTTTCCAGTAACATCACACCTCGTTAGCCTATGCTTCTAAAATTTGACCCAGTGCCCAGCTCAGAGACACACTGCCTTGGGAACTGTCCCTGCTGGTTCCCTGTTACAAGTAACAAAATCCCATTGCTAAATCCTCCTTGGTTATGGTCACTGGGTGATCATTGGGTGATACCAATATTGAGGCAGGAGAATAGGGTCTGGACACAGGGAACCTAAGCCTGTTTCACACCGACTTCCTAGAACTAAATTGAAGGCAGAACCCTACCTTTCCATGCCTAAGTAACAAAAGGACCACAGGCTACTCCCTTTGCAACCCCCTCACCTTTTCTGCTAGGCAGATGGGAAATTGGCTGTCCACAACCAATCAGATTGATTGAAGGTCCAGTCTTTGTTTGCCACTTTGTAACTTCACTCCAGCCTCTGAATGGCTGCTGTCCACAACCAATCAGACTGATTGCTGGCCACATCTTCGTTTCAATAGAAGTATAACTTTGTAACTTCACCCTAGTCTCTGATTGGTTGAACAGGAGTGTAACCTTTGTAACTTCACTTCAGCCTCTGGTTGGCTGCTTTCTGTAACCAATCAGACTGATTGCAGGCCACCACTTCATTTACATGAGGTGAGCATGATGTGGCCAATGGGAAACTTCTAGAGGATATTTGGACCCAAGAAGATTCCGTATCTGGGCCCTTGAGCTGCTGCTCGGTCCACTCCCAAACCATGGAGTGTACTTTCGTTTTCGATAAATCCCCATTTTCATTCTTTTGTTGCTTCATTCTTTCTTTGCCTTGCTGGGCATTTTGTCCAATTCTTTGTTCAATAGGCCAAGAACCTGGACAACCTGCAGTCACAACCCTCCACCAGTGACAATATAGTTTAGATTTGTGTCCCCACCCAAATCTCATGTTGAATTGTAATCCTCAGCATTGGAGGAGCTCCCTGGTGGGAGGTGACTGGATCATGGGGTAGGACTTTCCCCTTGCTGTTCTCGTGATAGCGAGTGAGATCTCACAAGATCTGGTCATTTAAATGTGTGCAGCCCCTCCCCCTCCTCTCTCTCTTCCTCACTCTCTGGCCATGGAAGACGTGCCAGCTTCCCCTTTGCCTTCTGCCATGATTGAAAGTTTCCTGAGGCCTCCCTAGCCATGCTTCCTGTACAGCCTGTGGAACTGTTAGCCAATTAAACCTCTTTTCTTATAAATTACCCAGTTTCAGGTGTTTCTTCATAGCACTGCAGAATGGACGAATACACTCATGGAGAGACAGGATCCACCTGCTGTGTGGTAACATCCTGACCCAGCACATCTGGGGCCCATCAAGTCTCCATGGGGTGGTGGGAGGAGCATTAACAACAAAGGCAGCACCTGGCACCTTCTGCGGGCGATGGGAAGACTGAGGGCAGGAAAAGCAAACATGCTCAGCACTGTGCTCAGCCCAGGGCGACTCTGAGACAAGAGAGGGGCCAGAGCCGGATGCAGCTGGGAGGTGGCAGCCTTACCAGAGGTTTGAGGAGTACATGGGAAAGTGCACAGAGCCCAGCCCAGGATGGCAGCTGTGCTCTCATTTTCTTGCAGCCTTTAGGGGCTACCTGGCTGGGGTGGTGGCCCTGCTGAAGAGAACCTGCCCCTAGCAGGCATGGGGGCAAGAGCACCTTTCAAAGGTGAACAAATGTGTTCCAATTTGCAGCAGCAAAGCTGCCAGAGGTCCCAGGAAGCCCAGGTTCATCTCATTTACCTAGCCATCTCTGGCAGCATTGGTATTTGAGAGCGTGTATGCGGGCAGAAGAGAGGAAAAAGACCTGCACCAGAACACCTTTCCAGAACACCCTTATCCCTTGAACACCTGAGTGCCTAGAGCCCAGCCCCAGCTCCCAGCAAGCCCCCTCCCCAAAACCACTATAGCCACTGGGCCTCCCTTTGGCAAGGCCTGAGGGCCCAAATGTGGCCACCTAGCCTCTGGGGACTTCCGTCCTTTGGAGCTAGAAAAACAGTAGCTGAATGTGCCTGGCTGCAGCAGGGCCCCGCCGACTCACCTATAGAAAGGCCCTGCCGTGGACTGAGCCTCCCAGCCTAGGAAACCTGGCTCTGGCCTCCCCTGCAGGCATGTGATGTTTGGCTCCAGAGGCCTTCTCCTCTGGGCTTTTCCATGCCTGTGAACTGGGCCCCATTCATTTCTCTGTGGTTTCATGGGAACGTCCAATGCATTCAGGAGGTTGCAGTGCACCCAGGAGGAGAGGGGTCAGCGAGAGGCCCGAGCTGTGACTGGTGGGCCACCCAGAGGCCACGGCACCCTCTGCTGGAGACTGGCAGCAGGGTGCATGGCCAGCTGTGGGCGAGGGTCCATCAGTCAAGCAGCTACACTTCCTCCCGGTGCCCCTCCCTGACCCAGGCCAGGGGCTCTGCCTGCAGCTGCCTCACTCCAGGCCTCCACTTTCCAGCTCCCAGGCCCCCAGCCCCACCTGGCCTGGCCCGGGACAGAGCAGCCACCAAGATCTTTTCCACTTTCCCTCCCCAGCAGCCTGCAATTCAGTGCCCTGCAGACCCCTGCCTCCCGGGGCCCTGCGGTTTCTACCACACTACACTCAATTTCCGGCCACTAAGAACACGGCAGGTCCCGCGTAAAGGTGGCCGCCACCTGCGCTCTGAGGGCTGCCCAGCCACGGAGAAGTGGCTGTGCTCGGGCACTCTGCTTCTGAGACAGGCCCAGCAGCTGCCTTCATGGCCTCAGGAGAGCCCACAGGCTCCAAGCCTGCAGTAAGGACCTGCCTAAGTCCTTGAAAATTTGGTGTTCAGAAGAAATGAAAGTGAAACTGGCTGGGAGCAATTCTTTTGATTTTGTTTCAAGACAGGGTCTCACTCGGTTGTTCAGGCTGGAGTGCAGTCATGCGATCATGGGTCACTGCAGCCTCAACCTCCTGGGCTCAAGGGATCCCTCCTGCCTCAGCCTCCTAAGTAGCTGGGACAACAGGCACATTCCACCACACCAGGCTGACTTTTTTTTTTTTTTTTTTTTTTTTGTAGAGATG
Source organism: Homo sapiens (assembly GCF_000001405.40). NCBI lineage: Eukaryota > Metazoa > Chordata > Mammalia > Primates > Hominidae > Homo > Homo sapiens. The sequence continues at coordinate 232,364,319 of NC_000002.12, forward strand.
GGATCTCACTTTGTTGCCAATGCTGGTCTCAAGCTCCTGGGCTTAAGCAATCCTCCCGCCTTGAACTCCCAAAGTGCTGGGATGATGGGATGATACACCACTCCCTGCATGCCATACTTACCAAAGTTCCACGTTAGCAGTTTTCAGCAAGAGCTAATTGACCAAGCTCTGTGAGTGGCCTCATTCCATTAGCAGGAGCCTCCCACAGAATGTGACAGAATGGTCCTGGTGGCTGAGGGTAGAAGGGGCTGCTTCTCTTAAGTCTTTGAAGATGAATGCAGTTCAGCTTTGGCTAACAGCCATGCCCTTCTGCCCAGGCCCAGATCAACTTTTAATCATTTCCAAAGCCAGTCTGACTGTCCTGGGAAAGGAAGGGTTGGGGTGAATTTCTTATCAATTTGGCAGGTACATTGGATCCTGTGAGGAGAGTATGAGACTGTACGAGGGGTCCCTGTGCTAGCCCCAAATGAGAGCCCTGACTCCCACCTACCCAGCCCACCCGCCCCGCACTGCTCAGCTCAGTTCTCCGTTCCGGGGATGGAGTGCTGGGCTTGGCCTGCACCTTTCTGTCCCCAAACTCCACTGGGGACCCACCTTCTAGTCACCCCAGGGTGCCATCACCAGAGCCAGGGGCTAGCCCCACCTTTGCTCACTCCTGCTCGGAGCCCACCTCTTCTCTCTGCCCCCATCGCTACCTGCAGCATCAGAAGGACATGAGGGCACCAAACAGCCCCTGCAGCTGTCCTCAAACATCATGGCCAAGGCTGCGCCTGGGAAGTGGACTCTCTGCGGTGCCAGCTCCCTACTCACTGCCCTTGACTTTTGTCTGGGTCCCTGCTTGATGTGGCCCAACTGGCTGGGCCAGAGCCCCACAGGCGCTGTCCCGACCCCCAGCCCCCTAGAGGGAGGGAGAGGCTGAGACGGCAAGGGAAGCAGAGACTCAGCCACACCAAGGGCCCTGGCAAGGTGGGCCTCTCCTCCAAAGCCTCACCAGGCTTCACGTTCAAGGTCACCAAGAGTGCACTTGTTCTCTGTCGAGGGCAGAGGTGACTCCGGGGACTGTGCTGGGGTCCAGGGAGGGCAGGCAGCGGAGTTGCCAGGGAAGCAGCTTGCCTGAGGTCTGTGGTCTTGGCAGGGGCTTCCGCAGCAGCCCCACCCTCTCCCTTTCCCCTCCCTCCTGTCCTTGTCCTCGTGTTTACTGAAGACCATGAGAAGGGATGTGGAGAGCGCCTGCAGGAACTGAGAGCAGGAGCCTGGCTCAGCCCTGAGAGGCCCCCAGATATTCAGTTCCTAAACCCATAGAGGGTGGGGCATGGGCACAGAGGAGTAACCAGGGGCCACCTCACACAGCCCTGCTCTTTCACCCTGCCCGCCTGGTGGCCTCCTTAGCCTGCAGCCTCAGTGCTGCCCGATCTGGGGCCATGCTGCGTCCTGCTGGCCACACTGCAAAATGCAGCTTAAGGTCGGCCTGGAAGCTCCAGGTGTCCTTCTTCCCCTAGGCCTACAGCTGGGCTGGAGGGGGAAGGGGCACCAGGAAACAGCCTGGATGCTCCTGCCCAGGAGGATTGTCCGACTCCATGGGGAGAAAGTCCGTGCCTGGCACATGGTAATCTTTGTGGAGCGAGAGGGCAAAAGTATGCATGATTGTGTGCATCTGAAGCATTTCTGTGCTGATGGCCTGACCGAAGGCAGATGACAAATCATGCAGATATTTCTGCAGCAGGAATGGCTGCATTCTCCTGGCTCGCCTGCCAGGGAGCTCAGAGGTGCCCTTGCCCGGGAATCCGATGGCAGAGAGTTACCAGAAGGTCTGCGGTGCTCCTGTTCCTCGGCCCCGGTGAGAGGTGACAGCGTGCTGGCAGTCCTCACAGCCCCTCGCTTGCTCTTGGCACCTCCTCTGCTTGGTCTCCCACTTTGGCGTCACTTGAGGAGCCCTTCGGCCCACCGCTGCACTGTGGGAGCCCCTTTCTGGGCTGGCCAAGGCCGGAGCCAACTCCCTCAGCTTGCAGGGAGGTGTGGAGGGAGAGGCGCGAGCGGGAACCAGGGCTGCGCGCGGAGCTTGCGCGCCAGCTGGAGTTCCGGGTGGGCGTGGGCTTGGCAGGCCCCGCACTCTGAGCAGGCGGCCGGCCCTGCCGGCCCCGGGCAATGAGGGGCTTAGCACCCGGGCCAGCGGCTGCAGAGGGTGTACTGGGTCCCCCAGCAGTGCCAGACCACCGGCGCTGCGCTCGATTTCTCACCGGGCCTTAGCTGCCTTCCCGCAGGGCAGGGCTCGGGACCTGCAGCCCGCCATGCCTGAGCCTCCCACCCCCTCCATGGGCTCCTGTGCGGCCCGAGCCTCCCCGATGAGCGCCACCCCCTGCTCCATGGCGCCCAGTCCCATCAACCACCCAAGGGCTGAGGCGTGCGGGCGCACGGGGCGGGACTGGCAGGCAGCTCCACCTGCAGCCCCGGTGCGGAATCCACTGAGTGAAGCCAGCTGGGCTCCTGAGTCTGGTGGGGGCGTGGAAAATCTTTATGTCTAGCTCAGGGATTGTGAATACACCAATCGGCACTCTGTATCTAGCTCAAGGTTTGTAAACACAGCAATCAGCACCCTGTGTCTAGCTCAGGGTTTGTGAATGCACCAGTCGACACTCTGTATCTAGCTGCTCTGGTGGGGCCTTGGAGAACCTTTATGTCTAGCTCAGGGATTGTAAATACACCAATCGGCACTCTGTATCTAGCTCAAGGTTTGTAAACACAGCAATCAGCACCCTGTGTCTAGCTCAGGGTTTGTGAATGCACCGATCGACACTCTGTATCTAGCTGCTCTGGTGCCAGATTTGTCTCCTGGAGAGAGGCATGGGCACCTGTGGTCTCCCCGCCTCCTGGCCTCCCCTTGGGTGCCCTTATGCAGAAAGGGTCCCGGCCCCAGGCTTGCTTGGCTTTGGGGACTGTTTTAAAAGGGACATGAAGAAAGAAGAAGCCAGAGAATGGTCCTTGGCCACTCTGGATGGAGTGTCCGCTGAGCAGTAGGAAGAGAACTGTCCCTGGCTCGTCTCCTTCCCTGAGTGACTGTTGATTCACAGTTCTCTCTCCAAGGGGACATGGGCCTGTCCTAATGCTGCCTTAGGGGCTTGGCTCCAGCTGACCCTGGGGTCTGCAGGTCACCACCTGCCCCTGTGCCTGGCTTTGAATTTCCTAACATCCAGAGTGCCCTGGGAGTACAGTGTCCAGCCCGTTGTGTGTAGTAAACCGGGAGCTGAGCAGAAGAGGAACGACAGAGTCCACCCGTTGACCCTCGGGGCTGTGTGTCCTGAAGTTCAAGCCTAGCTCACCCTGCAGTGGGTCCAGCCCCACCTGTACTGACAGATGGCACCAGCAGGGAGCGCAGTGCTCCACTGCCACAGTTCTCTGTCCCCACTTCAGTGCAGTCAGCCCTGGACCCCCCACCGCCTGCTCCCTGTAGCACACACAGCCACAGGCCCTCCCAGCTCCCGCCCCTGGCCCTTGGTCACTCTCACCTGCTGCCTCAGCCGAAGGTAGCCGGTAGGGCCTCCCTGAAGCTCCCTCCAGCCAGACAGGGGTGGGCCAGGGCTGAGGGCCAAGGGCCGCCTCCAAGCAGTGAAGCCCTCCAGGGTGGAAGGGCAGGTGGCCCCCTCTGTGTCCCGTTCCCCTAAGTCCCGGCGAGCCCTCCCCTTCCTCCTGCGGTGCCCTCTGCCCTCATCTATGTGCCCTGGTGGGCTCCCCCAGCACTGCAGCCTCCCGGGTGGGGTTTCAGGACCCCCAGGGCCTCCCAGCTCACTCAGACCCCCACCCCCTTCCTGTAGCTCTGCTCTCTGGCACCACCTTCCCTCTCTTGGGGACAACCACAGTGGAGAGAGGCGGGGCTCTCTGCCTGTCCCTCTATTGCAGGGGTGCTGGCCTTCTGGGGTCCTTTTGAGAACTTGATGAAAGCTATGAGTTTACACCCAAGAAATTCTCTGGCACCGTTTGCACCAACAACATGCCCCAAAGGTGGAGCCAGGCCCCCAGGTTGCATTTTGTAAGTCTTGGGAGCTCTCAGGATGCATCAGGGACACGTGGCCTCTGACTCGCTCAGCTCTGCCCTGACCCAGGGCGTTCATCCTGGAGCAGGCCTCCGTTACTGACTGGCGAGCAGAGGCTTCCAGAGGCTGAGGGAGGGGCCTGGGGTCCTCCTGCAGGGACCAAGACGGAGCTGCGCCTCAACATCAGGCCCTGCCGTCCTTGTCTCCTCCCAGCCGGGCTCTGTACAGGTCATCACCGTCTTCAGCCTGCTGGAGGGGGTCCTGCGGGCAGCCATGGCCCTCTAGTATAGCGCTGTCCTGAAGCGGCCAGGCACCCAGGGCCACCTGGGCCCCGCGGGGGAGGAGGACTGAGGCTATCTGGCCCTGCTGGCTTTTAGAAATAGGAACTGTTGATACCAAGGGGAATTTTTAATTCTGTTTTTAAAATGTTTAAATTTTTCTAACTTAAATTTAATGTTTTAAGTTTTTAAATTTAAATTTAATTTTTTTTTAGAAACAGGGTCTCGCTCTGTCACTCAGGCTCAGGGTATGGTGGCACCATCGCAGCTCAAGTAGCTTCAAACTCCTGACCTCATATAGTCCTCCTGCCTCAGCCTCCCGAGTAGCTGGGGCTGCAGGCCTGTGCCACCATGCCCAGCTGTTTTTGGGTTTTTGCTTTGGAAAAATGGGATTTCGCTTTGTTGCCCAGGCTGGTCTCAAATTCCTCATCTCAAGCAATCTTCTTGCTTTGGCCTCTCAAAGTGCTGGGATTATAGATGTGAGCCACTGTGCCTGGCCTGTTTTTATTTTTATTTTTGGATTTTATTTTATGTTTGCCTCTCAGTTTTTAAGCAAACTGCAAGGAAGACGGTGGGGCTAGAAGGAAGGCTGAGGCCTGGCCAGCAATGGCCCAGCATCCCCCTGAGTGGCCAACCCCCCTTTCCCCCACTGCCCTCCTCTGCCCAAGAAATGAGGGCTTTTCAGTAAATCCATGTCAGGGAGCAAAGTCAAGTGTGGAGTGCCATCTGGTGTGTGGGGCGCCTCTGGGAAGCCTGGGCAGCGGAATGCCCCCTTGCACCCAGCGCAAAGGACCCAGCTTAGGCTCCAACCCTTGCTGCTGAGCCGATGTCACCACCCAGAACCTTCCTGTCAGTTCCAGCACAATTCAGAGCTGGCTGCCTGGCAGATTGATGCTGGAGTCTCATTCTGCCTGATTAAAAATGGAATTAGTATGCAGCACTGAGAGCGCCCCCATCACCCTGACACATGTGACTATGTCCAACCCTGCCCCCACTTCCTCTCTGCACCAGCTCCGCAGGACCTGGTAGGGGTCAGGGGTCCTGTGACACCCACTCCTCGCAGTTCCTCAAGCAGCACTCTGTGAGGTCCTGTGCCCAGCTCTGGTGTGAGTGGGTACCCTGGCAGCGCCAAGGGAGCCTGGACAGAGGAGCCGGCCTGGGCCTGGGGGAGGGGAGGAGGGCCCTCCAGTGCCTTCCAAACCAGGAGGGGAAACCGGCTGCTGGTGACACAGCCTGGCCCCGTTGACCACCCAGTGTCCCAAGCACCCACAGATCCCACCTGCCTCGGTCCCGAGCAGAGCTGGCCGGCCACTGGGCAGTCCCTTCCCCAGCCAGCCTGACCCCAGTCTGCACTCCTTCCCCCTCCGTGGGGGAAGCTCTGTGGCTTGGAGTCCCCGAGGGCTGCCAGAAACTAGGATGAAAGCCATGGTGAGCACGGCCTCTGTTCCCCTGCACCATTTCCTGGGGTGTCCGGATTAACAAGCTCATTTGATCTGGTTACAGTGAATTTTCTTCAAAGAAACACTCAATAGGGTCCCTTGTCAGAGTGCCTCGCAGCGACAGTGACTGGGTACTGCTGCCTTTGTTCTGCCACCGTCAGACGGGGCTGGCTGTGGGAGGCGACCAAAGACATCCCGCACCTGCCCTGGGAGCCTTTCCCTCCTCCAGGGCTCAGCCACCTCAGGCGGCCTTCAGTCTGTGTGTCCTGCCACCCCCGAGATGTCCCAGAGGCCACGGTCACCCCATCTGTTCCTGTCCCCAGAACCTTCTCCTGGAGCCAAGTATCTGCAGGGACAGACAGGCGAGCGTCTGGGGGTTTGGTGTTGGGGTGGAGAAGGCTGTGGGGTGCTGCCCCAGCCCAGGCAGCCTGACTGTGAGAGCCCCAAACAGGAGACATCCCAGCCCCTTCCCCTCCCCTCCACGCTGTGGCAGTGGGTGCTGTTGATGTGGGGCACGTTCTTGGCTTGTGCATTTCTCGGATGAACTGCATCTGTTGACAGTAGAAAGATGCTCACATGTCTTTGGCTCAAGATCGACACTGCCTTTGGCTCAGGTTGGGACATCAACTATTGCTACAGAGCAGTAATGGTTAAAAATAAGATTTTGGAATTTATTAAAATATTTGTGGCTGGGAGCAGTGGGTCACACCTGTAATCCCAACACTTTGGGGGACCGAGGCGGGTGGATCACTTGAGGTCAGGAGTTTGAGACCAGCCTGACCAGCATGGTGAAACTCCATCTCTACTAAAAATAATAAAAATTAGCCGAGTGTGGTGGTGGGTGCCTGTGGTCCCAGCTACTCGGGAGGCTGAGGCAGGAGAATCACTTGAACTCGGGAAGCGGAGCTTGCAGTAAATTGAGATTGGGCCACTGCACTCTAGCATGGGCAACAGAGTGAGACTCTATGTCTAAAAAAAAAAAAAAAAATTTGTAATTGTTCAAATACAGTTTAGACTAGGATTGACATGTAAAAATTTTGTGAGAGGATAATACATTTTGTTTTCTCCATTGTATGAAAGCATTTATTGAAAATCAAGTGACATCTTTTACAAGGGAAAAAGTCACTTGTTCTTTAACATACAGTTTTTTTTCTTAGTTCTGAATTAGAAATGGCATCTGTTTTAGGTCTCAAGATATAACTTGGCTGTTCCTTACTGTGTATGTATGTTGTTTTCTGTAGGTATAGATAATTATATATAGGCCCTGTACCAAATGGGAGTGATGGTGTATTTAATAACTCTTTGATACCTTATGTTACCAAATATAAAGGCCAGGCGCAGTGGGTCACACCTGTAATCCCTGCACTTTGGGAGGCCGAGGTGGGTGGATCACCTGAGGTCAGGAGTTTGAGACCAGCCTGGCCAACCTGGTGAAACCCTGTCTCTACTAACAATACAAAAATTACCTGGGCATGGTGGCAGGTGCCTATAATCCCAGCTACTTGGGAGGCTGAGGCAGAAGAATCTCTTGAACCTGGGCGGGGGGAGGAGTGGGGGGCAGAGGTTGGAGTGAGCCTAGATGGCACTGCTTCACTCCAGCCTGGGCAAAAGAGCGAAACTCCTTCTCAAACACACACACACACACACACACACACACACACACACACACACACACACACCCTTTCTCTGTTGCTCAGGCTAGAGTGCAATGATGTGATCATAGCTCACTGCAGCCTCGACCAAGCCGACTCAAGTGGACTTCCTGCCTCAGCCTCCCTGGCAGCTGGGACTACAGGTGCATGCACAACCACCACACCCAGCTAATTGTAATTTTTTGGAGACAAGGTTTTGCCATGTTGTCCAGGCTGGTCTCAAGCTAATGGGCTCAAGGGATCCTTCAGCCTTGTCCTTCCAAAGTGATAGGATTATAGGCATGAGCCACTGTGTCTGGCCTTCCTTTAAAAATTTTGAAAACTTGGCCAAGCTTGGTGGCTCATGCCTGTAATCTCAGCACTTTGGGAGGCTGATGTGGGCGGATCATTTGAGATCAGGAGTTCGAGACCAGCCTGGTCAACATGGTGAAATCCCGTCTCTGCTAAAAATACTGAAAGTATCCAGGTGTGGTGGTGGGCACCTGTAATCCCAGCTACTCGGGAGGCTGAGGCAGGACAATCACTTGAACCTCAGGTGGAGGTTGCGGTGAGCCAACATTGAGCCACTGGATTCCAGCCTGGGTGACAGATCGAGACGCTTATCTCAAATTAAAAAAAATTAAATTAAAATTTGAAACCAGGGGACCAAGTTCTGTTGAAGACCTGGAAATTCCAGTAGGCTGAAGATCAGTGCAACCACCGTGGTCGGCCCTGTTGAGGTGCTGCTGAGCACCCACTCATCTGTGGGTGCTGCGGATTTACTACACTCAGATAAAGCCAGTGTTTCTGGAGTTCCTCCAGGGGAAACTGGTAGAGTTCAAAGCCCAGCCAAAGACCCTAAGAAATCATAAAGGGAACATACGCTTTTCTGGCTGTTACTGTTCTCCAGCGCCTTCTTGCCTCTGGATGGAAGGACAGCTCACTGCTTAGTATTTCACAAGCTCTTGCTTCATCCGCCAACTCATCCACTGTTGGATGTGTCACCGAAGCCAATCTGTCCTGGATCACAGCGACCCGTTAACCCAACAGTTCACAGCTTTTTGCATGTCCCTATCTGAACATCCAAAGACCCCTAAAAGAATTGTGGACTGGACTGAGTACTCCTTACGTGGACCCTTTTAGGGACCACGAAGCCCCCGTTTCTATTGGGCATCCCAGTTGGGCTATTCCCTTACCCTTGCTAAAAGAAGGCGAGCTCCTCTTTTCCCTTGATGGTGAGCCAGAGAGCACTCCATCTGATGGGCAGGCCTTAATGAGTCAGGAAGTCTTTCGGGCAGGTGTGACTTTGCCTGGATGTAGTAATAACCTAACTGATTCCTAGTTAGAAAGGACAGCCTTAGTGACTACTGCTACCCAAGACACAGACCTGTGCTCCTGAGGGCTGCCCTATGGATCAAAGCAAGCTAAATGGCGGCTGCTATGGCTGCCCAGCAAGTCCCTAGACTCCTTAGCTGGAGTAGTTTTATTATTATTATTATTATTATTATTATTATTATTATCGAGACAGAGTCTCGCTTAGTCACCCAGGCTGGAGTACAGTGGTGCAATCTCGGCTCACTGCCACCTCTGCCTCCCGGGTTCGAGCGATTCTGCTGCCTCAGCCTCCCATGTAGCTGGGATTACAGGCGTGTACCACCATAAATACCCTGCTAATTTTTGTATTTTTAGTAGAGATGGGGTTTCACTATATTGGCGAGGCTGGTCTGGGACTCCTGGCCTCAAGTGATCCGCCCACCTCAGCCTCCCAAAGTGCTGGGATTACAGGCGTGAGCCACCATGCCCAGCCTGGAGTAGTTTTAGATAACCGCATAGCTGTGCACTGTTTGCTTGCTGAACAAGGGGAGTGTGTGGAATCGCCAGCTCGTCTTGCTGTTCCCACAGTAATGCATCAACTGAAGTGGACATGTATGTTGAAATGACAAGACAGCAAGCCTCCTGGTGGCCTAGACTGCTTTTCAGGAGTATGTGGGGTTTTTTGGTTGTTGTTTTGTTTTGTTTTGGCAGGGTCTCACTCTGCTGCCCAGGCTGGAGTAGAGTGACACAACCTCAGCTTACTGCAGCCTCGACCTCCTGGGTTCAAGCAATCCTCCCACCTCAGCCTCCCAAGTAGCTGGGACTACAGGCATATGCCACCATGCCCAGCTAATTTTTACATTTTTTGGTAGAGACAGTGTCTTGCCATGTTGTCCAGGCTGGTCTCAAAGTCCTGGGTTCCAGCAATCAACCCACCTCGGCCTCCTATAAAGACGTGAGCCACTGCAGGAGGCTGAGGCAGGAGAATTGCTGACATATCCAGTTTCTTAGAAAAAAACATTTAATAGAGACTTACAAACAGAAGCTATGTCTGGGTCTCAGGTGGCAGTGAGACAAGATGGTAGCTTTACCCCCCAAGACCAAGGGCCACAGGGGAGGGGTGACCTCAAAGGGATGTGTAGGACAATTGAAATATGATAACATCAAAGTTGTTTTGTCCTAAGGGCAGGATTTATGGGAAGTAGGTGCTCCCGCACTAGAAACACGACATGAATGGGAAATCTCAGAGGCCCTCCGAGAACTGGCATTCATCAACCTGGTAGATCAGGCCCCAAGATGGAATTGCCTTGACACCCACACCACCTGAAATAATCTGGAGTACTGTTGGCAGCTGATGTGAGACTTTGGTTCTTGTCTTCTTAGCTTAAAATAATTTAAACAAGAGACACAACAGCAAAGGAGATGCAGCATACAATAATTTTTGCAAAAGAAAAAGAACATCTTGAAAGTGAAGTGCAGAATAGGCAGAGAGAAGAATTCAGGGCAGGCTGCTCATAAAGATGAGACAGCAAAAGTTGGCACTAGGGAGGCTCCCTTTATGGAAATCTTACATGATTATTCATGAGGGGTTGGGAAGAGGTGTTGCTAGTAAGCATGTTCTGGCCAAAAGCTATTAAAAGAAAAGGAGTGTCAAAAAATTTAGGCCGTGCTGGGGGTGGAGGCTCACACCTGTAATCACAGCACTTTGGGAGGAGAGGCTTAAGCCCAGGACTTCCAGACCAGCCTGGGCAACATGGTGAAACCCCATCTCTACCAAAAATGCAAAAATTAAATGGGCAAGGTGGCACACACCTGTAGTCCCCACTACTCGGGAGGCTGAGGTGGAAGAATCTCTTGGGCCCAGGAGGTTAAGGCTGCAGTGAGCCGTGATTGCCCCACTGCACTCCATCCTGGGCTACGGAGCAAGACTCTGTCTCAAAAAACAAAGTCAATGGTTCCCTTTGGTGGGGAAGGAAGAAGTGGGGTTTGAATGGGGGGCAGGGTACATATGGGGAGATCCTGGCTGTAGTCAATTTCTTGATCTGAGTGGTATTACTTTGGCGTTCAATTCTGTAACTCTTCTTTAGGCCATATCTTTCTGTTTTCTGCAGTTTTAATGTTTGACATATCTCAAAAGGAAAGAAAGAAAAGGAAGGAACAAGCTTGCCATTTGATCCAGATTAGATGCAACTGTTCCAGCTGCGTTTTCCATTTTCATCTCAGCCAGTATTTTTCAAAATGTGACATGCACGTATTTCCAAAGGGCGGTACTGAAACAGGATAGGTAATCAAGGAAGTGACCGTGTTCTTGGGATGCAGCAAGCGTGGTGACCGCACAGTCAACACAATAAGCCTCAGCATTCGAATTGTAATTGAGCTCATTCAAGCAAAGCTATCTTCAGTGGGGACTTTTCTTTCTAGAGAGCATGCGCATTTTGATTTTACCTATCCTCAAACTGACCCTTTGCTCATTATAATAGTAAAAAGCGCACCCCGGGTGGAGATTTAAGAAGCTAATGAGACCTGCGACATACGAGCCAGCATGTACAGCTACTCACGCCTGTAATCCCAGCGCTTTGGGAGGCCGAGGTGGGCAGATCACTTGAGGTCAGGAGTTCGAGACCAGCCTGGCCGACATTGTGAAAACCCATCTCCGCTAAAACTACAAAAATCAGCCAGGCGCAGTGGCTTACGCCTGTAATCCCAACACTGTGGAAGGCCAAGGCAGGTGGATAGCCTGAGGTCAGGAGTTCGAGACCAGCTTGGCCAACATGGTGAAACCCCATCTCCGCTAAAAATACAAAATGAGTCAGGTGTGGTAGCAGGTGCCTGTAATCCCAGCTACTCGGGAGGCTGAGGTGGGAGAATCCCTTGAACCTGGGAGGCGGAGCAGTGAGCAGAGATCTCACCAGTGCACTCCAACCTGGGCGACAGAGCGAGATTCCGTCTCTAAAACAAGTAAATAAACAAAAATAAAAAAATAAAAATACAAAAACTAGCTGGGCGTGCTGGCGGGCGCCTGTAATCCCAGCTACTCAAGAGGCTGAGGCAGGAGAATCGCTTGAACCTGGGAGGTGGAGGTTGCAGTGAGCTGAGATTGCGCCACTGCACTCCAGCCTGGGGGACAGAGTGGGACTCCATCTCAAAAAAATAAAAATAAATAAATAAATTAATTAATTAATTAATAAAATAAAATAGAAACAGGGTCTTGCTATGTTGCTCACTATGTGGTGAATTTTTTCAGGTGCTGAGCAAGACTGGAGACCAGACACACACCAATGTCACTTGCAGTAAACAAAGGATATTTGTCCACATTCAAAGTCTATGGTGACACCCTGGCCACATGGGGATGCTTGGCCACCCTGCCTCCTACCTTCATGCCAGAGTCGCCTGTCATAATGTCTGGTTACAGCCCTTCCTCTGAGGTCCAGGGATTTCAAAGCAGAAGCAGCAGGTCTTCCCCGGCTGGAGGAAGAGCCAAAGCCTCCATTCCTGGGATTCTTGGTTGCTGTTACCTGGGGCAAGGGGAGGCCCAGGCTGTGGCGTGTATTCTCAGAGGATTGGTCGTCTTGGTCCTTCTGTTTCCTGGGAAGGAAGGGCTGGTCCTGTAGGGCCCCATCTAGATCCCTTAGCACCCTCTACCACCTGATGCCCTTGGGGATACCAAGCTCTGTGCAGTCCAGACCATGTTCCAGCTCAGTGCCCACCTTACAGGCATGCGCCACCATGCCTGGCTAATTTTGTATTTTTTAGTAGAGATGGGGATTATCCATGTTGGTAAGGCTGGTCTTGAACTCCCGACCTCAGGTGATCCACCTGTCTTGGCCTCCCAAAGTGGCCGGGCAGGGCTGAATTCGCCCCCTCACCAGCTACTGCCAACCACGGATGAATGGCTTCTGCCTGCCTCCTGCCCTCCAGATCTTACCAGGGCATTTCACTGGGAAATATGGCAACAGCCCTTGCCACTCAGGGGACAGCATGGCAGGGGCTGGGAACGAATGTTGTTGCCAAACGACAAGACCCAGCTGGGCCCAGTGGCTCACACTTGTGATCCCAGTGGTCTGAGAGGCTGAGGCAGGAGGATCACTTGAAGCCAGGAGTTTGAGAGCAGCCTGGGCAACACAGTGAGACTCTACAAAACAAAACAAAAAAAATTAGCCAGGCATGGTGGCTGGTGCCAATAAGCCCAGCTACTGGGGAGGCTGAGGCTAAGGCTGAGGCAGTGAGCCATGATCATGCCACCGCAGTCCAGCCTGGTGACAAATGAGACCCTGCCTCAAAAAAAAAAAAAAAAAAAAAAGAGGAAGGTGAGCGCAGTGGCTCATGTCTGTAAATCCAGACACTTTGGGAGGCTGAGGTGGAGGTTCGAGACCAGCCTGGGCAACATAGCAAAACCATGTCTTTACACAAAATAAAAAATGAGTCAGGTGTGGTGGCACATGCCATTGGTGCCAGCTACGTGAGAGGCTGAGGTGGGAAGATTGCTTGAGCCTGGGAGGTCCGAAGCTGCAGGGAGCCGTAACTCAGGCATCACACTCCAACCTGGCTGACAGAATGGGACCCTGTCTCCAAAACCAAAAGATTCCAGCTCGAAAAATAATTGTGGGGTGGCGGCAAAAGCTCCTGACTGGCCTTGACTTTAGAGTGAATCAATGAATTAATTAAGGGCCTGCCTGTTAGTGAGTCTCCTCTGAAATTTAGCCCAGAAATTTCCTAACTCAGCAAGATGAAGCAGGAGGTAGAAGGAACTAAGGGGGCAATAAGCAGGAGGAAGGAATGTCCCCATGAGGGTGACATCTTCCCTGAGAGCCCCAGGACGACCAGCAGGAAGCCAGGCGGGGGGCAGGCAGGAGGACTCCAGAAAGCTCGGCCTGAGGGGAGGCCCGTGGGGGTGGTGGGGAGTGGTGCGGGGAAGGCAGAGGCTGAGCAGCAGGTGAGGTCCCCTGGGTTTTGGGGGCCAAGCCTGGGGCTCGGGGCGAGCAAGCATGAGTGGAGAAGGGGCTGCTGTGGTTGGGCTGGGGTGGACTCCCCACCTGCGTCGTCCAAACATTAGTGTGAGTGCACCCACACAAACACATACACAATCACACACAACATGTGAGCAATGGGCAGGACTGGTCCGGCCCCACTCAGTGCTGTCACCATTGGCCCCACAGCTGCCCACAGCCCTAGAGCTCTGGGCCCAGATTCCTGCCAGCCCCACCTGTCCAGGCCAAGGTAAGATGATGGAGCAAGGGGGTGCCAGGGCAGCAAAGCCCCCCACGTGCCCCTTTCCCACAGGGCCCAGGCTCCTGGCATCAGGAGGCTGAACCCAGGCCCTGGCCCAGACTGTGTGCTTCCAGCCTCCCCTCCTCTCGACACCAGAACACAGCCTGGCCCCAGCTTCTGGGAAATATAGAAAAAAATGGGTGAATGATCCAGTGACAGGGTGTCTTGTTCCACACAAGACACAGTGAGCAGGGGTTGGGGGAGGGGCTCCTGGCTGCGGGAGGCACACCACACTCACCCAAATGGCATCTGTACTCAATACCGCACCCTTCCCTGGGGGACACCTGGTCCCAACCTGAGCTGCCTTTCTCAGGACCCCAGCCCCAGCCCGGCCCAGCCCAGCCACACCCTGCCACTCCCTTCAGCCAGTGTGGCTTCAGGTCAAGAGGCTGGGCAGGGTCAAGGTGGCAACGAGGGGAGAAGCCGGGACACAGTTCTCCCTGATTTAAACCCGGGCAGCCTGGAGTGCAGCTCATACTCCATGCCCAGAATTCCTGCCTCGCCACTGTCCTGCTGCCCTCCAGACATGCTGGGGCCCTGCATGCTGCTGCTGCTGCTGCTGCTGGGCCTGAGGCTACAGCTCTCCCTGGGCATCATCCCAGGTAATGAGGCTCCCCGAGCTGCCCCTACACAACACACACACAGGGCACCCCCCAGCCCAGGCTGACCTGATTTTTGCTCTCCCCCTGGCCAGTTGAGGAGGAGAACCCGGACTTCTGGAACCGCGAGGCAGCCGAGGCCCTGGGTGCCGCCAAGAAGCTGCAGCCTGCACAGACAGCCGCCAAGAACCTCATCATCTTCCTGGGCGATGGTGAGTGAGCCAGGCCTTCCAGCCCTGCAGCCCTCACAGCCCCGGCGCCCGGACCCTCAGTGGTTCCAGGAGAGCCCTGGGGCCCAAGCCTCACACATTTCTGTTCCTTCAGGGATGGGGGTGTCTACGGTGACAGCTGCCAGGATCCTAAAAGGGCAGAAGAAGGACAAACTGGGGCCTGAGATACCCCTGGCCATGGACCGCTTCCCATATGTGGCTCTGTCCAAGGTAAGTGCTGGGCTACCTTAGAGTCCTCCAAGCACAGAAGGGGAATCCTGGCTATGGAGTGTGGTAGGAGGGAGGGACCCTAAACAGCTGGGGCTCCAGTAAGGAGTTAGAGGCAGTTGGAATCCCAGAGGACAGAGATCAGGGTCTGGGTCTCCGTGTCTGCCCCAGAGAAGAGCTCAGAGTGTCTCTGTCCCCAGACATACAATGTAGACAAACATGTGCCAGACAGTGGAGCCACAGCCACGGCCTACCTGTGCGGGGTCAAGGGCAACTTCCAGACCATTGGCTTGAGTGCAGCCGCCCGCTTTAACCAGTGCAACACGACACGCGGCAACGAGGTCATCTCCGTGATGAATCGGGCCAAGAAAGCAGGTGAGCTGGGGCCCGCTGCTGGGTCACGGCCAGGTCACAGACGTTGGTCACATATACTGACCTCTGACACCCTTAGGGAAGTCAGTGGGAGTGGTAACCACCACACGAGTGCAGCACGCCTCGCCAGCCGGCACCTACGCCCACACGGTGAACCGCAACTGGTACTCGGACGCCGACGTGCCTGCCTCCGCCCGCCAGGAGGGGTGCCAGGACATCGCTACGCAGCTCATCTCCAACATGGACATTGACGTGCGACCCCCAGGCCAAGGGCTGGGGCTGGGCAGAGAGTAGCAGGGAGGGGGCACTAGCTCAGACCCAGGCAACCAAAAGCCTTATCTGGGCCAGCAGGGTCTGGAGGTGGGGTTGTGGGCGTAGAAGGTGCAGCCCAGGCTGGGCCATTCCCACAGCCTTGGGGAGGGGAGTCAGGGGCTGTGCATGAGGAGGGGGCACGGGGCCAGCCAGGGCCCCAAATCCACCTGCCCCATCCTCTGTTCCCAGGTGATCCTAGGTGGAGGCCGAAAGTACATGTTTCGCATGGGAACCCCAGACCCTGAGTACCCAGATGACTACAGCCAAGGTGGGACCAGGCTGGACGGGAAGAATCTGGTGCAGGAATGGCTGGCGAAGCGCCAGGTGATGGGGGCTGGCGGGTGCAGGGGGCACAGCAGGGGGAGGGCAGAGGTGTGGGGCTCAGGGCTGTGGGCTGAGGCCTGGCTCTCTCCCTCCCCACAGGGTGCCCGGTATGTGTGGAACCGCACTGAGCTCATGCAGGCTTCCCTGGACCCGTCTGTGACCCATCTCATGGGTAATGACCCCCTTCCTGCCCTGGCATCCCTCAGATGGCCTCAGATGGCACCTTCTGAGCCTGTGTGCACATCCGCCAGCACCCGCCCACCCCCAGCCTGCCAGTCACCACAGGACCCCTTGTCCCACAGGTCTCTTTGAGCCTGGAGACATGAAATACGAGATCCACCGAGACTCCACACTGGACCCCTCCCTGATGGAGATGACAGAGGCTGCCCTGCGCCTGCTGAGCAGGAACCCCCGCGGCTTCTTCCTCTTCGTGGAGGGTGCGTGGTGGCCCCTGGGGAGTGGGGGTTGGGGGTTGGAGCAGGGCAGGCTCAGCATCTCCCCCCTCTGGCCTTCCTGCAGGTGGTCGCATCGACCATGGTCATCATGAAAGCAGGGCTTACCGGGCACTGACTGAGACGATCATGTTCGACGACGCCATTGAGAGGGCGGGCCAGCTCACCAGCGAGGAGGACACGCTGAGCCTCGTCACTGCCGACCACTCCCACGTCTTCTCCTTCGGAGGCTACCCCCTGCGAGGGAGCTCCATCTTCGGTAGGCCTGGGGAGAGTGGCAGGTGCTGCTGCAGCAATTAAGTGGGTGAAATCTGAGCCTCAGTCTCCTCCTCTGTCAAATGGGAGTAATGCTGGCACCAGCCCTGTAGGGTCTCCTGAGGACTAAGCCCCTGACCAGGCAAAACGTGGCGGTGCCTAGCACGTGGGAGACACTCCACAGCTGTGTTCAGCTCAACCACAGGGACCCCTCTCTCTGCAGGGCTGGCCCCTGGCAAGGCCCGGGACAGGAAGGCCTACACGGTCCTCCTATACGGAAACGGTCCAGGCTATGTGCTCAAGGACGGCGCCCGGCCGGATGTTACCGAGAGCGAGAGCGGTGAGTGCCGCGGGGTGGCCCCCTGAGGGGGACCAGGGTGCCAAGGATGGGGGGCTGGCGGGAAGGGGTCACCTCCTGTCTGCCTGGAACTGAATGAACCCTCCTACCGGAACTGAACCCTCCAACCAGGGAGCCCCGAGTATCGGCAGCAGTCAGCAGTGCCCCTGGACGAAGAGACCCACGCAGGCGAGGACGTGGCGGTGTTCGCGCGCGGCCCGCAGGCGCACCTGGTTCACGGCGTGCAGGAGCAGACCTTCATAGCGCACGTCATGGCCTTCGCCGCCTGCCTGGAGCCCTACACCGCCTGCGACCTGGCGCCCCCCGCCGGCACCACCGACGCCGCGCACCCGGGGCGGTCCGTGGTCCCCGCGTTGCTTCCTCTGCTGGCCGGGACCCTGCTGCTGCTGGAGACGGCCACTGCTCCCTGAGTGTCCCGTCCCTGGGGCTCCTGCTTCCCCATCCCGGAGTTCTCCTGCTCCCCACCTCCTGTCGTCCTGCCTGGCCTCCAGCCCGAGTCGTCATCCCCGGAGTCCCTATACAGAGGTCCTGCCATGGAACCTTCCCCTCCCCGTGCGCTCTGGGGACTGAGCCCATGACACCAAACCTGCCCCTTGGCTGCTCTCGGACTCCCTACCCCAACCCCAGGGACTGCAGGTTGTGCCCTGTGGCTGCCTGCACCCCAGGAAAGGAGGGGGCTCAGGCCATCCAGCCACCACCTACAGCCCAGTGGGTACCAGGCAGGCTCCCTTCCTGGGGAAAAGAAGCACCCAGACCCCGCGCCCCGCTGATCTTTGCTTCAGTCCTTGAATCACCTGTGGGACTTGAGGACTCGGGATCTTCAGGACGCCTGGAGAAGGGTGGTTTCCTGCCACCCTGCTGGCCAAGGAGGCTCCTGGGGTGGGGATCACCAGGGGGATTTTGACACAGCCTTCGGCTGCCCCCCACTAAGCTAATTCCACACCCCTGTACCCCCCCAGGGGGCCCTCTGCCTCATGGCAAAGGCTTGCCCCAAATCTCAACTTCTCAGACGTTCCATACCCCCACATGCCAATTTCAGCACCCAACTGAGATCCGAGGAGCTCCTGGGAAGCCCTGGGTGCAGGACACTGGTCGAGAGCCAAAGGTCCCTCCCCAGACATCTGGACACTGGGCATAGATTTCTCAAGAAGGAAGACTCCCCTGCCTCCCCAGGGCCTCTGCTCTCCTGGGAGACAAAGCAATAATAAAAGGAAGTGTTTGTAATCCCAGCACTTTGGGAGGCCGAGGTGGGCGGATCACGAGGTCAGGAGATGGAGACCATCCTGGCTAACACGGTGAAACCCCTTATCTATGCGCCTGTAGTCCCAGCTACCCAGGAGGCTGAAGCAGGATAATCGCTTGAACCCGGGCGGCGGAGATTGCAGTGAGCCGAGGTCATGCCACTGCACTGCAGCCTGGGCGACAGAGCGAGATTCTGCCTCAAAAATAAACAAATAAATTTTAAAAATAAATAAATAATAAAAGGAAGTGTTAGACAATGTAATGCCAGTACTACTTCCTAGGAGGAAAATCATGAGTGCCTGTGGGCACAGTGTCTGGAGGGGTGGATAACGCAGGCCAGGAGGGGCTGCTGAGGAGCAGATGATTGAGCAGGAGACCTAAACAGAGTGGGGCTTGAGCAAGGCAGAACAGCAGTGCCAAGGCCCTGGGGCAGCGCCAGCAGGTGCTCTGGGAGGCCAAGGGCTGGATCAGAGGGTGGGTGGGTAGAGGGGTAAATCTGAGGGTCAAGAGGGTGGGTAGTGTTGGGGAGTGTGAAGTCTGAGTAGAGGGATGTGGTTGGAGGTCTTTAAGGAGTGCTGTGACCCGCCCTGGGTGGAAAATAAGTATTCTGGCTGCTGCCAGAAGAAGGGTCTTGTCTTTTGGGTGGATGGTGGGGGTGGTAGAGGGTAGCAGGGAGAGGTGAGAACTGGGGAAGGAACTGACTCCAGGTGTTTCTGATCTCCGTCCGAAAGCATTCGGGAGCACCCATCCCAACACAGCCATGCTTGGTGAGTACCACACCTGCCCCAAAAGAACATTGAAAAGAATTTTTTTTATTTGAGGCAGAGCCTCACTCTGTTGCCCAGGCTGGAGTGCAATGACCTTGTCTCGGCTCACTGCAACCTCTGCCTCCCAGATTCAAGCCATTATCCTGCCTCACCCTCCCAAGTAGCCAGGGGTCAACAAGTGTGCACCACCATGCCTGGCTAGTTTTTGTATTTTTAGTAGAGACGGGGTTTCACCATATTGGCCAGGCAGGTCTCCAACTCCTGACCTCAGGTGATCCACCCGCCTTGGCCTCCCAAAGTTTGGGATTACAGGTGTGAGCCACGTGTCTGGCCGAAAAGAATTAAAGGTGAAATCAGCCACATTTTCCAGCAAAGTTTACACTATTACAAAAAATACAAAAATTAGCCAAGCCTCGTGGCCCATGCCTGTGGTCCCAGCTACTCAGGAGGCTGTGGTGGGAGGATCACCTGAAGTGAGGAGTTTGAGACCAGCCCAGCCAACATGGTGAAACTAAAACTGGTCTAAACTAAAACACGGTCTCTACTAAAACTACAAAAATTAGCCGGGCGTGGTGGTCGGCACCTGTAATCCCAGCTACTTGGGAGGCTGAGGCAGGAGAATTGATTGAACCTGGGAGGTTGCAGTGAATTGAGATCATACCACTGCACTCCAGCCTGTGCGACAGAGCCACTCTGTCTTAAGAAAAAAAAAAAAGCAAGCATTTTGTGCTCACTAGAAATATTAGCATGATTGAATGCTTCCTTGCATATGAAAATTATTTTAACATTGTAAAACATCTATTTGGCAGGCATGGCGGCTCAACACCTGCAATCACAGCACTTTGGCAGGAAGAGCGGGTAGGATCGCTTGAGTTCAGGAGTTTGAGAATAGCCTGGGCAACATAGTGAGATCCCGTCTCTGCAAAAACAACAACTGAGTCCAGGGAGGTCGAGGCTGCAGTGAAAGAAGATTGCTCCACTGCACTCTAGCCTGGGCAACAGAGCAAGACCCTGTCTGGAAAAATATATACATGTATTTGAGGACCTGGCTCTCTCAGGACAGTTTTTTTTCTTTTCTAATTCTAGGTTTTAGTGGCTGTCATAAAAATATGGGAGGTGAACAGAAGGTAGACACCATTAGCTGGCCTTACTAAATCATCATACTCATTGTTACATTCCATCCACCAAATATGCAAAGGTTTTGGTAAAATCCAGCTAGTGTATTTCTATCTTCCCAGTTGTCAGTGGGTTAGAAAGTTCCTCTTTCTAACCAATGTGGAGGTGCTGCATGTTTAGGTTTTACATGAGTGCTCACACCCAAGGACTTCTATATTTTAAAAGTGAAGACATTTTAAAAACAGATTATTCTGGCCAGGAGTTGTGGCTCATGCTTGTAATCCCAGCCTTTTGGGAGGCCGAGACAGGCAGATCACTTGAGGTCAGAAGTTTGAGACCAGCCTGGCCATCATGGTGAAATCCTGTCTCTACTAAAAATACAAAAATTAGCCAGGTGTGGTGGCAGGCACTCGTAATCCTAGCTACTCAGGAGGCTGAGACAAGAGAATCGCTTGAATCCGGGAGGCAGAGGTTGCAGTGAGCCGAGATCGCACCATTGCACTCCAGCCTGGGTGACGAGAGTGAAACTCCATCCCAAGAAGAAGAAGAAGAAGGAAGAAGAAGAAGGAAGAAGAAGAAGAAGAAGAAGAAGAAGAAGAAGAAGAAGGAGGAGGAGGAGGAGGAGGAGGAGGAGGAGGAGGAGGAGGAGGAGGAGGAAAAGAAGAAGAGGAGGAGGAAGAGGAAGAGGAGGAGGAAGAAGAGGAAGAAGAAGAAGAGGAGGAAGAGGAAGAGGAAGAAGAGGAAGAAGAAGAAGAAGAAAAAGAAGAAGAAGAAGAGGAAAAAGATTATTCTGAAATTAGGTCATTCTGTTCTCAAGCTTCCTTTTCCTGTGTAGGTATGAGTGTTTATGAGTCTAATACATTGTTTACCCCAAAATCAAGTGTCAAATAAATATTTTCAAACTTCTGCTCAAAAATTTGCTCTTTCCTTAGCAAGAGTTTTGTTTTGTTTGAGACAGAGTTTCGCTCTTATTGCCCAGGCTGGAGTGCAATGGCGCGATCTCGGCTCACTGCAACATCTGCCTCCCGGGTTCAAGCAATTCTCCTGCCTCAGCCTCCTGAGTAGCTGCGATTACAGGCACCCGCCACCACGCCCAGCTAAGTTTTGGTATTTTTAGTACCCAAAGTTGATGAGTCGACCTGCTCCACGCGTAATTTCAAGGTGGTCACGTTGGGGTCACCCCTTGCAGCTTGTAGCTGCTGTGAACGCCAGAGAATGAAGTACTCAGACAATTCCAGCTGAGTGGGGCAGGCGGCAACTCCTCTGAGAGAGTGCCGCCCCAAAATCCATCCGCCAAGTATTTATTAGAAGGCTTGTTAAACCACAAACATCCACCAGATGGGTTTTTGCCGTGGGGTCATGAGGCACATACGGCCTTGTAAAAGCACTCAGACCACATTCCTAGGAGGCTGTTTTCAGCGCTCCTTATCACACATTCCACTCCTTGTCCTGTTTTCAGTGTCAAGGAGTTACATTCTCACGCACAAACAACGTACACACAGTGCCTCAGTATTTTTCCATGCCTCGAGCTCAAATGCCTTGTACATAAGTTTGAATATATCGTCGTGCACCCCCCACATCTCCCCCTTCTTTAATTCTTAGAGCTTGCTGGTTATCCAACGCAAAATAAGCTTCTATCCTTCTTCCCTGGTCATAGATGCTTCGGGTGGCAGCACAGAGCCATTTACAGAAGCCTAGCAATCAGATACAAAAAAGAATATAGCGGCCATCACCCTAGCAATCAGATACAAAAAAGAATATAGCGGCCATCACCCAAATGCGTATGTTTAACCCAGACAACCAAGTATTCGGGTTCAGTCATTGAAAGCCTTCTTGTAATTGCTGAAGGGTATTTGTTTGTAATTGCTGCGAGACCATTCTTCAAGTTGTTTCTTCAACTAGACCTCAAATGCTTTGTACATAAGCTTGAATATATTGCCGCGCACCCCACCCGCTCCCCACTGCCTGCCAGAGGGCTGGGAAATGGCTGCACCGCTGAACACCGCAGTTACCCCGGGGAAATTACTTATGACCTCCTCCCGCGCGCTGCCACTGTGCGCTCCCTCCCCTCCCCTGCTTTCCCTTCCTCTCCTCTCGCGCACCCTCCTCCCGCCCTCAGGGACCCCTGGGCAAGGCCACTGCGCCCCGGGTCTACGGCAGCTGGCGGGGCGCTCAACGCGCGCACTCACACGGACGACGTAGCGCAAAGAGTTCCTGTCGTCCAGGCTGACCATAAGCGAGAAGAGCGCGGCGGCGCTGTACACGCCCTGCACTTTTTTACAGCAGCCAGTTGAGGTCCCATCGCGCAGCAACCCCCCGGCGCTCCGCCGCGCCGCGCAGGTCCCAGCCCCCGCAGTCCTCGATGACCTCCAGCATGAGCAGCGGGTTCAGTCGTTCGATCTCGCGCATCTCGAGGCACAAGCGGAAGAAGGAGCGCACCTAGTGCTGGGCAGCGCCGCCGGGTCCACCCTTGGGCCGAGCCAGCAGGCGCCGCAGGCGCTCCTCGTTCTGCTAGCCGATGGCCGCGATGGTGCCGTAGGTGAGCTTGTCGTCGGGGATGGCATGGCGCCGCAGCCAGCCGCCGCAGGCGAACGAGTATAAGTCCTGGCATGGGTCGATGCTGGCGTCCAGGTTGGCGGCCAAGAAGCGAGCGGTGCACGCGAAGTCTTGCGCTCAGGACAGCCTTCAGGACAGGCTCCGCCGCCGGCCGCGACCGGGCCCAGGTACTTGAGCACCAGCATAGCCGCCAGGATGGAGCAGAGGCCGGCTGCAAACACCAGCCCGACAGCAGGTTCAACTTGCGCCGCTTCCAGAGCTGCAGCCCGGCCTGGGCCCGGTGGCCTGCGGGCAGAAAGTCCCCGCAAGCGCCCCCCGCGCCGCAGTGACTCACATACTTGACCTCCTGGAACTCATCGTAGTGCGCCATCAGCGAATACCAGGACTCCATGGCGCCGAGGCCGCCGGGGTGCAGCCCTGGGCCACCTGGGCTACGGGATGCGCGTGGCCGCCGGCCTCCTCGTGAGCCTCCGCGTGGCCCCTGGGGCCTCAGCTGCGGGAAGGACAGAGGCAGGCTAATGAGACGCCGCAGCCCGACGGGGTTCCGGGGCACCGCGAGGAGAGACACAGGCCTGGGTGCAGAGGCCCCAGCCGCGAGCCTCATTCACTGGGGAAACCAGGGACCAGGAGGGCTCGGCGGGGCCACCACCCCCGCGTGCACAGTGGAGTCTTCTCCCCTGTCCCCCTCCCTGCACACACGTGCGGGTCCCTGGGTTGGGAGGGCCCTGATGGGAAGGGGGAGGAGCCAGGCACGGGGCCTGGCACGTAGTGGGCCTTCATTGAAAGGCTGTCCCTCTTCCCTTCGCCTTTCTGGTCCAGGACCTGCCCCAGCCAAGGCCGGGCAGAATGGGGGTGGGGGGTGGAGAAGCGGAGGCTGGAGTGAGGAGGTGGGGTCAGGAGCGCGTCTATGCTGCACTTTCCGCTTTCCGCGCTGGACACAGACAGAGGCTCCACAAAGCGGCCAAAGAACCAAACTTTGTCCTTGCGGAAGTCCGCAGGATCTACCACTCAACCCCGATCGCTGGCTCCTTCTACTCGGTGGCCCGACAGCCCACCCGCTCCTTCCCCAGGGGCGAGCGCCAACGCCCCAGGGTCGTGGATACACAGCCCACCCCCTGGACGGCCCTGATGGAGACCGGCTCCGTCCCCCCACCCACCCCCATTCCCAGTCTGTGACCCCGACCCGAGCCACTCCCGGCTTCAATACGTTCTCCCCAGAACCCAAACTTGGGTGAAGTTTCACCTCCCGCGGGGCGCAAGGAGACGAAGCCGGGAGGCTCCGCGCAGCGGCCGCGATGGCGGCAACGGCTGCAGGGATTCGGCGCCATTTACCCCGCAGGTGCGCACTCGAGCAGGACCAGGACTAGCGGGCCCGCTCGAAACCAGAGCCTGAGCCTGAGCAGAACTGCGTGGGCAGCCGCTGTCTCCCAGCGCCCGCTGCCTTTTCTGCCGCCGAGCTGCCAGCCCGAGGGGTCCAGCCGTGTCCCAGGACCAGTAAGGGCAGCGGGTACTCCCGGGAGGGGTCCCTTCGGATCCCGCGTCCCCATTACGA
Organism: Homo sapiens; assembly: GCF_000001405.40. Taxonomy (NCBI): domain Eukaryota; kingdom Metazoa; phylum Chordata; class Mammalia; order Primates; family Hominidae; genus Homo; species Homo sapiens. The sequence continues at coordinate 232,388,619 of NC_000002.12, forward strand.
GCTGCCCACCAGCCGGCTAGAAAGGGGCTGGAGCTACGCAGCTGGGGGCCGTCATGCCCCAGCCCACAGCCCTGGAGCACCGGCCGGGGAGGACTCCTCCTAAAGGATAAGGGGGCCCTGATGGAGTGCCTGGGCTGCCCGCACAGCGCCTGCGCACCTTCACCAGGGAGCTTCCTTGTACTCCTGGGAACGCCTGTCCAGGATGAGGTCTCCCCAGGGCGTCTGGGCTTCTGGTTGGCCTCGCTCACTTCCCCCAGTTCCTGATCCAGGGAGAGCAACGGAGAGCCCTGCCAGAAGAAGGCTTGGGGCTGCGAGTGCGGCCCCCATGGTACCAATGCACAGTTGACCCAGAGCACAGCAATCGCGGCCAATAGGAGGTGACTTGGGTTTAGCCTGTGACCACACAGTCCTGGTCACCCTGCACAGACTGCCAATAAAGAGGGGTCCGAGGCCCAGCTCCTTGGCTCCCCTGCAGTGTCTCCAAAAGGGAAGCTGAGGCTGTGGGTGAGTGGGTGATGCCAGTGGTCCAGGCCCAGTTCCACCTTGCACAAAGGCCTTCTTAACCTTTCATCGAAAAATATTTCTGCAAGGACATCTGCCCAGCAACCACCCGTCCATCCTCAGACTGGTGCCACGCATATCCTTGATCCTTGTAGCCAAGGATAAATATCTCAAAACAATCCTGTGATCCTCCTCCATTTTCCTTTAAAAACCTTTGTCTTCCTTCACCTCCCTAAATTCACACGTGCTTTCCTATGGCCTGCTTATTCCCAAGCAATACCTATTTCCAAAGAAAGTTCATTTTATTTTAGAGTCTTTCTGTATTTGTTATGCAGTGTCACATAGCGGAGCCAGAAGTGGGACCGAAGTGAATTCATCTTGGATGAATCAGCGTGTCCTGGAATCTAACGCAGTGTTGACTGAGCCCCCCGCAGACTGCCTTTCCAGGAGTTGCTTTTCTGTTCTGGTGAATCTCCTCAAATACCCAGATTCCCTCCCTTTGGTCAGTTCCTTTTTACTTTATCCTGGATGTGATTTGATTATAAGGCTCCCTTAAACAAAGGACCTTGCATCCCTCCTGAGGGTATAAAGGTTGGGTTTCTTTCTTTCTTTCTTTCTTTCTTTCTTTCTTTCTTTCTTTCTTTCTTTCTTTCTTTCTTTCTTTTTTTTGCTTCTTTGCTTTTGGCAAGCACTTTCTGGTGTAAAGAGCAGTGCCCTTCTGGTTTGAGGACTCTGAGTTCTAAAGAATTTATGTTCTGTCCATGAGGCAAGTCTTTCCTGGTGAATTCACTTTTGGTTCTGGATGCCTGACTGAATATTATGTTTGATGTGTACACCTTGGTTGAAATTTTGTGAGCATTCTGATTTGGGTTTGATTTTGGTTTGGTTTCCCACGTCTTTAAATGATTTGGCTCATTTTTTTTTCTTGCTTGTTCCTGAACATCTTCTGATCATCCCACAGCAAAAATAAACATAAATAGTTTAGCACCATAGGAAATGTTAAAACACACGTACACACGGTGAGGGTCGGCCCCTCGAGGTGGCTCCTGTCTGTAATCCCTGCACTCTGGGAGGCCAAGGTGAGAGAATGGCTTGAGCTAAGGAGTTGGAGACCAGCCTGGGCAACATGATGAAACCCCACCTCTACAAATAACACAAAAATTAGCTGGGTGTGGCAGCTCCCACCTGTAGTCCCAGCTATCAGGAGGCTGATGTGGGAGGATTGCTTGAGCCCAGGAGGTCGAGGCTACCATGACTTGTGGTCCTGCCACTGCACTAAAGCCTGTTTAACAGTGAGAATTGTCTCAAAAAATACACATATGGTGAGTGTGAGAAAGCCAACTGAAAGAACCCAGGGTGTCACCACCATCTAAAACACTGGTCCAGACTCCTGACAGTCCCTGACAGGGTTTATAGGATTTTCTTTGCTTCTCAGAGATGAAAAAGAAATGGAATGGCATTCTCAGACACTAAGGCGTGCCAGATTTTCTGGGACTCCAGGCAGCTACATGGCTTTCCCTGTGCACATTTCAAAATCAATGGCCATCATTGGAATCATTTGAACTCCTCAAATTTGCTTTTTCCTAATACTGAATTTTTAAACTGCCAACTACAAAGTTAAATGGAGAGCCTTCTAAGTTGTCTACTTCTGTCTCTCTCTTTTCTGCCTACTTGGAATCTGCTGACATTTCTGCTGGCATTAAGATAAACTGATAATATCACACTCCAGCCAACATAAAAACCACTAAGGAAGGGGTCTTGAAGGGCTTTCAAATTAATGGCTCTATAAATTACAACAGCTCCGTGGCAAACAACAACCTAGAGACCTTTTGGAAATGTAAATTCAGGTTTGCCTAACAGTTGCTTCGGGTGATGGAACAGTCCACGGAAGGATTGATATTAGAAAAGAACAGAATGAGAGAAATGTTTATAAATGTTAGGCACCCAGATTAAACAGGTCAAAATCATGAGCTCAGAGCAATAATGAAAAGGATCTCTGTTTCTGGCATAAAAACTGCTTCTCTGCTACACAGGGGCCAGGAAGAGCTGAACGAACTGCTAAAATGCTTCCCACCGGCACGGAGCTGTCAAGCAACTGAGAGTGGCAAACAGAAGAGAAATTTGTTATTGGACTTTTCAAAACTGCTAGGAGATTTTGTTTCTTGTACAAAATCCAGCCAGTCCTAGCTAAAATTAAACAGTTAGTATTTAATCCTTAATCTCATTTGAAACTGAAAAAGGATAAAGGTGGGCTCAAAGAGATTAAAATAAAAACCAGAAAACTAAACTGCTTGCCAGGCGCGGTGGCTGATGCCTGTAACCCCAGCACTTTGGGAGGCCAAGGCACGTGGATCACTTGGCATCAAGAGTTCCAGACCAGCCTGACCAATATGGTGAAACCCTGTCTCTACTGAAAATACAAAATTAGCCAGGTGTGGTGGCGCACGCCTGTAATCCCAGCTACTTGAGAGACTGAGGCAGGAGAATTGCTTGAATCTGGAGGCTGAGGTTGCAGTGAGCCGAGATCGAGCCATTGCACTCCAGCCTGGACAACAAGAGCGAAACTCCATCTCAAAAAAAGAAAAGAAAAGAAAACTGTTTTACCCAAAGTTTTGGTTGCTGCCCTCATAAGATTGCTTATCAAGACAAATGACAATTTTTTTTTTTTTTTTGAGATGGAGTTTCTCTGTTGTCGCCCAGGCTGGAATGCAGTGGAGTGATCTCACCTCACTGCAACTTCCGCCTTCTGGGTTCAAGTGATTCTCCTGCCTCGGCCTCCCAAGTAGCTAGGATTACAGGTGCACACCACCACACCCGGCTACTTTTTGTATTTTTAGTAGAGACAGGGTTTCAACATCATGACCAGGCTTGTCTCCAACTTCTGACCTCAGGTGATATGCCCGCCTCGGCCTCCCATAGTGCTGGGATTATAGGCATGAGCCACGGGGCCTGGCCCTGAAAATCTTAAAGTTTAGCTTTGGGACCTCTCCCATTTTCTCAGAAATCTCATTTGGATCCAACTGTGTTTTATAAACCTGTGAGTCCACATTACAATGTTTTGCTGTCTCATGACTACAATTCTAAAATGAAAGCTATAAGGTCTTATTTGTGTTTCTGTCTATGTATGTATGTTTTTGCATGTCGTATGTCGTGTCTCCAAGTTGAAATCTGGCATGGTCAGCTAGACATCCCTTAAGAAATTCTATTTGGGGTGGCTGGACATGGTGGCTCATGCCTGTAATTCCAGCACTTTGGGAGGCTGAGGCAGGTGGATCAGCTGAGGTGAGGAGTTCGAGACAAGCCTGGGCCACATGGCAAAACCCCATTTTTACTAAAAAAAAAAAAAAAAAAAATTAGCTGGGGCTGGTGGTGTGCACCTGTATTCCTAGCTACACAGGAGGCTGAGGCAGGAGAATCACTTGAACCAGCGGGGGCAGAGGCTGCAGTGAGCTGAGATCATGCCACTGCACTCCAGCCTGGGTGACAGAGCGAGACTCTGTCTTAAAAAAACAAAAAAAGAAAAAAAAGATAAATTAAACTTGTTAAAATATATAGTGAGCAGGGCATGGTGGAGCATGCCTGTATTCCCAGCTACTCAGGGGGCTGAGGCAGGAGGATTACTTGAGACTAGGAGTTCGAGGCCAGCCTGAGCAACACAGCAATACCCCATCTCTAAAAAAAATATGTATGTAGGCCGGGTGCAGTGTCAAACGTCTTTAGTCCCACCACTTTGCGAGGTCAAGGTGGGTAGATTGCTTGAGCTCAGGAGTCCCAGACCAGCCTGATCAACATGGCAAAACCCCATCTCTACAAAAAAAAAAAAATACAAAAATTAGCTGGGCTTGGTGGCGTGTGCCTGTAGTCCCAGCTAGTGGGGAGGCTGAGGCAGGAGAATCACTTTAATTCGAGAAATAGAGGCTGCAGTGGGCTGTGATTGCACCACTGCGCTCCAGCCTGGGTGACAGCGAGACCCTATCTCAAATATATATATAATATATATATATAAAACATATATAATATATATTACATATATTATATATACACACACAGATATATACACACACATATCTATGTATGTATATGCATACATGTATACACACATACATATATAAATACATGTATACATATATAACATAAAAATGAACCCAAATACCTTTTAGTTCACATGATCTAACTATATCTTTGATAAATAGGCTAGTTTTAAATGTGTTGATAAAATAAAAATAAAATATATTTAGCACCTTCTTTTCTTTCTTTCTTTCTTTGTTTCTTTTTTTTTTTTTTAGGCAGAGTCTTGCTCTGTCACCCAGGCTGGAGTGCAGTGGTGCAGTCTCGGCTCACTGCAACCTCCACCTCCTAGGTTCAAGGAATTTTCATGCCTCAGCCTCCTGAATAGATGGTACTACAGGCACGCCTCCCCACCCCCGGCTAATTGTTTTGTATTTTTAATAGAGAATGGGCCTTGCCATGTAGGCCAGGCTGGTCTCGAACTCCTGGCCTTAAGCGATCCACCCGCCTCGGCCTCCCAGAGTGCTGGGATTACAGGCGTGAGCCACCGTGCATGTCCATCTTTAGCGTTTGCAGTGTACATTTTCCACTGGGTTTGCGGGTCAGATGGGATCATATGTGTCTCTGCTAGATGCCTCAAGGTTATAAAACCTTAAACCCAACCTAAAAACAAAGTGATCTTTGTTTGTGGAGTTCTTTGATAAATAAAACTAATTTAGTATTGCTACTTTAATGAAAATAGCTCTGTCTTACAAGTTACTGGCAAAATATCTATTTATTTAATTTTAAGATTCTTAGGTGAACATCTGAGAGTCACAGGCTACAAAAGTTGTGAACAGGAAAAAAACCTGAAATGACGACTAGCTTTGTGTAATATCTCAGTATTCAAAATTAATGGGGATATAGTTGTTAAAAATATAAATTAGGTAACTGTAAATGGCATAAATGTCTATAAATAAGCTTTTCATAGAATTTGAGATTTTTTTGTTTGCTTGCTTGTTGTTTGTTTTTTGGCAGATTCTCTCACTGTGGCCCAAGATGGAGTGCAGTAGTGCGATATCGGCTCACCGCAACCTCAGTGCGAGTGATTCTCTTGACTCAGCCTGCCAAGTAGCTGGGACTACAGGCATGTGCCACCATGCACAGCTAATTTTAGGGTTTCACCATGTTGACCAGGCTGGTCTCGAACTCCTGGTCTCAAGAAATCCTCCCCTCTTGGCCACCCAAAGTGCTGGGATTACAGGTGTGAGCCACCGCGTCCAGTCGGAATTTGAAATCTTTTTTTTTTTTGAGATGGAGTTTCTCTCTTGTTGCCCAGGCTGGAGTGCAATGGCATGATCTTGGCTCACCAGAACCTCGGCCTCCTGAGTTCAAGGGATTTTCCTGCCTCAGCCTCCCAAGTTGGGATTACAGGCATGCACCACCAAGCCCAGATAATTTTTGTATTTTTAGTAGAGATGGGGTTTCTCCACCTTGGTCAGGCTGGTCTCGAACTCCCGACCTCAGTTGATCGGCCCGCCTCGGCCTCCTAAAGTGTTGGAATTACAGGCAAGAGCCACTACACCCAGCCAGAATATGAAATCTTAAAGTCAGGTTATGTTACATTAAGTGACAGATACTCATTAAATATAGGGGTCATTTCCAAATAAGACACAAAAACATAAATTGCCGAACATAAATATAAGTGTGTTTGTGGCTTCTTAAAATCTGATAGAACTACCAAATATATTGGGGTTGTACTGATACACATAAAACAGTGATGTTTCTAAAATTATAAACGGTTTTCATCTGTAAAATACTGATATGTGACGGTCAGTTGGCCAACATGGCGAAACCCTGTCTCTACTAAAAATACAAAAACTAGCTGGGTGTTGTGGCGGGTGCCCATAATCCCAGCTACTGGGGAAGCTGAGGCAGGAGAATCACTAGAACCCGAGAGGTGGAGATTGCAGTGAGCTGAGAGCATGCCATTGCACTCCAGCCTGGGTGACAAGAGCAAAACTCCATCTCAAAAAAAAAAAGAAAAAAATACTTTTTTCTTTTGCTAGCTGGTTTTTCACTAGAAATTAAGGTTGCTAAGAGTTAAAAATTCTAATTAATCTATACAATTCCGTGGACCAAGTGTACCAAAAAAAAGATGCATTTTTGACAAGAAAAATTATTTAAAATGTGTAAAAGCATGTTTTTGCTTTATTTGGTATTGTTGTATATTTAAAATTATTTGAACTTTTTATAAATTAAGAAAAATAGAGATAGGAGTCTGCTATGCTGCCCAGCCTGGTCTCGAATTCCTAGGTTCCAGTGATCCTTCTGCCACAGCCTCCCAAACTGTTCAGATTGCAGGTGTGGGCCACTGCACCTGGCCAAAATGTGTTATTCACGGAAATAAAGGAATAATTTTGTCTAATTTGGAGATTATATAATGTTGTCTCAAAATATGGATGTATGAACTAAATAAAAACAAGACAGAAAGGAACCAGTAAGTAGGAGAGAGATGTGAAGAATGTTACAGGTATGAAGATATATTTTTGGTAAAAACAGTTAAAAAAAAAAAGAATTCGGAATGACAAAGGATCTTGTGTGGTAAATTTTCTGTCCTAAATAAAACAACTTATTAATTAAGAAAGGGGAAGTTTAGGTCAAAGCAGAGGTCTAAGCATGTCATGGAATTGCTAAGTCATGAAAGGTTTGTGAAGGATGAATTTGTGAAAGAAATTTTTGTATGTGATCAGGTTGGCTAAAATTAGAAGGAAATTATTTATGAGTCTAAGGATTGAGCTTTCATATTAAAACTACACTGAGGCTGGGCACAGTGGCTCATCCCTGTAATCCCAGGACTTTGGGAGGCCAAGGTGGGTGGATCACTTGAAGTCAAGAGTTGGAGACCAGCCTGGCCGACATGGTGAAACCCCATCTCTACTAAAAATACAAAAGTTTGCCGGGCATGACGGGACATGTCTGAAATCCCAGCTGCTCTGGAGGCTGAGGCAGGAGAATCGCTTGAATTTGAATCTGGGAGGCAGAGGTTTCAGTGACCCAAGATTGTGCCACTGTACTCCAGCCTGGGCAACAGAGTGAGACTCCATCTCAAAAAAAAAAAAACCTACACTGATATTGTCCTCTTATGGCTCTAGAAGGAAAAAAAAAAAAAGGAGAAGAAAGAAAGAGAAAGAAAAAGAAAAAAAAAACTACTCTGATTAAAAAACCAAAAATTTGCGGCCGCGTGTGGTGGTTCATGCCTATAATCATAGCATTTTGGGAGGCTGAGGCGGGCAGATACCTTGAGGTCAGGAGTTCGAGACTAGCCTGCTCAACATGGGGAAGCCTCGTCTCCACGAAAAATACAAAAATTAGCTGGGTGTGTTGGCGGGTGGCTGTAATCCCAGCTAGCTGGGAGGCTGAGGCAGGAGAATTGCTTGAACGTGGGAGGCGGAAGTTGCAGTGAGCAGAGATGACGCCACTGCACTCCAGCCTGGGTGACAGAGTGAGGGTCTTTCTCAAAAAAGAAAAAAAAAAAAAATACCTAAAAATTTGGTCCCCTGTGTTAGTACAACAAAGTTTTCTTGAAGTATAGATCAGCTCTTAGAAAATCTAAAAGAGTTATTAATTTTTACTTCTGAAATATATTTCACATCTAAACTAAAGCTTTCTTTTCTTTTCTTTTTTTCTGAGACAGGGTCTCGCTCTGTCATCCAGGTTACAGTGCAGTGGTGTGGTCTTGGCTCATTGCCACCTTGACCAACAGGGCTCAAGGGATTCTCCTGCCTCTGCCTCCTGAGTAGTTAGGACTACCACCTACTGTGCTAACTTTTTTGTGTGTGCCACCACAACTGGCTTTTTTATTTTTGTATAGACAAGGTCTATGAAAATTCCATCATTGCATCATTGGATAAAACTCTTAGAAATCTAATATTTCACTGGGGATTTCACTCCACGATTACATTGTATGTCACAGAAATAACCAAACTTCCTTGTCAATTACTAATTACAATAAACTATCATCAGATTTTTTTTTTTTAAATATAAGTAGAGACTCTCTTTCTGTCACCCAGGCTGGAGTGCAGTGGCACAATCATAGCTCACGGCAGTCTTGAATTCCTGGGTTCAAGTGATGCTTCCGCCTCAGCCTCCCGATTAACTGGGACTTTAAGTGCATGTAACCATGCCTAGCTAATGTTTTTATTTTTTATTTTATTTTATTATTTTTATTTATTTATTTATTTTGAGATGGAGTCTCGCTCTGTCGCCCAGGCTAGAGTGCAGTGGGGCATCTCGGCTCACTGCCAGCTCTGCCTCCCGGGTTCACGCCATTCTCCTGCCTCAGTCTCCTGAGTAGCTGGGACTACAGGCGCCCGCCACCACGCATGGCTAAGTTTTTGTATTTTTTTTAGTAGAGACGGGATTTCACCGTGTTAGCCAGGATGGTCTCAGTCTCCTGAACTCCTGATCCTCCCTCCTCGGCCTCCCAAAGTGCTGGGATTACAGGCGTGAGCCACCGCACCCGGCCATGTTTTTATTTTTTATGCAGATGAGATCTTGCTATGTTGCCCAGGCTGGTCTGCATTTCCTGGTCTGAAGCTGTCCTCCCAAAGTTCTTTCCAAAGTTCTAGGATTGCAGGTGTGAACCTCCATGTCAGGTCTGAACTTCAATCATATTTTTAAGAATGGCTATTCAAAGTCTCTGTCATCCACAGTGTTGTCCTTCCCTAAAAACGTTTCCAATCAGATTCATGGTAAAGACATTACCAAGTACTCTTAGGACAAGTTTCTGATAACTTTAAGATCAAAGGACTAGGCTTGCTCCGTGGCTCACGCCTGTAATCCCAACACTTTGGGAGGCCGAGGCGTGTGGATCACTTGAGGTCTTGAGGTCCGGAGTTCAAGACCAGCCTGGCCAACATGGTGAAACCCCGTCTCTCCAAAAAAAAAAAAAAAAAAAAAAAAGACTTAGCTGGGCATGGTGGCAGGTGCCTGTAACCCAGCTATTCAGGAGGCTGAGGCAGGAGAATCGCTTGAACCTGGAAGGCAGAGGTTGCAGTGAGCCGAGATCACGCCACTGCACTCCAGCCTGGGTGATACAGCGAGACTCAGTCTCACAAAAAAAAAAAAAAAAATCAAAGGACTAAATAAAATTTTTTTCAGAACACAAGTGAAAAAACATGAATTTGTGAAACAACTAATCAAGATCAGACAGAACAAAAATTAACGACATGAAGTTAAGTAACCAGTGAAAATCTGTGCTTTAAACAGAAAGCTTAAACAGTGCTTAAATCAGTGTTTAAAACAGAGAGCTATGACCTAAAGAATAATTACAGAATTGAACACTGAAGAAACCACCACCCGGATCAAGAAATGGACTATGACCAGGATCTCCCCACCCCACCCCATACCTTCCCTGTTCATAATTCCCATTCCTTTGTCACCAAAGGAAACTGAGTTGTTGGGTTTGTTTGTTGGTTTTTGTTTGTTTATTTACAGACAGAGTCTTGTTCTCCCACCCAGGCTGGAGTGCGGTGGCAGCATTGTAATTCACCGCAGCCTCACACTCTGGCTCAAGTGAGCCTCCCAACTCAGCCTCGCAAGTAGCTGGGAGTACAGGCATGTGCCACCACACAAAGCTAATGTTTAAATTTTTTCTAGAGATAGAATCTCCCTATGTTGATCAGGCTGGTTGCAAACCCCTGGGCTCAAGCAATCTTTCTTACCTTGGCCTCCCAAAGTGCTGAGCTTACAGGTATGAGTCACTGCACCTGGTCTCCCTGAATTTTTTGATACTCATTTCCTCTTCATAGTTTTATCCCTCATATAGTTTAGTTTTGCCTAATTTCAACTTTATATACATAAAAGATATGTTGGATCCTATGTATTCTTTTGTGATTTGCATCTTTTGTCCAGCTTTATGTCTGTGAGATTCATTTAATCTGTTGCATATTACAACTGGTTATTTCCATTGCTGTATACGATTCCAATCATGAAACAATTGACTTTTTATCTTCTCTCTTTTTGTCTTTTTGAGACAGAGTCTCCCTCTGTCGCCCAGGCTGGAGTGCAGTGGCACGATCTCGACTCACTGCAACCTCTGCCTCTCAGGTTCAAGAGATTCTCCTGCCTCAGCCTCCTGAGTAGCTGGGATTACAGGTGTGCACCACCACACCTAGCTAATTTTTGTATTTTTAGTAGTGATGGGGTTTCACCATGTTGGTCAGGCTGGTCTCGAACTCCTGACCTCATGATCTGCCCGCCTCGGCCTCCCAAAGTGCTGGGATTACAGGCATGAGCCACCGTGCCCTGCGACATTTTATCTTTTCTGTTGTCAATCAACATTTGGGGCTGTTTCCATGTCTGGCTATTTAAACAATGCCACTTTGTACACGTTTGGTGCTTTCCTCCTGGACATGTGCCAAGTTTCTCCAGGACACCTACCCAGGACAGAATTGCTGTCTCGTGGGATGTGCACAGCTCAACATTCAGAACGCTGCTCCTATTGGTTCCTCCACTTCCTGCCAGCTCCCCAGGGATGGACTTTTAAATCTTGGCCAGTCTGGGATCTGGGACACCACCCCACCCAGTGTGGTCTCTTCTACATTGGTAGACACCTTTTCACACACGTTTATTGATATTTCTTCTTTTTCTGTTTTTCTTTTTCTTCCTGAGACAGGGTATCCCTATGTCACCTGGGCTGCAATACAGTGGCTCAAACATGGCTCACTGCAGCCTCAATCTCCTGGGCTCAAGTGATTCTCCCACCTCACCCTCCAGAATAGCCAAGACGAAAGGTGTGCACCACCACACCTGAGTAATTTTTTAATTTTTTGTAAAGACAGGGTCTCTCCATGTTGCCCAGCCTGGCCTCAAAGGATCCTCCAGCCTCATCCTCCCCAAGTGCTAGGATTACAGGCCTGAGTTAGGAAACCAGGGCGAATTGTAGCGAGGATTGCTTAAGGTCATCATAAGAAGAGCATTGAAAGAAACTTCCCACTACACAGCTATCAGAACGGCTGAAATACAAAATATGACAACACCAGATGCTGGCAAGTATGCTGAAAAAGTCACTCAGCTTGCTGGTGGACACGTAATGGTACAGCCAATCTGCAAAACAAGCTGGTAATTTCTCCAAAAACTACACATGCAACCAACATACAGCCCTGGCCATTTATCCAAGACAAATGAAAACACATGTTCACTCAAAAACCTACCCATGAATGCTCATAGCAGCTTTATTTATAAAAGCCAAAACTGAAAGCTGCTCAAGCTTCCTTCAGCAGGTGGTTGGTTAAACACACTGTGGTGCTTCCATCCCGTGAAATAGTGCTCAGCACTACGGAGGAGCCAGCTGCTGGCACACGCTTGGATGAAGCTCCAGGAAGTTATGTTAAGTGAAAAAAAACGCCCTTCCCAAGAGATCACACATTGTTTGTTTGCATTGATGTAACTTAGTTGAAATGACAAAATATTAGAGACACAGGATGCATAGCAGATTGCCAGGGATTAGGGACAGGGGAAGAGGTGGAGGAAAGAGGTGACCTGGTTATAAAAGTGACCCTGTGGGGTTGGAGCTCTTCAGTATCTCAACTATGGTGCCGTTACACACAAACCTACTTGGGTGATAAAATTGTATACACACTCCCACACATATGCACACGAGTACAGGTAACACTGGGGAAATCTGAATAATAACTGGGGATTACGTCATTGAGGGAAACTAAGCAAAGTGCACAAGGCATTTGTCCTTCCTTCCTTCCTTCCTTCCTTCTTTCTTTCTTTCCTTCTTTCTTTTTTTTTATTGAGACAGAGCCATGCTCTGTAGCCCAGGCTGGAGTGCAGTGGCATGATATCGGCTCACTGCAACCTCTGCCTCCCGAGTTCAAGTGATTTTCCTGCTTCAGCCTCCTGAGTAGCGGGGAATTACAGGCTTGTGCCACCACACCCGCCTAATTTTTGTATTTTTAGTAGAGACAGGGTTTCACCATGTTGGTCAGGCTGGTCTCAGACTCCTGACCTCGCAATCCACCCGCCTCGTCCCAATGTGCTAGGATTACAGGTATGAGCCACCACGCTTGGCCAAGGCCATTCTTTTATTATTTTTCTTCCTTTCTTTTTCCTTTTTTTGAGATGTTTTCTCACTCAGTCACCCAGGTTGGAGCGTGGTGGTGCAATCTCGGTTCACTGCAACCTCTGCAGCCCAGGCTTAAACCAACCTTCCACCTCTGCCTCAGGAGTAGCTGGTACCACAGGCACACGCCACAATGCCTGGCTAATTCTTTGTATTTTTTTATATAATTGGGATTCTGCCATATTGCCCAGGCTGGTCTTGAACTCCTGAGCTCAGGTGATCCACCCACCTCGGCCTCCCAAAGTGCTGCGGTTACAGGCTTGAGCCACCGTGCACAGCCTGCTTGTATTATTTCTTACTATTACGTGTGAATCTACAGTTTGTCAAAAATTCCAAAAGGAAACTCGGGCCAGGCAGGGTGGCTCAGGCCTGTGATCTCAGCACTTTGGGAGGCCGAGGTGGGCAGATCACGACATCGGGAGTTTGAGACCAGCCTGGCCAACATTGTGAAACCCCGTTTCTACTAAAAATACAAAAATTAGCCAGGCATGGTGGTGCCCGCCTGTAATCCCAGCTACTCAGGAGGCTGAGGCAGGAGAATCATTTGAACCCAAGAGCCGGAGGTTGCAGTGAGCTGAGATCATGCCACTGCACTCCCGCCTGGGCAACTGAGCGAGACTCAGTGTCAAAAAAACAAAAACAAAAACAAATACGAAACTCGGCTGGGTGCGGTGGCCATTGTCTGTAATCCCATCCATTTGGGAGGCTGAGGCGGGCAGATCACATGAGGCCAGGAGTTTGAGACCAGCCTGGCCAGCATGGTAAAACCCCATCTCTACTAAAAATACAAAAATTAGCCGGGCATGGTGGCGGGAACCTGTAATCCCAGCTACTTGGGAGGCTGAGGCGGGAGACTCACTTGGACCTGGGAGGTGGAGATTGCAGTGAGCCAAGATTGTGCCACTGCACTCCAGCCTTGGCAACAGAGTGAGACTCCATCTAAAACAAAGTAAATAAAAATTTAAAAAATTTAAAAGAAATTAGCCGGGCGTGGTGGTGCACACCTGTAACCCCACCTACTCGGGAGGCTGAGGTGGGAAAATCGTTTGAACCTGGGAGGCAGAGTGTGCGGAAGATGGCGCCACTGCACTCCAGCCAGGGCGAGAGAGTGAGACACCGTCTCAAAAAAAAAAAAAAACACCGAACAAAATACAAAACAAAACAAAACCAAACCTCAGGATGGCTGGGAAAGCTCCTGACTGGCTTTGCCTTTGGAGTGAATCAATCAATCAATTAAGGGCGTGCCTGTTAGTGAGTCTCCTCTGACCTTTAGCCAAGAATGTTCCGAACTCAGCAAGATGAAGCAGGAGGTAGAGGGAACTAAGGGGGCAACAAGCAGGAGACAGGAAGGGCCCATGAGGGTGACATCTTCCCTGAGAGGTCCAGGACAACCAGCAGGAAGTCAGGCGGGTGCAGGCAGGAGGACCCAGGAAAGCTCGGCCTGAGGGAGGCCCTAGGTGTGGTGGGGAGTGGGGTAGGGCAGGCAGAGGCTGGGCAGCAGGTGAGGTCCCCTGGATTCTGGGGGCCAAGCCTGGGGCTTGAGGTAAACAGGCCTGAGTGGAGAAGGGGCTGCTGTGGTTGGGCTGGGGTGGGTGGAGCTGGAGGAGCCTTTTCTTCTTGGACCAAATTTTGAATTGTGCTACATAACATGGTACATCAGAGTTACCTCCTTCACCATTTTCAAGTGTTCAGTACACACACATTGTTGTGCAGCTGATTTCCAGAACGTTCTCATCCTGCAACCCTGAAGTTCTGTCCCTATTAAACTCCAACTCTAACCCTAACCCGAACCCTACCCTAACCCTAATCCATTGCCCCCTCCCCCAGTCCCAGGTAACCTCCATTCCACTTCTGTCTCTATGAATTTGACTCCTCTAGGGACCTCAGAGAAGTGTGTTCATATGCATTTGCCCTTTTTGTTATTGTTTTTAAGAATCTTATTTTACAGGAGACGGTATTTGTCCTTTTGTGACTTTCATATTTCACTAGGTGTAATGTCCTAACCGTCCATTCACGTTGTAACAGAGTCTTCTCCAGGGCCTCCTTCAAGGCTGCATGATATTTCGTTGGGTGGATGACCCCATTTGGTTTCTTCTACCTTTTGGGTATATATATATATGCACATATATAACCCAGGCTGGCCTGGAACTCATGAGCTCAAACAATTCTCTGACTTGGACTCCCAAAGACTGGGATTACAGGTGTGAACCACCATGCCCAGCCATCCTTTTGGTTATTCTGGTTTTCAAATTTTTTCCCAATTTTATTAAGACTGTGATAAACCAGCCAGGCATGGTGGCTCATGGCTGTAATCCCAGCACTTTGGGAGGCCAAGGCGGGCAGATGCCTTGAGGTCAGGAGTTCAAGACCAGCCTGGTCAACATGATGAAACCCTGTCTCTATTAAAAATACAAAAAATTAGCTGGGTGTGGTGGCTTGCACCTGTAGTCCCAGCTACTTGGGAGGCTGAGGCAGGAGCATCACTTGAACCTGGGAGGCAGAGGTTGCAGTGAGCCGAGATCACACCACTGCACTCCAGCTTGGGTGACAGAGTGAAACACTGAAAAAATGTCTTTCGAAAATGAAAAAAAAAAAATACTGTTATAAACCCTTGGATTGAAAAAGTTTATAATGATAACTTCTACAGTGTAAAAAATAAAAAAGTAAAAAGAGTTAAAAAATAAAAATAAATAAATAAAATTATCAATGAACCCTAATCAGAATAAATATAAAGTTGAAAAACACACTAAACAAATCACTATATCATTCAGGAAAACATGCATATGTGGTAAAAAGCAATCAACAGCAAAGTCAAGATTAACCAAAATACAGGATAGTCATTACCTCTGGGGAGAAAGGTGGGAGACTCAAAGGCTTTAAATCTTTTTCTCAAAAAGATTTATCCCTACAGAGTAAATAAGGGTTTATTTTTGTTATTCATCTTTAAATGGAACAGATGGAAAACATTTTTTTGCATGACCACAACAAATGGAAAATATATTAATGAAGTTCAGTCACTCTTCTGTTTTACTCATAATAACAGAAGCCAGAAACCTGGGAGTTACCTTTGACCACTCCCTCACCAACCAAGTCCAATTAATTTTCACTTCTAATCACACCTATAATACCAGCACTTCGAGTGGCGGAGGCGGGCAGATCACTTGAGACCAGGAGTTTGAGACCAGCCTGGCCTTGATGGTGAAACCCCATCTCTACTAAAAATACAAAAATTAGCCGGGCATAGTGGCTCATGCCTGTAATCCCAGCTACTCAAGAGGCTCAGGCAGAACTGCTTGAATCCCGGAAGCGGAAGTTGCTGTGAGCCGGGATCACACCATTGCACTCCAGCCAGGGTAACAGACCAAGACTCAGTCTCAAAAAAAAAAAAAAAAAAGATCACTTTCTATTCTTCCCCACCCACAACACCAAACCCTGGCCCCAGCCACTTTGATTCTCACCAGGAACCCAAATCCCTCCCTCTTCCTTAACACCCCCGCTCTAATCCAATCTCCACACAGCAGCCAAAGCCAACACTTTAAACATGATTAACTCTGTCTGTCTTCAACTTGAATCTCCCTCACTACCCTCCTTTTCTATCAGAAGCAACAGAGAGACAAGTAAATTGCCCAAGGCCACACAGCAGGACATGGCAGAGACAGGATTCAGAATCTACTAGTTTTGACAGTCCACATGTCTCACCCACCCACTATCCCATTTTGGGTGATCCCAGAAAAGGGTCAGCCACTGCCCTAACACAGGGTAATCTCAGACAAGGACAGAGGATTTCTCCTCCAATCACCACTTCCCTTCCTTTATCAGCCTAACTCCCAGTTATCCCTAATTCTCAGCTCAAACCACACTTCCTCTATTTTTTTTTTTTTTTTTTTTGAGACAGAGTCTTGCTCTGTCGGCCAAGCTGGAGTGCAGTGGCGCGATCTTGGCTCACTGCAAGCTCCACCTCCGGGTTCACACCATTCTCCTGCCTCAGCCTCCCGAGTAGCTGGGACCACAGGTGCCTGCCACCACGCCCGGCTAATTTTTTGTATTTTTAGTAGAGACAGGGTTTCACCGTGTTAGCCAGGATGGTCTCGATCTCCTGACCTTGTGATCCACCCGCCTCGGCCTCCCAAAGTGCTGGGATTACAGGCGTGAACCACTGTGCCCGGCCTTCAAACCACATTTTCTAGGAAAGGCCTTCCTAGGCCCCTTGTCCTATTCCAGCAACTCCCCACAATTTGATGGCCAGCACTTTGTACATCTCTAAAAACATTCCTCTTCCACTAGATTGTGCCCTCCACAAGGGCAGAGGTCTGTTTTGCCCACGATTGTGGCACATGTCACACACCCTTGAGCACTCTGGTTCCTCTCCAAATCCATTTCTCCTGAATGTGGGCCCAGATTGGTGGCTCAAGTCTGGAACCCTAGCAGTGTTGAAGGATCGCCTGAGCCCAGGAGTGCAAGACCAGCACGGGTAACAGAAAGAGATCCTGACTCTACACAAATTTTTGAAAATTAGCTTCACATAATGGAAGATACACGGGAGGCTGATGTGGGAGGATCGCTTGAGCCTAGGAGGTGTGGCGTGAATGCACCACTGCACTCCAACTTGGGTGACAGAGCCAGCCCCTGTCTCAAAAAAATAAATAAATAATAATAATAAAACAGAAAGAAAAAAATGATGGCAAGGTATCTGAACTGCAGAAATACTTTTTAACTCAGCCTGAGGCTATCAAAACATCTGATCCCCATGTGAAAGGCTACAGTTCTGGGCATGCTCAGGGCCCACCGAAAACAGAGTCCGCCCAGGCACCCTCTGCCTGTGCAAGGGAACAGGTGTCACAATCAAGTGCACAAGCTGCTCTGGAAGACCCAGCCCAGGCCTGTCTGGCCGAGGGCACTGGACTCTCCCCCACTGCGTCGTCCAAACATTAGTGCGAGTGCACCCACACAAACACATACACAATCAAACACAACATGTAAGCAATGGGCAGGACTGGCCCGGCCCCACTCAGTGTTGTCACCATTGGCCCCACAGATGCCCACAGCCCTGGAGCTCTGGGCCTAGATTCCTGCCAGCCCCACCTGTCCAGGCCAAGGCCAGATGTTGGAGCAAGGGGGTGCCAGAGCGGCAAAGCCCCCCATGTGCCCCTTTCCCACCGGGCCCAGGCTCCTGGCATCAGAAAGCTGAACCCAGTATCTGGCCCGGGCTGTGTGCTTCCAGCCTCCCCTCCTCTCGACACCAGAACAGAGCCTGGCCCCCAGCTCCCAGGAAATACAGAAAAAAAAAATGGTGGATGAACGAGTGACAGGGTGTCTAGTTCCACACAAGACACAGTGAGCAGGGGTTGGGGGAGGGGCCCCTGGCGGCAGGATGCACACTGCACTATACCCAAAATCCCACCCTTCCCTGGGGGACACCTGGTCCCACCCTAAGCTGCCTTTCTCAGGACCCCAGCCCCAGCCCAGCCCAGCCACACCCTGCCACTCCCTTCAGCCAGTGTGGCTTCAGGTCAAGAGGCTGGGCGGGGTCAAGGTGGTAACAAGGGGAGGGGCCAGGACACAGTTTTCCCTGATTTAAACCCAGGCAGCCTGGAGTGCAGCTCATACTCCATACCTGGGATTTCCGCCTCGCCGCTCTCCGACTGCTTCCAGACATGCAGGGGCCCTGGGTGCTGCTCCTGCTGGGCCTGAGGCTACAGCTCTCCCTGGGCATCATCCCAGGTAATGAGGCTCCCCCAGCTGCCCCTACACACACACACACACACAGGGCACCCCCCAGCCCAGGCTGACCTGATCTTTGCTCTCCCCCTGGCCAGTTGAGGAGGAGAACCCGGACTTCTGGAACCGCCAGGCAGCCGAGGCCCTGGGTGCCGCCAAGAAGCTGCAGCCTGCACAGACAGCCGCCAAGAACCTCATCATCTTCCTGGGTGACGGTGAGTGAGCCAGGCCTTCCAGCCCCGCAGCCCTCACAGCCCCGGCGCCCGGACCCTCAGTGGTTCCAGGACAGCCCTGGGGAGCAAGCCTCACACACTTCTGCTCCTTCAGGGATGGGGGTGTCTACGGTGACAGCTGCCAGGATCCTAAAAGGGCAGAAGAAGGACAAACTGGGGCCTGAGACCTTCCTGGCCATGGACCGCTTCCCGTACGTGGCTCTGTCCAAGGTAAGTGCTGGGCTACCTTAGAGTCCTCCAAGCAGAGAAGGGGAATCCTGGCTATGGAGTGTGGTAGGAGGGAGGGACCCTAAACAGCTGGGGCTCCAATAAGGAGCTGGAGGCAGTTGGAATCCCAGAGGACAGAGATCAGGGTCTTGTTTGTCTGCCCCAGAGAAGAGCTCAGAGTGTCTCTGTCCCCAGACATACAGTGTAGACAAGCATGTGCCAGACAGTGGAGCCACAGCCACGGCCTACCTGTGCGGGGTCAAGGGCAACTTCCAGACCATTGGCTTGAGTGCAGCCGCCCGCTTTAACCAGTGCAACACGACACGCGGCAACGAGGTCATCTCCGTGATGAATCGGGCCAAGAAAGCAGGTGAGCTGGGGCCCGCTGTGGGGTCAGGGCCAGGTGACAGACCTCTATCGCATATCCTGACCTCTATCACCCTCAGGAAAGTCAGTGGGAGTGGTAACCACCACACGGGTGCAGCATGCCTCGCCAGCCGGCGCCTACGCCCACACGGTGAACCGCAACTGGTACTCGGATGCCGACGTGCCTGCCTCGGCCCGCCAGGAGGGGTGCCAGGACATCGCCACGCAGCTCATCTCCAACATGGACATTGATGTGCGACCCCCGGGCCAAGGGCTGGGGCTGGGCAGAGAGTAGCAGGGAGGGGGCACCAGCTCAGACCCAGGCAACCAAAAGCCTTATCTGGGCCAGCAGGGTCTGGAGGTGGGGTTGGGGGCGTAGAAGGCGCAGCCCAGGCTGGGCCATTCCCACAGCCTTGGGGAGGGGAGTCAGGGGCTGTGCATGAGGAGGGGACACGGGGCCAGCCAGGCCCCCAAATCCACCTGCCCCATCCTCTGTTCCCAGGTGATCCTAGGTGGAGGCCGAAAGTACATGTTTCCCATGGGGACCCCAGACCCTGAGTACCCAGATGACTACAGCCAAGGTGGGACCAGGCTGGACGGGAAGAATCTGGTGCAGGAATGGCTGGCGAAGCACCAGGTGATGGGGGCTGGTGGGTGTGCTGGGCACAGCAGGGGGAGGGCAGAGGTGTGGGGCTCGGGGCTGTGGGCTGAGGCCTGGCTCTCTCCCTCCCCGCAGGGTGCCCGGTACGTGTGGAACCGCACTGAGCTCCTGCAGGCTTCCCTGGACCCGTCTGTGACCCATCTCATGGGTAATGACCCCCTTCCTGCCCTGGCATCCCTCAGATGGCCTCAGATGGCACCTTCTGAGCCTGTGTGCACATCCGCCAGCACCCTCCCACCCCCAGCCTGCCAGTCACCACAGGACCCCTTGTCCCACAGGTCTCTTTGAGCCTGGAGACATGAAATACGAGATCCACCGAGACTCCACACTGGACCCCTCCCTGATGGAGATGACAGAGGCTGCCCTGCTCCTGCTGAGCAGGAACCCCCGCGGCTTCTTCCTCTTCGTGGAGGGTGCGTGGTGGCCCCTGGGGAGTGGGGGTTGGGGGTTGGAGCAGGGCAGGCTCAGCATCTCCCCCCTCTGGCCTTCCTGCAGGTGGTCGCATCGACCATGGTCATCATGAAAGCAGGGCTTACCGGGCACTGACTGAGACGATCATGTTCGACGACGCCATTGAGAGGGCGGGCCAGCTCACCAGCGAGGAGGACACGCTGAGCCTCGTCACTGCCGACCACTCCCACGTCTTCTCCTTCGGAGGCTACCCCCTGCGAGGGAGCTCCATCTTCGGTAGGCCTGGGGAGAGTGGCAGGTGCTGCTGCAGCAATTAAGTGGGTGAAATCTGAGCCTCAGTCTCCTCCTCTGTCAAATGGGAGTAATGCTGGCACCAGCCCTGTAGGGTCTCCTGCGGACTAAGCCCCTGACCAGGCAAAACGTGGCGGTGCCTAGCACGTGGGAGACACTCCACAGCTGTGTTCAGCTCAACCACAGGGACCCCTCTCTCTGCAGGGCTGGCCCCTGGCAAGGCCCGGGACAGGAAGGCCTACACGGTCCTCCTATACGGAAACGGTCCAGGCTATGTGCTCAAGGACGGCGCCCGGCCGGATGTTACGGAGAGCGAGAGCGGTGAGTGCCGTGGGGTGGCCCCCTGAGGGGGACCAGGGTGCCAAGGATGGGGGGCTGGCGGGAAGGGGTCACCTCTTGTCTGCCTGGAACTGAAACTTCCTACTGAAACTGAACCCTCCAACCAGGGAGCCCCGAGTATCGGCAGCAGTCAGCAGTGCCCCTGGACGGAGAGACCCACGCAGGCGAGGACGTGGCGGTGTTCGCGCGCGGCCCGCAGGCGCACCTGGTTCACGGCGTGCAGGAGCAGACCTTCATAGCGCACGTCATGGCCTTCGCCGCCTGCCTGGAGCCCTACACCGCCTGCGACCTGGCGCCCCGCGCCGGCACCACCGACGCCGCGCACCCGGGGCCGTCCGTGGTCCCCGCGTTGCTTCCTCTGCTGGCAGGGACCTTGCTGCTGCTGGGGACGGCCACTGCTCCCTGAGTGTCCCGTCCCTGGGGCTCCTGCTTCCCCATCCCGGAGTTCCCCTGCTCCCCACCTCCAGTCGTCCTGCCGGACCTCCACCTGGAGCTGTCACCCCCGGAGTCGCCACACAGACGTCCTGCCATGGAACCTTCCCCTCCCGGTGCACCCTGGGGACCGAGCCCTTGACACCACGCCCTTTGCTTTATCTTGCTCTTGAAATTTTGGCCCCAACTCCAGGGACTGGGGATTTGTGCCTGGCAGCTGCCTGCATTTCAGGAAAAGAGGAGGCTCAGACCATCCAGCCCCCGCCCATATCCTGAGGTGGATCAGGCAGGCTCTCTCCCCGGGGACATGAGGCACCCATACCTAGGACCCCCTGCGCCTTTTTTAGCTTCAGTCATGGCAGCACCTGAGGGACACAAGGACTTGGGTGCATCAGGACGCCTTGGAGAAGCGTGGCTTCCTGCCACCCTGCAACCCACCCTCCCAGCCAAGGAGGCTGCTGTGGTGGGGATCCCCAGGGGGGCTTTGACACAGTCCTCTGCTGTCCCTCCACTGGGCTAATTCTACACCCCTGTGCCCCTCCTAGGGGCCCATGAGTCAGAGAGGCTTGCCCCAAGTCACAGCCACTCAGATGTTCGACGCCCCCTAAGGTCCATTCCAGCACCCACCTGAGTTCCGAGGAGCACCTGGGAAGCTCTGGGTGCAGGATAGCAGTCCAGAGTCCATGGCCCCGCCTAGGCCATCTGGGTGCTGGGCATGGATTTCTCAGCAAGGAAGACTCATTACCTTCCCTCCCTGGGCCTCCATTCTTCTGGGAAACACAAAGCAATAATAAAAGGAAGTGTTAGACAATGTAATGCCAGTACTACTTCCTAGCATAAAAATCATGACTGAATGTGGACACAGTGGCTGGAGGGGTGGATAACACAGGCCAGGAGGGGCTGCTGAGGAGCAGATGACTGAGCAGGAGACCTGAACAGAGTCGGGGCTTGAGCAAGGTGGCACAGCAGCACAAAGGCCCTGGGGCAGTGTCAGCAGGCTGTCTGGGAGGCCAGGGGCTGGATCAGAGGGTGGGTAGATGGGGTAAAGCTTGAGGGGTCAGGAGGGTGGGGGACATGGGGGACCGTGAAGTCTAGGTAGAGGGGTGTGGTTGGAGGTCTTTGAGGAGGGCTGTGACCTGCCCTGGCTGGGAAATGAGCACTCTGGCTGCTGCCAGGAGAAGGGTCTGGTCTTTTGGATAGAGGGTGGGGGTGGTGGAGGGTAGAGGTGAGAGCTGGGGAAGGAGCTGACTCCAGGTGTTTCTGACCTCCCTCCGAAAGCATTCTGGAGCACCCATCCCAATACAGCCATACTTAGTATCACACTTGCCCCAAGAGAACATTGAAAAGAATTAAATGAAGGTGAAATCAACCACATTTTCCAGGAAAGTTTACATTATTACAGATTTATTTGTACATTTACAATGGTACAAGGAGCACTTTGTCAACATGGTGAAATTCTGTCTCTACAAAAAATACAAAAATTAGCCAAGCTTGGTTGCCCATGTCTGTGGTCCCAGCTACTCAGGAGGCTGAGGTGGGAGGATTGTCTGGGGCCTGGGAGGGTGGAGGCTGCAGTGAGGTGCGATCACGTCACTACACTTCAGCCTGGGTGACAGAGCAAGGCCCTGTCTCAAGAAGAAAACAAAACAAAAAGACTTTGTACTCACTAGAAATACTAGAATGATTGAATACTTCTTTATGAAAATTGAATTAACATTGTAAGACGTCTATTTGCCAGGCATGGTGGTTCAATGCCTGCAATCCCAGCACTTTGGGAGGAAAAGAGGTTAGGATTGCTTGAGTTCAGGAGTTGCAGACCAGCCTGGGCAAATGGTGAGACCTCACCTCTACACGTTTTCGTTTAGTGTTGAGGCAGAGTCTCACTCTGTCTCCCAGGCTGAAGTGCAGTGGCAGGATCTAGGCTCACTGCAAACTCCACCTCCTGGATTCAAGTGAATCTCCCGCCCCAGCCTCCCATGTAGCTGGGATTACAGGCGCCTGCCACCATGCCAGGCAAATTTTTGAATTTTTAGTAGAGATGGGGTTTCACTATGTTGGCCAGGCTGGTCTCAATCCTGACCTTAAACGATCCGCTCGCCTTGGCCTCAGAAAGTGCTGAGATTACAGGCATGAGCCACCATGCCTAGCCCCAGATTTTTAAAAAATTTAGCCAGGCCAGGTGGCACGTGCCTGTCATCCCAACTACTTGGGAGGCTGAGGCGGGAGGATCACCTGAGCCCAGGGTAGTTGAGGCTGCAGTGAGCTGAGATTTTGCCACTGCACTCTAGTCTGAGTGACAGACCAAGACCCTGTCTCAAAACAAAACAAAACAAAACAAAACATGTATTTGAGAACCTGGGTTTCAGGACAGTTTTTTCAATTCTGGGTTTCAGTGGCTGTCACAGAAATATGGGAGGTGAACAGAAGATAGACTCAAATAGCTGGCCTTACTAAATTATCACACTCATTGTTAAATTCCATCCATCAAGTATGCAAAGGTTTCTGGTAAAATCCAGCTAGTATATTTCTATCTTCCTAGTTGTCAGTCAGTTCCTCTTTCTAACCAATGTGGAGGTGCTGCATGATTATATTTTACATGAGTGCTCACACCCACGGACTTCTATTATTTAAAACTGGACAAATTTTAAAATAGATTGTTCTGCTATTAGATTATTCTGTTGTCTAGGTTTTTGTTTTTTGTTTTATGTTTTTGTTTTTCATGTGTAGGTATAAGGGCTTATCGGTCAGCTATGTTATTGACCACAAAATCAAGTGTCATGAAAATATTTTCAAACTTCTATTCAAAAATATGCACTTTCCTTAGCATGAGTTTTCATTGAAAGATAATTACCTTCTCATTTTGTCATTGAAATGACATCTTTACCTGAAGGACACACAGGAAGTATATTTATATTTTCAATCTTTTCATGGTACGCCTAAAATGGAGAGCTTTTCAGTTCAAAGTCAGCAAACTGGATTGTAAGAAGGAGGGAGGGAGAGTTAGGAAGAAAGAGAGGGAGAACTCAGGACAGGTGGGTTCAGTACTTTGTCATTCTGCGACTCATTCTATGTGGCCAGAAAGTTTCCACCCACTCCCCTTACCAAGTATCTTAAAGTTTCTATTTATGTTTAAGTTTCTATTATGCGGCTATCTAAACTTTACAAAATCAACCCCACTGCCTTCTGCAACATCTCATGTACACGCTGGGCTTCTTTCCTGCGCTGATTAGACGGGGGGTGAGCCAATGAGTGAGGGGTAAGGGTGAACCTACCTCTGCACACTGATTTGTATCCGGAATGCTTTTTTTGAAAAAACCCTTCCTGAGTAGCTATTCCATCTGTGGTTGCATTTCCACCATTTCCTCATAACATTGTTTTTATTTAAAAAGGCATTTGCTGTTGGCAATATATCTTGTCTGCTATATCTACCTTTTAGTGGGACATGAAAAAAAATGAAAGAAGTGGTTTGTGTATTTCCCTATTGGAACAGCACCTGGCAAATACCTTCAGCTGAGCCATGTTGGGAACATCTGTGCTTTCAGCTCATTGCAAAGCAAACCTCCCACACTGGGTACTTTGCTCTAACACGAGTTTCTTCCAATCTTCGGCAGTGTTTTCTCCACATCTTCCGACGGTGTTTGCTGACAAAGAAGTCTTTCGGTTTGTCGACAGATCATTTACTGCTCATTGTTTCTGCCATTTTTCCTGCAACAGAAAGAATTAAGTTTCTCCCTGGTGGTAGGTGTTTTTAGTCTCATGGTATCATGCAAGAAACTTTAAAAGAGCTTTCCAAATATCTGTCATTGCGTATGGAAATATCAAGAAGTACTGGGTTGAACTGCACCTAAATTTAAACATTGATGGGAAAAAATTGCACTCTTTCTTCAGTTCCGGAAGCTTAGTTTGGCCAGGCACAGTGGCTCACGCCTGTAATCCCAGCACTTTGGAAGGCAGAGGCAGGTGGATCACCTGAGGTCAGGAGTTCAAGACCAGCCTGGCCAACATGGTGAAACCTTGTCTCTACTAAAAAATACAAAATTAGCCAGGCATGGTGATGCATGCCTGTAGTCCCAGCTACTTAGGAGGCTGAGGAGGGAGAATCACTTGAACCCAGGAGGCGGAGGTTGCAGTGAGCTAAGATCTTGCCACTGCACTCAAGCCTGGGCGACAGAGCGACGTTCTGTCTCAGAAAAAACAAAAAGCTTAGTTTTAGACACCTTGCCAACCATGAGGATTTCACACTGCTCATAAGTAATTAAGTAATACCTCCAGGAACAAGGCACCCGGGGCAAACTTCAGCAGTAATCAGAGTGGGGGAAATTCAAAGAGTTTTGTTTGCTGATTTTTTATTATTAGGGGTAACGTCTGGTCAGGTCCGTACCCCGGGTGACGTGCGCTCTGCCAGGAGTAATAAGGAATTCTCAGCTCCCCCTTCTGCTGTGGTTCATCTGCTCTGGATTTCTGTTGTTAGTTGCAGATTCTTTACAGGAATCTTGTGTGAGCCTCTTGGCCCTTTTGGAGGATTAGGTCGGTTAAAACTAGATCATATAAGGCTGCGCGCAGTGGCTCACGCCTGTAATCCCAGCACTTTGGGAGGCCGAGGCAGGCAGATCATGAGGTCAGGAGATCAAGACCATCCTGGCTAACACGGTGAAACCCCCGTCTCTACTAAAAATACAAAAAAAAAAAAAAAATTAGCCAGGTATGGTGGTGGGCGCCTGTAGTCCCAGCTACTCGGGAGACTGAGGCAGGAGAATGACATGAACCCGGGAGGCGGAGCTTGCAGTGAGCCGAGATCGCACCACTGCACTCCAGCCTGGGTGAAAGAGTGAGACTCCGTCTCAAAAAAAAAAAAAAAAAAAAAGAAAACTAGATCATATAATCTGTCAATCTACTTAGGCAGACACACTAATACTCCACAATTTGCTGAAAGCTTGTGATCTGGAGGGCGTACTGTGTCAACCCCTGGCCTGAGGCACCCAATTCCCTTCCTCCGGGGCACCCGGGAACCACATGGGGTGGGTGCCTGCATGAAGGGTGAAGGCACCAGCATTCAGCTCAATATTAAACATGAGCTCTTGGGTCGCTCACTGCCCAGGGCTGTGCTGAGGCATGTGATGAGCCCAGCAAACAGTAAGCACTCAGGAGGGCCTGATGTTCCTTTAACCAAACCCCAAGGTCCAGGTTAGTCTTGAGGTGCTTGCAGCCTGGGCAGGCCATTCAAATTGAGCAACTCCTTGTGAGCAGGGGCGTCTCACTCCCTGCAAAATTCAGACCCCAGATGGCACCACAAGTTCAGTCCCCACCAGATCCGAGGCCCCCTGCCCATTGAGTGCCCGTGAGCCCCTACACAGTTCCAGTGATTGGCACAGGAAGCCTCATGATCGGGGAAGAGGAGTATGCTCCCTGCAGCCTCTCAGGACTCAAGGGGGATCCCAGCTGTGCCCTTCTGCTGGGTGCTGATGTTGCATCTGATGATGCCCTGGTCCCACTGGTTCTAGGAACAGGCCTCCCCACCGGGTTAGCATCTGCATAACTGGCCTTTGCCCCCATCCCAAGGGGGTCCCAAGATGTCTACAGTGTGTGGGACTTACTATGTGGGACTTGTAATTGTACCCTCTGAGCTAAGGCGGCCCCAGGACCTACTGACTCCCTCCGACCAGAGCTTCCCCCTTTGCTACCAGGCCACACACTGGACCCCAACACCAAGAAGCAGCTGAAGTTCCTCTTGATAGAAGCTTGCCACCTAGGATGCCACCGGGCATGCATTGGCCAGAGTATGTTATGTCTTGATCACTGAAGTCAGGTCATAGAGCCTGGACTGCAGGACATTCTGTGGTTACACTATAGGGAGGGTGTGGTCAAGTGGGAGACCCACCTATATATGGACCCAATAGGTATAGAAACACACCCCAAACCCATCTGGTTCTTGCTGCGTAGATAGAAGGCAATGAGCACCTGTCGGGGGAACAACCACCTCTGTAGAAAGGTCACAGAGCCCGGACTGCAGGACATTCCTGGCAGCCCAGCCACACCCATCTCCTGACAATGCATCTTCTGTGCCACCTCTGGGCTGGGCCACCACCTTCCCGGCTACTGCCTCATGACCCTCCTCTGACACCCCAGCTCTGGGCCAGGCACCCACATGGACTTGTCCATCTCCTGCCCAGTCTTCTTGACTGAGAGCTGGATGCTGAAGCAGATGCTGTTCAAGATGTTCTTGTAATAGGTCTTCCCATGGACCTTAAACTATGAGGGGCATGGGCAGCACTCAGCCGCAGACCAGGGCAAGGCTGCAGATAGCGCCACAACCGGGCCATGCAGGCCACCTGCCCTCCCAGGTGCCATTAGCAGAGAGGCTGTGGTCAGGCTGGGCAGGCAGGGACACAGTCCCACCTCATACTCCTTGTCCACAGACCCAGTTTGAAAAGGAAGTCTGGGTAGCCGACCATCACCACCATGTACTGAAGTTGCGGGCCGGAGGGCTGGTGAGGTGGCACAGGGCCTCAGGGCACAGCATCCTTGCCCACCCCCTGCCCACCAAGGAAAGGAGCACTAGGCCAGCCTAGGAGTGGGCTTCACGGTGGGGGAGGCAGGCCTGCTCAACTCCACGAAGTCCTCTTTGTCCCTTTTATTCTCTTTCACTGGCATACAGTAGGTGCTCAGTCAATGTGCATGGGACCAACAGATGGCACTGGGGGCCCCTCACCACGGCCCCAGTAGCTGTTCTGGTCTCCATGCAGTCCAGCTCCTCCAGGCGCTGGCCCAGGATGTACTTGGTGTCTTCCACCAGCTGCCACACATGCAGGGTCAGGGGTCAGGGAGCAAGGGTCAACCCAGCAGCCTTTCACTCTGGTCCATCACTCCTGGCATGAAGGAGTCTTTCAGCACCACTTCCTAAGCCCAGAGCTCGGTGCTAGGCGCCAAGAGGACATGTTGGAGGTAGGGATCCAGACCCTTCCCCTCCGACAATAAGCTCACAGGCTAGAAGAGGAAATGGCTGCAGCAACCACCATGGGCATCCCTAAGGAGATGCCTCCTGAGCATGGCTGAGAAGGTGGGCAGGGGCCTGGCAGGGAGGGCCACCTACCGCTGACAGACCAGGAGGAGGAGGCCTGCGGAGGAGCAGACTGGAGCCTCAGAATAGGCTGAGGCCTAAGCAGGGCCTGGTCCCCCTGCCTGCAGGGGGACATTTGGGGCTCCCCATGCGAGGACCATGGCCTCGGGAGGGTTCCACCCTCAGTTCAGCACCATCCTCCCCACCCTAAACCAGGGCGGCCCACCTTGGTAGCTGACAAGTGTTCATGTACAAAGAGGGCACGAAGCGCCATGCCATAGTGGTGGTTGGCCTGGCCCAGGCTGACCCGGGCCAGTTCCTGCAGCTTGCCGCTGCCCTCCATCTCCTGTGCCAGCTTGTGCAGCACCTCATGGAATGGTAAGAACAGGTGCTCACTCAGGACCACCACCACGTCCCACACGAGGTAGTTATGCAGGACCCTGGGGGCCAGATGAAGCCAGTGGGGTGTCCAGAAAGACATTCATATGGGCCACCAAGGGCACCACCCCCGCCTGTACTACCCAGCCTGCGGCTGGACCCAGCACTCAGATAGTCCCTCAAAGAAGGGGCAGGAGGTCATCCCAGGTATGTGGAGGCTGAAATTGGAGTGTGCTGAGCTCAATGACACAGCAGGACACTCTCGCTACTGATGCCAGCCCCTGAAGCTGATGGGTCAGGGCTTCTATCATTTCCTGACTTGCCATGGGGAGACAGCGTCTGTCCTTGAGGGTGACTGTCTGACTCAGAGCTGGCTTGCAAAGGCCTCTGTTCCTCCCCATGGTGGATAGATACCACGAGGCTCTCCCAAGGGTGGCCCAGGGACAGCAGAGCTGTAGCCACACTTTCTCTTTCCAACCATCCCTAGGTGAGGAAACTGCAGCTCAGGAAGCTCCCAGCCCTGCCGAGGGCCTCGGAAAGCAGAGGGGAGAGCTAGGATCGGATACCCGGGCTCTGGGTCCTTTTTTAGTGCTGCCTCCTCTAGTGTGACTACTGGACAGAAGTAGGGGTGGAAATTCATGGCACACCCAGCCAGCAAGTCCAGGGGGCAGGGGAGGGGCCTGGGCCATACTCACATGGGGGGGGGGGGTGATCTTCTGCAGCTGTCCCAGCGTCATCTTTCTGTACATGGAGCTGACATCTCGCTGGAAATCATCATACTCTGACACAGTGATCTGGGTGGGCGTAGCAATCAGGGCTGAGCCAGCCTTGCCCCATGGTCCCCTGTCATCAGCTGCCCCCACTACAGCCACAGGGTCTCCTTAGCCTTCTGCTCCACAGCATCAGCACCCAGGAGGCTGAGCACTCGCTCCATGAACACCCTGTGTGCTGCCAGTATCTGCACCACGGGAAGGGGCTCATCCAGGGACAGGGACAGGCCTAGCCTAGGGACACCCATCCTGGGGCCCCAGGCCTTCCCTGCCTCCCCATCCCATGTCCCAGCACCTTCTCACTCTCCTCATCCTGAGCGAGGTACAGAGTCCTCTCTAGCAGATTGAGCCCATCCTGGTCAATCTAGGGAGGGAGACAGGGGCCAGAGGTCAGAGATCCACATGCCAGACTCCCCAAACAGATGGAATTTTCACCCCAATGCCCAGAGAGCGACCAGACATCCATGGGTAGAGACCCAGAAGCACGCAGACCCCAGCCCCTCTTTCCACCCAGACGAGATGACCAAAGCCCCATCCCTGACTGTCTCAGCTTACCCCTGAAAGCCTGCACTTTCCCTACCTGTCGGGGGCACTTGCGCAGTGCCGCACTGACCCTTGGGGTTCCTGGCTTTGGCGCCAGCCCCAGCCCTCACGGAGATGTCAGCCCAGCCCGCCGGCGCGTCCCTCCCTCCCTGCCCTCACTGCCTTCCAGAGGGCTGGGAAATTGCGGCTCCCGCGGCTCGGCTGAACACTTCAGTTAACCCAGGGAAATTACTTGCGCCTTCCTCCCGCGCTCTGCCGCCAAGCGCTCCCCTCCCCTGCTTTCCCTTTCTCTCCTCTTGCGCACCCTCCTCCCACGCGCAGGGACCCCTAGTCAGGGCCACGCCCCGGGTCTGCGGCCGCTGGCTGGGCGCTCGGGAATCGCACTCAGGCGGATGACGTAGCGCGAGGAGTTCCTGTAATCTAGGCTGATCTAGAGAGAGAAGAGCGCGGCGGCACTGTACACGCCCTGCACCTTGTACAGCAGCTGGTTGAGGTCCCAGCTGGTTGAGGTCCCGCGACCCCCGGACGCTCCGCCGCGCCGCCCAGGTCCCAGCCCCCGCAGTCCTCCATGACCTCTAGCATGGGCCGAGGACTCAGTAGCTCTATCTCGCGCATGTCGAGGCACGAACGGAAAAAGGCGCTCACCTTGCACTGGGCCGCGCCGCCGGGCCCATCCCTGGGCCGTGCCAGCAGGCGCCTCAGGCGCTCCTCTTTCTGCTCGCCGAAGGCCGCGATGGTGCCATAGGTGAGCTTTTCGTTGGGGGTGGCATGGCGCTTCAGTCAGCAGCCGCAGACGAAAAAGTAGAAGTTCTGGTACGAGTCCATGCTGGCGTCCAGGTTGGCTGCCAGGAGGCCGGCGGCGCGCGCTAAGGCCTTGCCCTCGGGGCAGCTCTCGGGACAGGCGCCGCCGCCCGCCGCGACCGGGCCCAGGTACTTGAGCGCCAGCATAGCCGCCAGGATGGCGCAGAGATCAGCGGCGAACACCAGCCCCGACCGCAGGCTCACCTCACGCAGGGTTCCAGCGCGGCAGCCCAGGTCCTGGTGGCGCTGCTCCTTGAGAGAAGCCTGGGCGGCAGAAAGGCCCTTGCACGATCCCCGCGCCACAGCAGCTTAGGTACTTGACCTCCTGGAACGCGTCGTAGTGCGCCGTCAGCGAATACCGGGCTCCATGGCACCGAGGCCGCCGCGATGCAGCCCTGGGCCACCTGGGCTATGGGATGCGCGCGGCCGCTGGCCTCCTAGTGGGCCTCTGCATGGCCCCGGGGGGCCAAAGCTGCGGGAAGAGCAGAGTCAGGCTCAGGAGGCGCAGCAGCCCGACGGGGCTCCCAGGCACCGCGAGGAGAGACGCAGGCCTGGGTGCAGAGGCCCCAGCTGCCGGCCTCATTCACTGCGGAAACCAGGGACGAGGAGAGTCTGGCGGGGCCACCATCCCCGCGTGCACAGTGGAGTCTTCTCCCCTGTCCTCCTCCCTGCACACACGTGTCGGATGCTGGATTGGGAGGCCTCTTATGGGAAGGGGGAGGCGCTGGGCACGGGGCCTGGCACGTAGGGGGCCTTCATTGCATCTCTCTTCCCTTCGCCTTTCTTGTCCACGACCTGTCCTAGCCAAGGCCAAGTGGGGTGGGGGAAGGAGCAGAGGCTGGAGTGAGGAGGTGCGGTCAGGGGCGCGTCTATGCGGCACTTTCAGCTCTCCGAGCTGGACACAGACAGACGCTTCGCAAAACGGCCAAAGAACCAAACTTTGTCCTCGTGGAAGTCTGCGGGATCTACCACTTCAAACCCGCTCGCTGGCTCCTTCTGCTCGGTGGCCCGACGGCCCACCCGCCCCTTCCCAAGGGGAACGCACTATTGCTCCAGGGTCGCGGATACACAACCCACCCCCTGCACGGCAGTGATGGGGAACCCGAGACCTGTCCGTCTCTATCCCCTTTCCGCTCCACTCCTGGCTTCAACAGGTTCTCCCTAGAACCCACACTTGCGCGAAGTTTCACCCACGCTGGGGCGCGAGCTGGCCGGGCGAGCCCAGAGCCATGCAGGCGCGGCGCGCAGTCCATGGAGCCTCAGAGCCGAGCCTGGGAGTCGCAGCCGGCGGATGGACGCAAACAAAGCCGGGAGGCTCCGCGCAGCGGCTACGAAGGTGACGGAAGTGGCCGCGGCTGCAGGGACTCAGGCGCCACCTACCCGGCAGGTGCGCGCCGGAGCCTGGCAGAGGCGGAGCGGGTCGGGCCGAAGCCGCTGCCTGAGCAGGAGCGAAGCGGCGCTAGCGGCCGGTGTCTCCCCGCTCCCGCTGCCTTCTCTGCCGCCGCCCCAGCCCGCCGCCCGCCTGCCTGCCTGCCCGAGGGAGAGGACGCGCCGGTGGCTCCACCCTCCTCCGCCCGTCCCGCGCTCCCTTCCTTCCTCCTGCGACCCTCTGGCTACCTGGCAGCGCGGCGGCAGCGGGGACCTGGGTCGGGGGCCGCGGAGACAGGCTTCCGAGGGTCGTGCGCGGGCTGCGGTAGGGGACTCCGGATCCAGTCGCATCCCGGGACTAGTGAGGGTAGCGGGTACACCCGGCAGGAGTCCCCTCCGATCCCGTGTCCCCACTCGGAACCGCCCACCAACCGGTTGGAAAGGAGCTGGAGCTACGCAGCTGGGGGCCGTCATGGTCCAGCCCACAGCCCTGGAGCACCACCCAGGGAGGACTCCTCCTAAGGATTGAGAGGGCGCTGACGGAGTGCCTGGGCTGCCCGCACAGCGCCTGCGCAGAGCTCACCTTCACCAGGGAGCTTCCTTTACCTCCTCGGAACCCCTGTCCGGGATCAGCTCTCCCCGGGGTGTCTGGGCTTCTGGTTGTCTCGCCCCCTTCCCCCAGCCTCTGATCCACGGAGAGCAACGCAGAGCCCTGCCAGAAGCAGGCCTGGGGCTGTGAGTGTGGCCCCCATGGTCCCAATAGGCGGTTGTCCCAGAGAACAGCAATCACTGCCTATAGGAGGTGACGTGGGTTTAGCCTCTGACCACACAGTCCTGGTCACCCTGCACAGACTGTCAATAAAGAAGGGTCTGAGGCCCAGCTCCTTGGCTCCTCTGCAGTTTCCCCAAAAGGGAAGCTGAGGCTGTGGGTGAGTGGGTGATGTCCGTGGTCCAGGCTCCAGTTCCCTCACTGTGGGGTCTTCCCCTACCCCTGTGATATGGTTTGGCTCTGTATTCCCACCCAAATCTCACCTCGAATTGTAATCCCCATAATCCCCACGTGTCAAGGGCGAGACCAGGTGGAGGTAATTGAATCATGGGGCTGGTTCCGCACGTGCTGTTCTTGTGCGAATGAGTGAGTCTCGCCAGATCTGATGGTTTTATAAGCGTCTGACATTTCCCGTTTGCGCGCATTCTCTCTCCTGTCGCCATGCGAGAAGGTGCTTTCCACCATGATTGTCAGTTTCCTGAGGGCTCCCCAGCTATGAGGAAATGTGAGTCAATTAAACCTCTTTTCTTTATAATTTACCCAGTCTCAGGTATTTCTTCATAGGAGGGTGAGAACGGACTAATACACCCTGATTGCCCAGGTGACCCCATGACTCATATGCAAGAGCATGGCAGACCACAGCAGTGCCCAGCGACACCCAGTGAAGCCCTGAGTGACGCAGCTGGATACCTGATGTGAGGGTGAGCGGGTGGGTAGAGTAGCCAGAGCTGCCTTGGAGAGAGAAGGCCCGAGGGGGTGCCGGGCACAGACCAGGCACAGACCGTGAGGGCTTCAGAATCTGACTCGCTGCCTACCCCCTGACTAACGACAGATCCCAGTCATCCAGCCTATGCACCTCGTCAGAATCAAAACAGAGTTCCTTTTGTTAAAAATCCTGAGAAGTAAAGCCAGGAACATGAAGGGGATTTATCATGCACAAAACCTGATATCAAGAACTATCACAGAAGACTGCAAACAACCAGCTTGCATAATGGCCTTCACAACCTTTCACCAAAAAATACTTCTGCAAGGACATCTGCCCAGCACCTGCCTGTCCATCCTCAAACTGGTGCCACTCATATCCTTGATCCTTGTAGCCAAGGATGAATATCTCAAAACAATCCTGTGATCCTCCTCCTTTTTTCTTTAAAAACCTTTGTCTTCCTTCACCTTTCTAAATTCACACATAGTTTCCTCTGGCCTGCTTATTCCCATTGCAGTACCTATTTCCAAAGAAAGTTCATTTTATTTTAGGGTCTTCCTGTATCTGTTATGCAATGTCACATAGTGGTGTCAGAAGTGGGACTGAAGTGAACTCATCTTGGATGAATCAGTGTCTCCTGGAATCTAACACTGCATTGACTGAGCCCTCTGCAGACTGCCTTTCCAGGAGTTGCTTTTCTGTTCTTGTGGGGAAAAGAAAGAGAGATCAGATTGTTACTGTGTCTGCGTAGAAAGAAGTAGCCATAGGAGACTCCATTTTGTTCTGTACTAAGAAAAATTCTTCTGCCTTGAGATGCTGTTAATCTGTAACCCTACCCCCAACCCTGTGCTCCCTGAAACACGTGCTGTGTCACCTCAGGGTTAAATGGATTAAGGGCTGTGCAGGATGTGCTTTGTTAAACAAATGCTTGAAGGCAGCATGCTTGTTAAGAGTCATCACCACTCCCTAATCTCAAGCCACTCCCTAATCTCAAGTACCCAGAGACACATGCGGAAGACTGCAGGGACCACTGCCTAGGAAAGCCAGGTATTGTCCAAGGTTTCTCCCCATGTGATAGTCTGAAATATGGCCTCATGGGAAGGGAAAGACCTGACCGTCCCCCAGCCCGACACCTGTAAAGGGTCTGTGCTGAGGAGGATTAGTAAAAGAGGAAGGAACGCCTCTTTGCAGTTGAGGTAAGAGGAAGGCTTCTGTCTCCTGCTCGTCCCTGGGCGATGGAATGTCTCAGTGTAAAGCCGATTGTATATCCATCTACTGAGATAGGGGAAAACCGCCTTAGGGCTGTAGGTGGGACATGCTGGCAGCAATACTGCTCCTTAAGGCATTGAGATGTTTATGTATATGCACAACAAAAGCACAGCACTTAATTCTTTACCTTGTTTATGATGCAGAGACCTTTGTTCACGTGTTTACCTGCTGACCTTCTCTCCACTATTATCCTATGACCCTGCCACATCCCCCTCTCCAAGAAACACCCAATAATGATCAATAAATACTAAGGGAACTCAGAGGCCGGTGGGATCCTCCATATGCTGAACGCCGGTTCCCTGGGCCCCCTTTTGTCTTTCTCTATACTTTGTGTCTCTTTCTTTTCCAAGTCTCTCGTTCCACCTAACGAGAAACACCCACAGGTGTGGAGGGGCAACCCACCCCTTCATGTTCTGGTGAATCTCCTCGAATACTCAGACTCCCTCCCTTTAGTCAGTTCCTTTTTACTTTATCCTGGATCTTTTTTGGTTATAAGCCTCCCTTAAACAAAGGACCTTGCATCCTTCTTGGGAGTATAGAGGTTGGAGTTTTGTTTTTGGTTGGGGTGTGTGTGTGTGAGGCAGTCTTGCTCGGTCACCCAACAGAGTCCTGCTCTGTTGCCCAGGCTGGAGTGCTTGGCAGGATCACGGCTCACTGCAACCTCTTCCTCCCAGGTTCAAGCGATTCTTGTGCCTCAGCCTCCCTAGTAGCTGAGACTACAAGCGTGCACCACCATGTCCGGCTAATTTTTGTATTCTGGTAGAGACTGGATTGCACCACGTTGGCCAGGCTGATCTTGAACTCTTGACCTCAAGTGATCTGCCCACCTCGCCTCCCAAAGTGATGGGATTACATGGGTGAGCCACTGTGCCCAGCCAGTTTTGTTTTTTTATTTGCTTCTTTGCTTTTAGCAAGCACTTTCTGGTATAAACAGAAGTGCCCTTCTGGTTTGAGGGCTCTGGTTTCTACAGAATTTATTTTCTGTCTAGGCGGCAAGACTTTTCTGGTGAATTCACTTTTGTTTCTGCATGCCTGGCTGAATATTTTGTTTGATGTGCACACCTTGGTTGAAATTTTGTGAGCACTCTGATTTTGGTTTGGTTTCCCACGTCTGTAAATGATTTGGTTCATTTTTTTTCATGCTTGTGAACATCTTCTGATCATCTGATAGCAAAAATAAACATAAATGATTTGGTACCATAGGAAACATTTAAAAATAAATAAATAAATAAATGTCGAGTGCAGGCCTGGCACAATGGCTCCCGCCTATAATCCCAGCACTTTGGAAGGCCAAGGTGGGAGGATGGCTTGAGCTCAGGAGTTCAAGACCAGCCTGGGCAACATTACAAAACCCTGTCTCTACAAAAAATACAAAGATTAGCCAGTCATGTTGGTCCATGCCTGTAGGCCCAGCTACTAGGGAGGCCGAGGTAGGGGGCATTGCTTGAGCTCAGGAGGCTGAGGCATAAGAATTGCTTGAATCTGAGAGGTGGAGGTCATATTGAGCTGTGATCACACCACTGCACTCCAGCCTGGTTGACAGAATGAGACCCTGTCTCAACAACGACAACAACAAAACAATTTAAAAAGATGGGTATGAGATAGCCAATTAAAAGAAACTAGGGCATCACTACCTCTAAATACTTGTGCAAACTCCAGGATTTATAGGATTTTCTTTGCTCTCGAGATTAATAAGAAAGGGAATGGCATTCTCAAACATTAACAGCCAGCTACATGGCTTTTCCTCATGTACATTTTAAAATCAGTGGCACGATAGGAATCATTTGAACTCCCCAAGTTTGTTTTTTCCTTATACTGAATTTTAAAATTGCCAACTACAGAGTTAAATGGAGAGCCTTCTAAGTTCTCTACTTCTCTCTCTCTTTTTTCTGCCTACTTGAAATCTGCTGACATTTCTGCTGGTATTAAGATAAACCCACAATATCACATTCCAGCCAAGATAAAAACCAATAAGGAAGAGGTCTTAAAAGGTTTTCAAATTAATGGTTCTACAAATTACAACAGCTCCATGGCCAACCCACAACCTAGACGCCTTTTGGAAATGTAAATTTAGGTTTACCTGTCTAACAGTTGCTTTGGGTGATGGACCAGTCCATGGAAGGACTGCTATTAGAAAGAATAGAATGAGAGAAATGTTTATAAAAATTAGGCTCTCAGATCAAAGAGGTCAAAATTGTGAGCTCAGAGCAATAATAAAAAGGATTTCTGCCCAGCATAAAAATTGCTTTGTCTGCTACACAGGGCCAGAAGAACTAAAAAAAAAAAACCTGCTAAAATGCTTCCCTACCTGCGTGGAACTGTCAAGCAAATAAGAGTGGCAAACAAAAGCAATTAGTTATGGACTTCAAAACTGCTTGGTGATTTTCTTTCTCTAATAAAATCCAGGCAGTCCTAGTTAAAATATAAACATTTAATATTTAACCCCTAAACTCATTTGAAACTGAAAAAGGGAAAAGGTACGATCGAAGAAATAAAAATTAAAGACAAACAAAAAAGAAAACCAAACTGCTTTACCCAAAATTTTGGTTCACAGCCCTCATAAGATTGCTCATAAAGACAAATGCAAATCTTAAAGTTTAGCTTTGAGACCTCTCCCATTTTCTCAGAAATCTCATTTGGATCCTACTGTGTCTTATAAACCTGTGAGTCTGTATTAGTATGTTTTGCTGTCTCATGACCGAAACGCTCAAATTAAAGCCATAAGGTCTTATTTGTGTGTATCTATGTTTATGTATGTTTTTGCATGTTGTATGTTATGTCTCCAATTTGAAATCTGGCACAATAGGCCAGAAATTCCTTAAGGAATTCTATTCAGTTTAACTTAGATTAATTAAACTTGTTAAAATATATAGTGAGCAGGGCATGGTGGAGCATGCCTGTATTCCCAGCTACTCAGGGGGCTAAGGCAGAAGGATTACTTGAGCCCAGGAGTTCAAGGACAGCCTGAGTGACATAGCAAGACCCCATCTCTAAAAAAAATATGTATATAGGCTGGGTGCGGTGTCAAACATCTTTAGTCCCACCACTTGGGGAGGCTGAGGTCGGTGGACTGCTTGAGCCCAGTAGCTGGAGTTCGAGATAAGCCTGGGCAACATGGCAAAACCCCATCTCTATAAAAAAAATACAAGAATTAGCCAGGCATGGTGGTGTGTGCCTGTAGTCCCAGCTACTAGGGAGGCTGAGGCAGGAGAATCACTTTAACTTGGAAAGTAGAAGCTTCCATGGGCTGTGATTGTACCACTGCACTCCAGCCCGGGTGACAGAGTGAGACCCCATCTCAAAAAAAAAAAAAAAAAAAAAAATATATATATATATATATATATATATATATATGCACACACACCTGTGTAGATACATACATATATAAATACATGTATACATATTACATATACATACATATATAACATAGTAATTAACCCAAATACCTTTTAGTTCATGCGATTTAACTACATCTTTGATAAATAAGCTGGTTTTAAATTTGTTGATAAAATAAAAATAGAAATATCTTTAGCATTTTCTTTTCTTTCTTCATTTCTTCCCTCTCTCTTCCTCCCTCCCTCCCTCCCTTCCTTCCTTCTTTTTTTTTTTTTTTTTTTTTTTTTTTTTTTTTTTTTTCTCTCTCAGAGCCTCTCTCTATCACCCAGGCTGGAGTGCAGTGGTGCAATCTCAGCTCACTGCAACCTCCACCTCCCAGGTTCAGGTGGTTCTCATGCCTCAACCTCCTGAGTAGATGGTACTATAGGTGCTCATCACCACTCCTAGCTAATTTTTTTTGTATTTTTAGTAAAGAATGGGTTTTGCCATGTTGGCCAGGCTGGTCTCAAACTTCTGGCCTCAAGACAAAAAACATTAAAATTAAAATTAAAATTAATTTAATCAAATGCCTGGCCTCAAGTGATCCACCCGCCTCGGCCTCCCAGAGTGCTGGGATTACAGGCGTGAGCCACCACGCACGTCCATCTTTAGCATTTGCAGTGTACATTTTCCCCTCGGTTTGTGGGTCAGTTAGGATCATACGTGTCTCTGCTAGATGCTTCAAGGTCCTAAAACTGTATTTTATTTTTTATTTTTTGTGAGACGGAGTCTCACTCTGTCACCCAGGCTGGAGTGCAGTGGTGTAATCTCAGCTCACTGCAACCTCCACCTCCAGGGTTCAAGTGATTTTCCTGCCTCAGCGTCCTGAGTAGCTGGGATTACAGACATGTGCCATCATGCCCTGCTAATTTTTGCATTTTTATTAGCGACGGGGTTTCACCATGTTAGCCAGGCCGGTCTCGAACTCCTGACCTCAAGTGATCTGCCCACCTCGGCCTCCCAAAGTGCTCAGATTACAGGCGTGAGCCACTGCGCCTGGCCTAAGGTCATAGAAAAACTTTAAACCCAACCTAAAAACAGTGATCTTTGTTTGTGTAGTTCTTTGATAAATAAAACTAATTTAGTATTGCTGGTTTAATGTAAACAGCTCTGTCTTAGGAGTTACTGGCAAAATATCCATGTATTTAACTTTAAGCTTCTTAAGTGAACACCTGAGAGTCACAGGCTATGAAAATAGTG
The DNA here is from genome assembly GCF_000001405.40 of Homo sapiens. Classification (NCBI taxonomy): domain Eukaryota; kingdom Metazoa; phylum Chordata; class Mammalia; order Primates; family Hominidae; genus Homo; species Homo sapiens. The sequence goes on from NC_000002.12 coordinate 232,428,132, forward strand.
AACAAGAAAATACCCGGAAATGAGTACTAGCTTTGTGTAATATCTCAGTATTCATAATTAGTGGAGGTATAATTGTTAAAAATATAAATTAGGTAAATGTAAATAGGATGAATGTCTATAAATGAGCTTTTCATAGAATTTGAAATCTTTTTTTCTTTTTTTTTGAGACAGAGTCTCCTCTGTCGCCCAGGCTGGAGTGCAGTGGTGTGATCTCGGCTCACTGCAATCTCCACCTCCCGCGTTCAAATGATTCTCATGCCTCAGCCTCTTGAGTAGCTGGGATTACAGGCATGCGCCACCACACGCAGCTACTTTTTGTATTATTGGTAGAGACGGGGTTTCACCATGTTGGCCAGGCTGCTCTCGAACTCCTGGTCTCAAGCAGTCCTCCACCTCAGCCTCCCAAAGTGCTGGGATTACAGGCATGAGCCACTGTGCCTGGCCAGACTTTGAAATCTTAAAGTCATGTTATGCTACCTTAACTGACAGATACTCATTAAATATATTGGTCATTTCCAAGTAAGAGAAAACACAAAAACATAAATTGCTGAACACAAATATGTTTGTTTTTGGCTTCTTCTTTTTTTTTTTTTTCTGAGACCAAGTCTTGCTCTGTCGCCCAGGCTGGAGTGCAGTGGCGCGATCTTGGCTCACTGCAAGCTCTGCCTCCCGGGTTCGCGCCATTCTCCTGCCTCAGTCTCCGGAGTAGCTGGGACTACAGGTGCCCGTCACCACACCCGGCTAATTTTTTGTATTTTTAGTAGAAACAGGGTTTCACCATGTTAGTCAGGATGGTCTCAATCTCCTGACCTCGTGATCCACCTGCCTCGGCCTCCCAAAGTGCTGGGATTACAGGCGTGAGCCACCATTGGCTTCTTCAGTTTTATGGAACTACCAAATTTATAGGGGTTAATACACATAAAAATTATGCAATGGGGAAACATGTTTCTAAAATTATAAATGGTTCCCATCTGTAAAATACTAATATGTGACAGTCATTTAAACATTTTTTGCTTCCTAGGTTTTCACTACAAATTAAGGTTGCTAAGAATTAAAAATTCTAATTAATTTATACAATTCTGTAGACAAAGTGTACAGAATATGTATGTTTGATGAGAAAAACTATTTAAAATGTGTAAAAACATGTTTTTGTTTTATTTGAGTTTTTTGTATATTTAAAAATTATTTTAACTTTTTTTTAATTAAAAAAAAAATAGAAATAGGATCCTGCTACGCTGCCCAGCCTGGTCTCGAATTTCTAGGCTCAAGTGGTCACCTCCCAAAGTGTTGAGATTGCAGGTGTGATCCACTCCACCTGGCCAAAATGTGTTTTCATAAATCCAAAATATGGATTTATGAAAGAAATAAAAACAGGATAGAAAGGAACCCGTAAGTAGGACAGAAATGTGAAGAAAGGTATGAAGATATATTTTTGATAAGTACAGTTAAAAGAAAAAAGAATAATTTGGAATGAGAAAGGATCTTGTAAGTTTTTGTGTCCTAAAGTAAAATGACTTGTTAGCTAAGAAAGGGGAAGTTTAGGTTAAAGCAGAGGCCTAAGCATGTCATAGAAGTGCTAAGTCATGAAAGGTGTGTGCGGTGAGCCCAGATCGTGCCACTGCACTCCAGCCTGGGCAACAGAGAGAGACTCTGTCTCAAAAAAAAAAAAAAAAAAAGGAAATGCTTGAGGTATTTCTATTTTATCAACCAATTTAAAACCAGCTTATTTATCAGAGATGTAGTTAAATCACATGAACTAAAAGGTATTTGGTTCATTACTATGTATATATGTATGTATATGTATAAAACAGAGCTGCTTTCAATAAACCAGCAATACTCAACTAGTTTTATTTATCAAAGAACTACATGAACAAAGATTACTGTTTTTAGGTTGGGTTTATAGTTTTATGACCTTGAAACATCTAGCAGAGACACATATAATGTCTTCCCATTTTTTTGGGAAGGATGAATTTGGGAAAGGAATTTTTGTATGTGATCAAGTTGGCTAAAATTAGAAGGAAATTATTCACGAGTCTTTCTAAAGATGGAGCTTTCATATTAAAACTACACTGGTATTCTCATCTGAAGGCTCTAGGAGAAGTAAAAAACAAACAAAACAAACCTACGCTGATTTAAAAACTAAAAATTTGGTCCCCTATGTTAGTACCACAAGATATCCTTGAAATATAGATCTGCTTTTATTTTTATTTATTTATTTTTGAGACAGAGTCTTGCTCTGTTGCCCAGGCTGGAGTGCAGTGGCGCAATCTCAGCTCACTGCAAACTCTGCCTCCCGGTTCCAGTGATTCTCCTGCCTCAGCCTCGGGTAGCTGGGATTACAGGCACGTGCCACCACACGCAGCTAATTTTTGTGTTTTTGGTGGAGATGGGGTTTCACCATGTTGGCCAGGCTGGTCTCGAACTCCTGAGCTCAGGTGATCTGCCTGCCTCAGTCTCCCACAGTGCTGGGATTACAGGTAGGAGCCACCGCGCCCAGTCTAAATCTGCTTTTAGTAAATCCACAAGAAGCATTAATTTTTACTTCTGTGTTTAACAGCCATCTAAACTGAAGCTTTCATTTTTTTTTTTTTTTTCCTGAGACAGGGTCTTGGTCTGTCATCCAGGCAAGAGTGGATCCCTCCAAAATTCAGACACTATTCATGAGTATTCTTATGACAACATGGTTATTTGAAGTTTAAGAATTTGCTCTCTTTTTATATAGGATACAATTGGAAACATTGGCTATATTACCAAAGCTTTGATTGCAATATATTTGTGAATATGCATAGAATGCCTGGCTTCTGGGGTTCCCAGCCTTACAGTGAGCAACTAAAAATTGTCACTTCCTGGCAGGCCCAGGAAACTTCAGACTGCAGAAAAAAATCTAAAGTCTGTCTTGGTTTGGCTTCCTAGCCTCAAGAGGTTTGATAATCTGAGATTCCTGTTTTGTTTTGTTTTTTTTCAGACAAGGTCTGTAATCCCAAAGTGCTGGGATTACAGGCGTGAGCCACTGCGCCCAGCCTTCTGTGGAATTCTTAAAAATGGGACCCGCCTTTGGGAGGCCAAGGTGGGTGGATCACCTGCGGTCAGGAGATCGAGACCAGCCTGGCTAACACAGTGAAACCCCGTCTCTACTAAAAATACAAAAAATTAGCCGGGCGTGGTGGCGGGCGCTTGTAATCCCAGCTACTCGGGAGGCTGAGAAAGGAGAATTGCTTGAACCCAGGAGGCAGAGGTTGCAGTGAGCCGAGATCGTGCCACTGCCCTCCAGCCTGGGCAACAAAGAGTGAAACACGGTCTCAAAAAAAAATAAAAGGGGACCCGCTTTGTTCCTAAAGAGAGGGAACCCCACAGGGCAGGGCTAGGAGACAGTGACATGGACAGGGACTGCAGGATCAAGGCTCATGGAGTGTTTGGGGCCACTGGGACACCTGGGAACAGGGCCCCATGGAGGCCAGTGGAATCCCAGAGCAGGGAGTGAGTCCTCTCCCCCAACACCTGCTGAGTGACCCTGCTGGAGCCCTTCTTGTCTCTGGGCCTCAGTTTTCTCATCTGTAACATGGGAATAATAACAGGACCAACCAACCTCTTAGGGCTGTTGCAGGGTTTGTATAAGGCCATGCTGTGAAAATCCCAAGTGGCAGCAAGTCTGGCACAGAGCAGGGCCTCAGCCCCCGCCCCCTGTGCATACACACAAACAGATGCATATACACATGCACACACACATGCATACACACACGTGCATGCACACATGCACACAGATATGCACACATGCACACAGATATGCACACACACATGCATATACATGTGTATACACACATGTGCACACCCAAAACACACAGGGCTCGCTCCTCAAGGGGACCTCACTGTGCCTCAGTTTGCCCATCTGTAAAGGGGGTGATTATAGCCCCTACTGCATGACGCTGCTGTGGAGCTCCGTGAGTCAGTACCTGGAGGATGCCTAGGACTGGGCTGAACTTAGCCTGTACAGCCCCACGGGGAGCTGAGTGGAGAAGGTGGGCTTGGGTGTTGGGAGCAGAGGGGGCAGCATGGGAATCCAGGGGTTCTTAAAGGTCTAGGTGCCTGTCACCCATGAGGAGGCCCCAAGGGGTCCCTGAAGAACAGAGGCACCGATCTCCTCCTGCCGGGTAAGGGAGCAGGGCTGAGGCCAGGAACAGGCCAGTGAGAGCCTGCACAAGCCAGGGAGCCTTCAGTGTGACAGCCAAGGACCAGCAGAGCGCCAGCCTGCTAAGGACCCCGGGCCGCACTCAGGCCTGGGCGAGGGACTGACCTGGGGACTTCTTGAGGTTTCTCCGACTGTATGGAGCTCACCAGGGAAAACATGGCGGATGCCTGGATTCATTGCCCAGCTCCGAGCTCAGCACAAAAACTCCCTCTTGGAACAGTCTAGAAAGAGGCTCACCTGAGGCCCAGCACCCAGGGGCCATGATGTCACGTGGGCCAAGGCATCTGAGGGGCAGGGGCCTTCCCCATCCCACTGCTGCCATGGCCCGTGGCCCACTCTGCCCTGCCCTCCTGACCCAGGAGCCCAGTGCGTCTCTGTGGGGTGGGAGGAGCGTCAGCAAAGGAGAGGCTGCACAGGGCGCCTTCAGCAGTGACGGGAAACCAAGAGCAGGAAAAGCAACCCTGCTCAGCCCTGGGCGACTCAGACAGGAAAGGGCCTGAGCCCGAGGCAACCAGGAGGGGGCAGCCTTATCAGGGAGGCCGTGCCGCAGGCCTGAGTGCTGCTTCTGCCCTCATCCAACTGCAGCGGGACAGAGGCAGAGGCAAAGTGGGGGCCTGGAAGCAAGGCTTCTAAGGTGGCAACAGTGTCCCAGCCCAGCCAGGCGGTGGCTGCAGGGGCCCATGCGTGTGCGCCTGTGCCTGTGACCAGCCTCAGGGCCTAGGGGCAGGGAGCAGACCAGGGGAAAGGCTCTGTCCCTGGGGGGTGGCCGGGCAGGTGGAGAGCCAGGTTCAGATGGGTGACCCTGGGCTCTGCAGCTGCTGTGATCCTGGCAGAGGGGAGGAGGCGCCCTCGGCAGTCAGGAGCAGGATGATGGTAGTGACAAGGCCCTGCTGTGGACTGAGCCTCCCAGCCTAGGAAACCTGGCTCTGGCCTCCCCTGCAGCATGTGATGTTTGGCTCCAGAGGCCTTCTCCTCTGGGCTTTTCCATGCCTGTGAACTGGGCCCCATTCATTTCCCTGTGGTTTCATGGAAACGTCCAGTGCATTCAGGAGGTTGCAGTGTGCCCAGGAGGAGAGGGGTCAGCGAGAGGCACGAGCTGTGACTGGTGGGCCACCCAGAGGCCACGGCACCCTCTGCTGGAGACTGGCAGCAGGGTGCATGGCCAGCTGTGGGTGGGGGTCCATCAGTCAAGCAGCTGCACTTTCTCCCCATCCCCCTCCCCGACCCAGGCAAGGTGCTCTGCCTGCGGCTCCCTTTCTCCAGGCCTCCACTTTCCAGCTCCCAGGCACCCAGCCCCACCCGGCCTGGCCTGGAACAGAGCTGCCACCAAGATCTCTTCCACTTTCCCTCCCCAGCAGCCTGCAATTCAGTGCTCCGTAGACCCCTGCCTCCCGGGGCCCTGCGGTTCCCACCACACTACACTCAATTTCCAGCTGCTAAGAACACAGCAGGTTCTACGTAAAGGTGGCCGTCACCTGCACCCCATGGGCTGCCCGGCCATGGAGAACGGGCCATGGTTGGGTACACAGCTTCTGAGACAGGCCCAGCAGCTGCCTTCATGGCCTCGGCAGAGCCCAGGGCTCTGGAGCTTACAGGGAGCATGTGCTCAAGTGTGGAAAATTTGGTCTGCAGAAGAAATGAGGCTGAAATTGGCTGGGAGCAATTCTTATCAAAGCCACGTTAGCAGTTTTCAGCAAGAGCTAATTGAACAAGCTCTGTGAGTGGCCTCATTCCATTAGCAGGAGCCTCCCACAGAGCGTGACAAGGGCCCTGGTGGCTGAGGGCAGAAGAGGCTGTTTCTGTCCCACATTTGCCTTTGGCCTTTGAAAATGGACACATTTTCAGCTTTGGGCACTGGTCCTGCTCCTCTGCCCCGGCTCCCGCTCATTTCCAAAGCCACTCTCTGAGTGTCCTGTGTGGGGAAGGGGTGAGGTGAGTTTCTCAGCACTTCAGCAGGTGCGTGGATCTGAAACAGGACAGCCTTGGAGACACGTCCTCCTTGCCAGGCAGGGTTGAGAGGCCAAGTGCAGAGGAGCCGAGAGTCTGAGGGCCAGGCCCGAGCAGTCTAGGTCAGGAGATTGGGCCCTGCCTTAGCAACGTGCCTGGGCCTGAGGAGAGACCCACTGCCGGCCCAGTCTCCCTCGACTCCTCTGGAGCCATGGAGTCCTCAGGGAGGGGACAGGAGGCAGCTGGGGTGTGGCCAGGCCAGAGCTGAGCTGATGGAACCTGAACCCCACTTTGTGGGGTGGCCATGCTCTCTGCTTTCTCCTCTCTGCTGTGCCCAGTAGACTGGAAAAGATAGATCCAGGGGTGCAGTCCTCTGACCTGAGCTCCAGGGTCACCTGTCTGGCCTCCAGCCTGTTTCCTCCATGCTAGGGCTGTCAGGGCAAGTGTCTGACCTGGGCCCGCAGGGCGCTGGTCAAGGGGCCCAGGGAGGTGGGGTCCAGCCCTCTGTGCCCCTGACTGACTGTCTGATCTGGGCAAGGTCCTTCATCTCTTGGCCACTGTCACATGGCTTGGGCGACACTCCTCAGTGCCTCCAGGATGCTGTAAGGAAGCGGCATCTGACTGCACCCACCCTTTCTGCAGGGACCATGGTCAGGACAGAGCTGTGGACACTGAGCAGGGGCTGGCCTCAGGACCCACCCAGACAGGCCTCCTCATCTCCCCCAACACCACAGCGGTGCTCCGTCCTGGGAGCTGGCCAGTTGCCCTCCCCAGGACAGGACCTCAGGCTTCCACCCTGAGCTCCTTCCTCCTGCCCTGGGCCCTGCGGGCTGTCCCATAAGCTGGCTGCTCTCCTGGGGTCTTTCCCTCTGTGAGCTCCTCTGCAGATACATTCCGGCCTTTGGGATGCTTCAGACAGCAAGCAGGAAGCAGACAGACACCCCGCATCTCCCCCAGGCCAACTCCGGCCCCATCAGCAGCAACCTGGTGGGGAACTGTCCACACCTGCCAGTCTCCCTCCCTCCGTCCTCTTGGGTTTCTGAACCAGCCTCTCCAGCCGCACTGCCACTGTGACTTACTCCTTCTGGCCAAATCCAAGGGCCCTGTGCAAGCCCCTGCTCTTCTTGGCAGCTCTCACACTGGGGACAACCCGCAGGCTCCTCTGAAGTCCCAGAGCTGCTTCTCGGCCACTTCCTACTGCCTCTGCCTGGGAGCTTATCAGCTCCTGCCCCGCTGTGCCCAGTTGGGAAGAGGGCGCCCTTGTGGCCCCCAGTCTCCAGCCTTGCTCTTTCTTTTCTTTTTTGAAATGAAGTATCACTCTGCCACCCAGGCTGGACTGCAGTGGCACAATCCTGGCTCACTGCAAGCTCTGGCTTCCAGGTTCAAGTGATTCTCTTACCTCAGCCTCCCGAGTAGCTGGGATTACAGGCACCCGCCACCATGCCTAGCTAATTTTTGTATTTTTAGTAGAGACAGGGTTTCACCATGTTGGCCAGGCTGGTCTCGAACTCCTGACCTCAGGTGGTCTGCCCGCCTTGGCCTCCCAAGTGCTGGGATTACCCTGCTCTTTTTTGCTTCCTGGGGCTGCTTCTTGGGAGCCTTGGGCTGCTCAGCTTTCATCCCAGCCATGCCCTGCCTCTGGTCCAGCCTCCGTCCCTCACTGTGTCCTGCTTAAGGTCCCCGTGCAAAGTCCTTCCCTTGTTCCAACAGCCTTCCCCAGCTCCCAGAAAAGGTGCCGGTTGTAGAGTGTGACAGGCACCAGGCTGTCCCTGTACCCCTCCTGGCGCAGCCCTTCAGTCTCCCCTTGACACAGTCTGCCCTTGACTTCTTATTTTCCAAACTAACCTGATGCTTTTCTTTATTTGTTTGTTTTTTTGAGAGGGAGTTTCGCTCTTGTTGCCCAGGCTGGAGTGTGATGGTGCAATCTCGGCTCACCGCAGCCTCCACCTCCCGGGTTCAAGCAATTCTCTCGCCTCAGCCTCCCAACTAGCTGGGATTATAGGCGCCCACCACCATGCCCAGCTAATTTTTGTATTTTTAGTAGAGACGGGAGTTTCACCATGTTGGCCAGGCTGGTCTCGATACTCCTGACCTCAGGTGACCCACCCACCTGGGCCTCCCAAAGTGCTGGGATTATAGGTGTGAGCCACTGTGCCCAGCCTGTTTTGTTTGTTTGTTTTTGTTTTGTTTTGCCTCCGTGACTTTGCTATCTCACCCCTTTCCTATAAAACAGTCCTTTCTCACCATCTCTTGGAATTAGTCTGGCACTCAGGAATGCACCTCTGCTGTTGAGGCTCCAGGAAGTTAGGGCCAAGGCCCTCTGGTGCAGCAGTGCAGACCGCGGCCTGGGGGTGGGGAGACTGTGTGTGGCCAGTCTTTTATTTTTTATTTATTTTTTTATTTTTTACACCTTAGGCTTTGACCCACACAGAAAGAGATGGAACAGCCTGGGCTGCAGGGGCCTGGAAAGGGACGAGCATGTGGGTGGCACCACGCGGGGCAGCTGCAGGGGCAGGGGCTGCCTGTTCTCCTTCTCCCGGTGCTGCTCCAAGGGCACAGTTTGGTGACCGCAGCCACTTAGGGGAGCCTTGAGGATGCAAAAGAGAGTGAGGACACAAGGACACTAGCAAAGCCTAGCTCTGAAGGAGGAGGGATGCCATGCTGGGATGTCGCCACCGTCTTGTCTGAGCCCAAGGGTGGTGCTCGGTCCACCCGTGGGGAGCAGGGAGGAGAGAGGACAGGGCCCTGGCTGCCTCTGGCCTGCTTGGGAATGAGCTCCCTCAGGCGGAGCTTGACAGTATCCACACGCCCAGCAGCAAGCATCATCATCAGAAACACGCAGCCCAGAGCTGTGTGCCCAGCAGAACAGGGCACTGGGGCAGGGACCCAGCCTTCTCAGCTCCTGAATTGGAGCCTGGCATGCCCCATCTTAGAGTCCTTCATTCTGTGCAGATGCACTTGGCATCTAGAGTGGGACCGGAGTCTACGACACGGCATGGAAGGAAATGGCCCCTGTGTTCAAAGAGGCTGTCACAGACATGGCGGCTGAGTGCTGGGATGGGCTCTGAATGGGATGTCAAGAAGCAGGTGGCAGGAGATGGGTGGAGGGAGGGCGAAGGACGATGATGCTCACTGCTGGGCGTGTGGAAGGGGAGGGGAGCTGGACGCAGAACCTCATTCCCTGGAGGTAGGACTGAGCCCATGACGGGGGAGCCGCAGAGGGCCCTTCCAGCAGAGGGATGGGACCAGCTTTGGCGTGAAGGCCGCAGAGCAGAGCATGACTAGGGAGGCCACCTGGTAAAAGAGACGGAGGCTGGGACAAGACTGGTGCCCTTGTCAGAGGGAGGCCAGGAGAAGCTTCTAGAAATGTAGCTGCGTGTTTAGCCCAATTCCTAGAGTTGGGGCAACCATGCCAGTCACAACATAGGACGTGTTACAATGATGTCTTATTTTTTTTTCAAGGCCAGGCACTGGCACATTGCTTCCCTATTTTACAGGCTTTGAAAGAAATGGAGATTCTGAAAGCTTAACTAATTTATCTGGCAAGGCATGGTCTCTCATGCCTGTAATCCCAGCACTTTGGGAGGCAGAGGCAGGAGGATCGCTTCAGCCCAAGAGTTGGAGACCAGCCTGGGCAACATAGTGAGACCTCCTCTCTATAGACAAAATTAGCTGGGCAAGGTGGTGCGCGCCTGTGGTCCCAGCTACTTGGATGCTGAGATGGGAAGATCAGGATCACTTGGGCCACCAGGGAGGTGGAGGCTACAGTGACCCGAGGTCATGCCACTGCACTCCAACCTGGGCAACAGAGCAAGACCTTGTCTCAAAATTAAAAAAAAAAAAAGTTTGAAATCACGCAGTGAGAGTGGCAGGGCTGGCGTTCCAGCATCGTCCTTTAAGATGTGACAGCAACAGGTCCCACTTGAGACAGCAGGAACGCGGCACCCAGTGCTGCCTCTGCACAGGCCCGATGCTTGCTGGAACCTTAAAGGCAAAGGAGACCCGATCATAAACGCATGAAGAGCGCATGTTTCATGGGATTGATGTTGATGCTGGTGTTCCATGCGAGCCACTGAGGAGAAGCCCCTCTCTCAATGGCAGGGCCATGAGAGGTGAAGGACGCCCCTCCACCCCTCCCCCAGACAGGTCTTTCCTGGCCACAGATGCCCCAGATCCCTGAATGTCAAAATCGAGTCCCAATCTCCCAGTTGAGCAGAGAAACATTCAGATCTGGTTCCTCCGTGATCAGGGAAGGCAGGCTTCCTCTGAAGCGCAGATGGCTTCACCCCTTTCTCATCTCATCACCTCTAAGCCCTGCCAGGGCGAGAGCAGCCTTTCCCAGCATCGTCCTTTAAGATGCAACAGAAACAGGTCCCACCTGAGCCAGCAGGAATGCGGCACCCAGTGGCTGGCTCTGCAGTCTTGATGCTCGCCGGCACCTTCAGGGTGAAGGACGCCCTGTCGTAAACGCATGAAGAGCCCTGCGTTTCATATATTGATGTTGTTGCTTTTTCTTTAGAGGAACGTTTGTGCACTGTGGGAACCTCTGTCTCTACCAGTGTCACCCTTGCTGTGGGGAGTGTGTACCGTGTGCGGGGGGCTGGTGGCCTTTCTCTGCTGTCTGCCACAGCGTGTGAGGGGCTCGCTGAGCCTCACACCTGCCCTATCCTTCCCCATCCCCTCCTGCCCCGGGGAGGCACAGACCCAGGGAGGAGGGGTGCTGGGAGTGAGTGCTGAGGAGCTGGGGTCCTGGCCCTGCAGCCACTGTCACACCACAGCCCCACCCCAGACCTCCAGAGTCGTGGGACTCTGGTGGCACAAGCTCCAGAAGCTTGGTCGATGCCAGGTCTGGGACCGAGGCCCCCGTCTCCGAGGCCTTGGCTTGCTGTTCTGGAAGGTGATGCTGGCTGGCAGCCATTCCCAGCCCCTCGGAGAGCAGTTGTCAGGCAGTCCCTGAGCTCCAGCGCCCCATTCCCAGCAGGGCCCAGTGATCTCATGCCTGTGCCCCTGGTGCTGGGAGGAGCGGGTTGGCACTAGGGCCGGTGCCCACATCAGAGGAGGAAGGTCTGAAGCCAGGGCAGGGGGCAGGGCACCCTCCCGTCCAGCGGCCCCAGTGCCCACTCCATTCCTTCGGGGCTCCCGTGGCCCAGAGTGTGGAGCGGCGCGGCCTGACCACCCAGGATAGCTTGGGGCGTTTCGGAGGTTTGGCTGCCTAGGCTGTGCACCTAGCACTGCTCCCCAGGAGAGGGAGGGAGGAGGTCAGAGTAGAGGGCCCTGCTGACCAGGTCACTGTCACAGCCTCCATCTCTGGCCCTGGGTTCCCATAGGAGCGCCTAGGCTCTAAGCTGGAGCCTCCCCATCCCAGGACCTTGGGGAGGAAGAGGCTGGGCGCCACCTGCTGGCCCACCAGGGAATTGACAGGGTGGGGGACTGTGGAGCCTGTGCTGGCCGCAGATGAGAGCCCTGACTCCCACCTTCCCTACCCCACCCACCCTGCACCGTCCAGCTCAGTTCTCTGACCCGTGGTGCCAGGTCCCATTTGCAATGGCGAATACTGAACTCGGTGCAACTCTGGCTGCTGGCAGCTGGGCTTGGCCTGCACCTTCCTGTCCCCAGACTCCACTGGGGACCTCCCTTCCAGCCATCCCAGGGCGTCACCACCACAGCCAGGGGCCAGCCCCACCTTCATTCACTCTTGCTCATAGCTCACCTCTTCTCTCCACCCCCATCTGCTACCTGCAGCATCAGAAGGACATGAGGGCACCAGACAGCCCCTGCAGCTGTCCTCAAACATCATGGCCAAGGCTGTGCCTGGGAAGTGGACTCTCTGCAGTGCCAGCTCCCTCCTCAGTGCCCTTGACCTTTATCTGGGTCCCTGCTTGATGTGGCCCAACTGGCTGGGCCAGAGCCCCACAGGCGCTGTCCCGACCCCCAGCCCCCTAGAGGGAGGGAGAGGCTGAGACGGCAAGGGAAGCAGAGACTCAGCCACACCAAGGGCCCTGGCAAGGTGGGCCTCTCCTCCATAGCCTCACCAGGCTTCACGTTCAAGGTCACCAAGAGTGCACTTGTTCACTGTTGAGGGCAGGGGTGACTCCTGGGACTGTGCTGGGGTCCAGGGAGAGCAGGTAGTGGAGTTGCCAGGGAAGCAGCTTGCCTGAGGTCTGTGGTCTTGGCAGGGGCTTCCACAGCGGCCCCACCCTCTCCCTGTCCCCTCCCTCCTGTCCTTGTCCTCGTGTTTACTGAAGATCATGAGAAGGGATGTGGAGAGCGCCTGCAGGAACTGAGAGCAGGAGCCTGGCTCAGCCCTGAGAGGCCCCCAGATATTCAATTCCTAAACCCATAGGGTGGGGCATGGGCACAGAGGAGAAACCGGGGCCGCCCGGCACAGCCCTGCTCTTTCACCCTGCCCGCCTGGTGGCCTCCTTAGCCTGCAGCCTCGGAGCGACCCAGTATGGGGGCATGCTGCCACCTGCTGGCCACACTTCAAAATGCAACCCAGGGTCGGCCTGGAGGCTACAGGTGTCCCTCTTCCCCCAGGCCTGCAACTGGGCTGGGGAAGGGGCACCAGGGAACAGCCCAGGTGCTCCTGCCCAGGAGGATTGTCCGACTGCGTGGGGAGAAAGTCCAGAACCGTGCTTGGCACATGGTAATCTTTGTGGAATGAGTGAACAAATGAATGAATGAACTATGCATCTGATGCTTTTCGGTGATGATGACCCAACCAAGATAGATTACATGAGCCATTTTCCAGCAGGAACTGGGACTCCTCTTGGGCTGACAAGATGTAAGTATGAAATCTAAATAAGATTCCAATGGCACTAGACAGTGACACACGTGACCCTAGCTATAAATGCCCATGGAAGAGAATTCTGTCTGACATTCAGGGAAGACTTGGAGCGGGGCAAGGGGATGGGATTGATGGCAGAAGTGAGACTCACAGGACACGTGTGGGAGACCCCTGGCTGGCCATGTTGGGGGAGGAGGGGCAACAGGAAAGCAGCGCCTGGATCTCGAGGGACTTGGCCGGCTCAGTCCTTCCATCGGGAGCCACATTCATTCACAGCGACTGTTGAGTCTAACAACGCTCAAGTACAGCAAAGCTGGAGCAACAGGCCCTGAAAGGGTGACTCCAGGGTCTCACCCCACCCTGACTCCTTCCCTCCTGCTGCCTCAGACTCTCCTGTCTACCCTCAGAGACCCTGTCGGGAGGCTTCCCTCCAACAAGGCACCATCCCCAGGGAGAAGGGAGCCCAGCACTCCTGGCCCTGTGGGGTCCTCAGTCCACTCACCACTGCCACATGCCCCAGGGAGTCCTCGGACTAGGACCTGGGCCGGGCCCCCCTGGGTTCCTATGGCCTGGGCGAGCATGGTGCCCTCTTACAGCCTGGGCTGCCTGAGCATTCCAGGCATCCTGTCATTCAGCAGAGATCTTTCCTCGGTGCCTTCTCTGGATTGGGTGGGCTGCTGAGCTCTGGGGCTGCTGCCGTGAATTATTTAATAGATGGGTGCTTCCCTGCTCTCCAGGGTCCCCCTCTGGGAGAGCCAGCACAGGAGCTAACCAGTCAGAGGAGAAGGCGGTGTAGACCAACTGGTGCAGGGGAGACCATGGGGGTGCTGGGCAAGACAGGGACTTGGCGGAACACATGAGATGAGGCAGGGCTGAGCCCCACAGCCAACTCCTCCCCCCAGAGCCGGGCATGAGGTGCTCAGCGGATGACCACCAGCTCCCCGAGCTGGACCACATGTCACACAGGTTTCTGGGATTTGCTTCTAGAAAAGCCTGACCCAAACATTTGGAGATGACAAGTACTCACTGGCCTGGAAGGAGGTGCTCACCAACATGTGCTTCCGGCCCATGCAGATAAGGAGGGCCCAGCCCAGTCCCCATGCAGGTAAGGAGGGCCCAGCCCCAGTCTCCCCCACTCCCGGGAGCACACTGGCCCCAGACCGGTGACCTCTACGTGCAAGCACAGGCCCCCACCGTTCCTGCCTGCTCTGGACATGGCTGGGTGGACGGGGGCTGCTCCTCCTCTGCCAGAGGGTGGGAGAGGAGGCCGACCCCAGGCAGCACCTAGGAGGGGGCACCCTGAGCCTCTTGAGTTTGAGCCGCTGTCTCCTGCTCACACTCGCTCAAGGACAGAGTGCCCTGGAGCTGAGGGGCTACTGAGACCTCCTGTCAGGCTGGGGTCCTGGAGGAGAGACAGGGTCCCATGTGGCTTCCTGTCCCAGGGAACACTCCGCAGCCTCCATCCCCACGTGGAGTCCAGAACCAGCTGTCAGCCTCTGGCCAGTGTGGGAAAGAAGCGGACTTGGCTGGGGGCCTAGGCCTGGGCCTGCAGGGAGGTGGCAGCCTGTGGGGTGGACAGCTGGGCTTGCTCTGGGATGCCTGTCACAGCGTCCCAGGCTGAGCTTCCCCCGTGCAGGGCCCGAGCATCCTGGGACCAGGACCCCAGAGGACCCTCGGGTCAGCGGGAGCAGTGGTTGCTGATGGGTCGGCTCTGGGTCCCGGCCCGGCCCAGGGCCAGGGACAGGCTATATTTTAGGGGCTCGGTCACTCGGAAGATTCAATCTGTTCACAAGAACTGGATGGCTTCAGCTGACCTCAGTGGATTTATTTTCTGACACTTCAAGCTCTGCTGGGTTTGAAGCCATCAGGGCCTGCTTGGGCCTGGTCACCGTGACCTGCCCCCAGTCACAAGTGTCTGCCCAGCCAAGCACCTGTGGCACCCACAGCGGAGAGGGGCTGGGCCGTGCCCACTGGGCTCTCTCTGTTCTACACTGCAGCGGCTCTAGGCCTGGCAGAGAAGGCGCAGCAGCCCCTGAGTCCCAGAACTGCCTCTGGCTCTGCCCTGCTGGGGCCCCTCCCATGTCCCTGCCTCTGACGCCATCACCTCCAAGGAGGTACAAGCCAAGCTGGAGCTCCAGAGATCGGAGCCGCTCCGGAGTTAGCCAGAGCCCGAACAGGCTGCATTCTCCTGGCTCGCCTCCCAGGGAGCTCAGAGGCGCCCTTGCCCGGGAATCCGATGGCAGAGAGTTACCAGGTCTGCGGTGCTCCTGTTCCTCAGCCCCGGGAACTGGGGTGGGGACAGGACAGAGCAGCAGCAGAGAGCACAGAAAGGTGTGAGGGGGCACACAGTCCCCAGTGAGCATCTGCATCAGGACACCAGGGCTGTCCCAGGGCTGTCCCAGGGATGGCTGGGCCTGTGGGAAAGCCATGGTCCCCACCCATCCCACCCGACCCTGAGCCACCTCCACCAGCCAAGAGGGGCCAGGGCCCTTCATCAACCTCACCCAGGTCATCTGGGGAACTGGGCCACCACTGAGAACAAAGCCCAGACATGTCTGGGAGTGGAGGCTGTGCCCACCTCCCCCAGAGACTTGCCCCCGACTTAACCCAGGGCCCAGCAGGGGCTGGAAGGGAAGTGGAGTTAGGGAGCGGAGCAGGTCACCATCAGCTGCGCCCTGGATTCCAGGGCCCGTGTGCACAGAGTAACGGGAGCTGGCTGTCTGTCTGGCCAAGGGCACAGGAGGGTGAGTGTGTACAGCAGCCAGGGAGCAAGGGAGCCAGAGAGACACACAGGAGTGACCTTGGACCTCTGCGAGGAACCCGTTCACTCGCTCCCAGGCAGTAGCACTGGCCCTGACACCCAGCCCTGAAAGCTCGGAGACTGCAGGACAAACAGCTTCAGGGGCTGTGGCCCCAGCTGGGACGGGCTATGCGCTGGTCCCTAGAGACTCTCGGTATCTCCCCCTGCCCCAGTCCTGCCTCCTGCCCAGCACAAGGGCCTTTGGAACTCAGCCCTCTGTGTCTCAGCCCCCGGGAGGGTCAGGTGTCAGAGACGAGAAGGGCCGAGGCTGGCAGGCCGGAAACTGCCTCCCTTGGCTGCTGTGGGGTGGAGTACCAGGGGACACAGAGGTGCTGGGGTGAAGCGTGGCTTCAGCTGCGTGGGATCAATGCCAGAGGGGATGAGGTCAGCTCCGACCAAAGGTGTGCCTAGGTCCGAGAGGAAGCGCCAGGAGCCTGAGGCCTGTGTTGCACGGGGCAGGGAATGGCATCCTGGGCTTTCTTGCCTGCCTCCCACTCTAGCCAGATGGAGCAATGGACTTGGCCTCCTTGAACAAAGACCACAGCCTCCTCAGCTTCTGCTTGTGTCTCCAGCAGACAGCGCCTGCAGCCCCCGGTCATACATGGCCACAGGCTTCCCCCTCCTCCTTCCTGGGCCAGAGTAGCAGCCTCAGCCCCATGCTGGGGAGGGGTAGACCAGAGACGGTTCCCTCCTGGTGGTGCCCAGCAGTGACTCAGCAGCGACGGCACATGTCTGGGCCATTCTCAGTGCTGCCACCTTGAGGGCATTTGGGAGGCCCAGGCAGGCCAGATTTGTCTCCTGGAGAGAAGTATGGGCACCCCTGGGCTCTGCCTGCCTCCTGGCCTCCCCTTGGGTTCCCTTGTACAGAAAGGGGCACTGGTCCTGGCCCTGGTCCTCCCTGGCTTTGCTCAGCAGCCAGCAGCCCGCCAGGTCTGTGCACACCAAGGCTGCCGATGGCAAAGCTGTGGGTGGCATGGGACCTCTGGGAATAGTCGGAAAGCTCTGGGCTGGCCAGGCTCTGACCCGCCCCACAGATGGCACTTTACTTCTGCTCGGGGCTGCTGCAGGACCTGGCACAGTTCGGGCACTATGCGCTCATCATGCCCCTGTACACACACTTCACCCACAGTGGGTGCTCGGTGGCCCAAGACCATTCAGCGGTGATGGTGGAGGTCCAAAGGTCGGGCGACCCAAGTGTAGGGGAACCCGACCTGAGAACTCTCTCTATGGGCCGGTGCTGCGGAAGCTGCAGGGGGTCTACAGCCAGCCCTGGACACAGCCGAGAGGAGGGCGCTGACCTCGGAGGGCTGCTTTCTGCTGCCCTGGGAGCTGGGTGCTGGGGTCCTAATCTGTCGTCTGGGGTGGAGCACCATGCAGCTCATCCCCCAGCCATCACCATTCCCCACTGCCCGCCCTCCACCCTCATGCCCCATACAACACCGCCCACGACCCCGCCCCCTCTTCCCAGGCTATAGGGAGCGACTAGACATGGCGCCCGATACCCTGCAGAAGCAGGCAGACCACTGCAACGACGGCCGCATGGCGTCCAAGCACATGAAGGAACTCAGCACCGGTCTCTTCTTTGCCATTCTGGTCAAGGTGAGCCCTCCAGCCTGGTGCCCCTCACCTCCCTCTGGCTCCCGACCCTCCTGGGCACCTGCTCACCAGGAGGCCTCGAGGAGCCCAGGGCAGTGCCAGGAGGTGCCATGGCTGCAGCACTGTCCCTGCAGGAGAGTGGCCCCCTGGAGTCAGAAGCCATGGTGATGGGCGTCCTGAAGCAAGCCTTCGACGTGCTGGTGCTGCGCTATGGCGTGCAGAAGCGCATCTACTGCAACGTGAGTGCCCTGGGAGAGCCCGGGGGCGGGCGGGGCAGCCCAAGCCATCCCGCACTGGAGGGGCACAGGCTGTGATGGGTCACACTCCACCCCTCGCTCCCCCAGCCCTAGCACAAAGCCCACCTGATGGGCCTTGCTGAGACGCCCAGCTCTCCCACCTGGGATGGTGGCTCCAGGCCCAGGGTCAGGCCTGGCCCCCTTCCCCAAGGACCCAGGAACCAGAGAGCAGGCCCCTCCATGGCCAGTACAGCTCGGCAAGGTGTGCAGGCTTTGGGGACTGTGTTTATAGGAACGTGAAGGAATGAAAGGCCAGCGAATGGTCCGTGGCCGCTCTGGAAACTGTGTCCCCTGAAGACAAGGAAGAGAGCTGTCCCTGGCTCGGCTCCTGCCCTGAGTGACTGTTGACTCACAGTTCTCTCTCCAAGGGGACATGGGCCTGTCCTAATGCTGCCTTAGGGGCTTGGCTCCAGCTGGCCCTGGGGTCTGCAGGTCACCACCTGCCCCTGTGCCTGGCTTTGAATTTCCTAACATCCAGAGTGCCCTGGGAGGACAGTGTCCAGCCCGTTGTGTGCAGTAAACGTGGTGTTCATAACCGGGAGCTGGGCAGAAGAGGAATGACAGAGTCCCCCTGCGGACCCTGGGGGCTCTGTATCCTGAAGTTCAAGCCTAGCTCACCCTGCTGTGGGCCCAGCCCTGCCTGCACTGACAGATGGCACCAGCAGGGGGCGCAGCGCTCCGCCGCCACAGTTCTCTGTCCCCACCTCAGTGCAGTCAGCCCTGGACGCCCCACCACTTGCCCCCAATAGCACACAGAGCCATGGGCCTTCCCAGCCCCCACCCCTGGCCCTTGGTCACTCTCACCTGCTGCCTCAGCCGAAGGTGGCCTGGCAGGGCCTCCCTGAATCTCCCTCCAGCCAGGCAGGGGTGGGCCAGGGCCAAGGGCCACCTCCAAGCAGTAAAGCCCTCCAGGGTGGAAGGGCAGGTGGCCCCCTCTGTGTCCCATCCCCCTTAGTCCTGGCAAACCCTCACCTGCCTCCTGCGGTGCCCCCTGCCCTCTTCTGTGTCCCCTGGGCTCCCCCAGCACTGCATCCTCCCGGGTAGGGTTTCAGGACCCCCAAGCCCTCCCAGCTCACCCAGACCCTTCCTGAGGGTCCTGCTTCCTGGCACCACCTTCTCTTCCTTGGGGACAACCACAGTGGAGAGAGGCAGGGCTCTGCCTGTCCTGCTAATGCAGGGGTGCTGGCCTTCTGGGGTCCTTTAGAGAACCTGATGAAAGCTATGAGTTTACAAGCAAGAAATTGTCTGGCACCGTTTTCACTAACAACATGCCCTGAAGGTGGACCCGGGCCCTCAGGTTGTGTTTTATAAGCCTTGGGAGCGCTCAGGATGCATTTGACTCCCCAGCTCTGCCCTGATCCAGGGCATTCATCCTGGAGCAGGCCCCCGTTACAGACAGGCGAGCAGAGGCTTCCAGAGGCCAAGGGAGGGTCCTGGGGGTCCTGCTGCAGGGATGGAGGCAGAGTTGCGCCTCGTCATCAAGCCCTGCCATCTTTGTCCCCTCACTGCCGGGCTCTGCACAGGTCATCACCATCTTCAGCCTGGTGGAGGTGGTCCTGTGGGCAGCCATGGCCCTCTAGTATAGTGCTGCCCTGAGGCAGCCGAGCAACCAGGGCCACCTGGTCCCCGAGGAAGAGGAGGAGGAGTAGGTCGAGTTTGAAAAGGAACCTGAGGT
Organism: Homo sapiens; assembly: GCF_000001405.40. Classification (NCBI taxonomy): domain Eukaryota; kingdom Metazoa; phylum Chordata; class Mammalia; order Primates; family Hominidae; genus Homo; species Homo sapiens. Next base: position 232,447,419 of record NC_000002.12, read on the forward strand.
CTGATGTGCTGGCCAAGCTCAGCCAAACCCTCCTGCCCCACCCCGCTAGCTTTAGGAATAGGACCTGATGACACCAAGGGGGATTTTTAATTTAGGTTTTAACAACTCAAGGGTTTGCTTTTGGTTTTACTTTTGCATTTTATTTAGTGTTTGCAGCTCAGTTTTTAAACAAACTGCAGGGGAGAGGATGGAGCTGGAAGGAAGGCTGAGACCTGGCCAGCAATGAGACCGGTTCCCCTTCTGCCCGGGCCCCACTGCCTTCTCCAGCCCAGGGAATGGGGCCTTTTCTGCAAATCAGTGTCAGGGAATAAAATCAAGTGTGAAGTGCCATCTGGTGTGTGGGGCGCCTCTGGGAAGCCTGGGCAGCGGAATGCCCCTTGCACCCAGGGCAAGGGACCCAGTTCAGGCTCCACCCCTCACTGCTGAGCCGATGTCACCACCCGGAACCTTCCTGTCAGTTCCAGCACGATTCAGAGTCGGCTACGTGGCAGATTGGTGCCGGAGTCTCATTCTGCCTGATTAAAAATGGAATTAGTATGCAGGACTGAGAGCGCCCCCGTCACCCTGACGCATGTGACTGTGTCCAACCCTGCCCCCACTTCCTCTCTGCACCAGCTCCGCAGGGCCTGGTGGGGGTCATAGGTCCTGCAACACCCTCTCCCCGCAGTTCCTTGGCCAACACTCTGAATGGCCCTGTCTATACCCTGGGTCTGAGTCAGTGCCCTGGCAGCTCCAGGCCCAATCCTGTGCTCTGGGGACAGAAGCAGGCCTGGGCCTCGGGGAGGGGACGAGGGCTCTCCAGTGCCTTCCCAACCTGGCCCCGTTGCCCACCCAGTGTCCTGAGCACCCATGGATCCCACCTGCCTTGGGGCCTGGGCAGAGCTGGCTGGCCACTGGGCATTCCCTTCCCCAGCCAGCCTGACCCCAGCCTGCACTCCTCCCCCTCTGTGGGGGAAGCTCCGTGGCTTGGCGTCCCCGAGAGCTGCTAGAAACTAGGATGAAAGCCATGGTGAGCACGGCCTCTGTTCCCCCGCACCATTTCCTGGGGTGTCGGGATTAACAAGCTCATTTGATCTGGTTACAGTGAATTTTCTTCAAAGAAACACTCAATAGGGTCCCTTGTCAGAGTGCGTCGCAGCACCTGAATGACAGCGACTGGTTATGGCTGCCTTTGTTCTGCCACTGTCAGATGGGGCTGGCTGTGGGAGGCGACCAAAGACATCCCACACCTGCCCTGGGAGCCTTTCCCTCCTCCAGGGCTCAGCCACCTCAGGCGGCCTTCAGTCTGTGTGTCCTGCCACCCCCGAGATGTCCCAGAGGCCACGGTCACCCCATCTGTTCCTGTCCCCAGAACCTTCTCCTGGAGCCAAGTATCTGCAGGGACAGACAGGCGAGCATCTGGGGGTTTGGTGTTGGGGTGGAGAAGGCTGTGGGGTGCTGCCCCAGCCCAGGCAGCCTGACTGTGAGAGCCCCAAACAGGAGACATCCCAGCCCCTTCCCCTCCCCTCCACGCTGCCCACCCTCTGAGGAGCAGTGGCCAAGTTCCTCTCTGGGCTTCTCAGGCCAGGCTGGCCCTGTCCCCCAGGGCCTCCCACGAAGCATGGGAGCTGTTCCCTCACAGGCAGCACAGACCCGGACGGACACCTGTCCCTATGTCCCAGCGCCCCCAGGCCCCAGTAAGGAGTAGCCAGGGGGGTGAACAAGGGGGTTCCTGCTGCCTGGGCTTGTTTGGGAAGCAGATGCTGGGCTCAAAGTTTCTTCAGAGAGCCTCACCTTCCGTGCTGGCCCCAGAGCATGGCGGGTCCCTGGAGCTGTGGAGGCCATGGCAGCCCCAGCCCACCCCACCCCATCTGGGGAAGTGGAAACCGTATCCACGAGGGTCAGGTCAGGTCTCTGCCTCCAGTGACCTGGCAAGGTTGTGCCCAGCCAGGACCTGGGCTCAGGCCCAGGCAGCCGCCACACCCTACCCAGAGCTCAGAGAAGGCAGCCCAGCCTTCTCCCCACACCAGTCACACCGAGCCCCGCGTCTGCATTCACTCCTTTAAGGAACATGGTTGACTGAATCCGGTGCCGCGCATTCACAGGATGGCTCTCCATGGGTCCGCTGGGGGCCCAGCCTCTTATGTGGCCCCTCACTAAAAGGACTCAACAGAAAGAGTGACCAGACACCGACCCTCATCTAAAGGAGGGTCATTCCCTGGGCTGTCCCACAGCACCTGCCGGCCAGGGCCCGGGCACAGAGCGAGACTGTCTTTTCCTCAAGGAGACAACGTGGGGGAGAGAGGGAGAGGTAGACACCATCAACCTCATTCCATGACCAGGGCCTGGCGATGCTCAGAAGCCAGTGAGTGTGTCCCAACCCTGAAGGGTCAGTACCGGCCCCCTGGACCTAGGGGGAAGATGGTGCAGGCAGTGACCTGGCCTGGGGAAGGAGCTGAAGCTCCCAGAGCTTGCAGCCACCCACCTGGGGAGAGACTGACGCCTCCCCAGTTCCTGTTAGGAAGGACCTCAGGAAAGAACTGGAATCACACAGACTGGGGTGGCAGCCTCCTGGCCCCTGAGGAGGATGTCAGGCCGCAGAAGGGAGGCACGGGCATGAAGCTTGGGAAGGGGGCACCAGAGGAGGCAAGGCCTGTGCAGAAGCAGCACCAGAGGCCACTGCAGCGGCTCCACCACCCAGCAGCACCGCCACGAGGCAGGAAGTGGGAGGCCAGGCAGGAGGGGCTGTGATCGCCCAGGTGCCAGGAGGAAGGGCTGAGAGGGGACAGTGCAGATGTCCAGAGAGGCCTGGCGGGGATAGGCCACCAAAGTCACAGGTGGGATGGGCTTTCTCCAGGGAGTTCTACAGCACAGATGGTGCCGCTGGCCGGGCCGTGGCCAGCTCTGCACATGAGCCTGCCCCAGTCCTTGCCGGGCACGGACCAAAGAGTGGTTCCTGGGTTGGAATCACAGAATTCAGGGGCTAATGGCAGTCGGGATGGGAATTGGGAGGGGGGAAGTGAATTAAATATTTGAGCCCTGGTGGAGGCTATACAGGATGTTCACGTTAAAGAAGGTTCTGGAGAAGGGGATGATTCTTGGAATGATGAGTATTAGTTTCCACATGCCTGAGTTTAGGTTCTGGATTTAAAACCTTATTGTAAGATCATCTCTTTGAACCTTCTCTCTAATTGTGGGGTCTTATGGTTTGGGGGAAATTTTACTTATTTTTGTTGTTGGTTTTTTGGTTTTTGGTTTTTTGAGACAGGGTCTCCCTCTATTGACCAGGCTGGAGTGCAGAGGCTGGAGTGCTGTGGGGCGATCAGGGCTCACTGAGGCCTGCACCTCCCTGGCTGAAGAGATCCTCCCACTTCAGCCTCCCCACTAGGTGGGAATACAAGCGAGTGCCACCATATCCAGCTAGTTTTAAAAATTTTTTGTAGTGATGGGGTCTTACTATGTTGCCAGGCTTGTCTCAAGCTCCTGGGCTCAAGTGATCCTCCCGTCTCAGCCTCCCAAAGTGTTAGGATTATAGGTATGAGCCACCATGCCCGGCCGATTTGTTTTTTTAACAGATAGAAAATCATTTGAGGGGGAAACTGATCCATTTAAATAATTTATTTTATTTTATTTTATTATTATTTTTTGAGACGGAGTCTTGCTCTGTTGCCCAGGCTGGAGTGCAGTGGCATGATCTTGGCTCACTGCAAGCTCTGCCTCCCAGGTTCACGCCATTCTCCTGCCTCAGCCTCCCAAGTAGCTGGGACCACAGGTGCCTGCCACCATGCCCGGCTAATTTTTTTTGTAGTTTTAGTAAACACAGGGTTTCACTGTGTTAGCCAGGATGGTCTCGATCTCCTGACCTTGTGATCCGCCTGCCTCAGCCTCCCAAAGTGCTGAGATTACAGGCGTGAGCCACCGCACCCGGCCTAAATAATTTATTTTACTTAAAAAACAGTTTTGCTCAACCTCGTTCATGAGCTGTGTTGTGTTCTTAATGTTTATCAATAGTACATTGCTCAGTTCTGGAAAGCACTTAGCCAGATATTTAAAAAGCAACAGAAATTGAAGGGCAAAATAGAAGATGGAACAAAAACTCTCCAATAGTGTATTCAACTTAACAGGTTTTCAACTCACCAGGGTGCTATTGGAATACAATTGTCCCCCTGGTTCCTGTCATACAAGATCAAAGTTAAACCACTAAACACAATTGCAGCATCCTTGACTTCATACACTTTCCTTTCCACACATCCATATAGACGCCCGAAGCACCCTTCAGGGCAGAATTGTCTTTTGTCCCTCACTCTCAGGGGACAACCATTCACTAGGGCCCACCTGCCAGCCACCCCTGCCACTGTCACTACTGCTGGTATTAGGGGGCAGGGGTGAAGGAGGTGGCCAGATCAGGGCTCGGGGTGCCTGGCTGAGTGCCCCCTCCACTGAGCCCATTCCTGTGCCTGCAGCTTCCCACAGGCTGAGGCCCCAGTGTCCTGCTTGTGCTGCTGAGGGGGCTCCATGGCCTGTTGAGAGGCCTCCCCAGGAAGCCCATAGGGAGGAGGTTGGGGTGTCTCCTGCCTTGGGGGTGGGACAGTCCCTTCTTGTTCCCACCCCAGGTACCTGACCCAAGTTCTCCTGTGCATGAGGAATGCCTGGATGTCCCTCCTTGGTAGGTGGGATGGGCCAGAGGGAGGTCCTGCCTACACAGCCCTTAATTAGGAATTTAGAGATTTGTGCTCTAGGAAGGAGCTGCTTCCGCTACCATTTGGCCAACTGTGTGCTGTGCAGACCCGCAGCTTGGAAACAGGTTTCAAGGATGTTCAGGACTTGCCTCGTGTTCATAAAGGTCAGGGGTCGCCTCTTGCCCCCTGCTCCCCTGCTAACTCTGCAGCAGGCCCTGGACTAATTAAGTCCCCGCAACAGCCCCGAGACCCAGGCTCTGTGAAAGTTGTCAGAATCAAAATGGAGCCACTTCTGTCCAACCCTAAGAGCAACAACAAAATCATGCGGCCGGGAGGTTCTGAAGGAGGGCCCTCCCGCACACCTGCCTATGATCAGAGCCCTTCCGAAGCCTCTGGGAAGGGCACAGATGCCTGCAACAAGACCTTTTTTTATTTTTTATTTTTTGCCGGGACTTTGCAGCTCACTATGTGAGTCACAAGGACGGCTAGCCGGCTGCACAAGAACACTTGCCTAATAACGCTGTGTCCACTCATAAACTTATGCCGGTTCCTGGGATAAGCCCCTGGAATCAGTGTTCTCTTCCTTTCAAAACAGCTGTGTAGGTGGATGTGGTGGTGAGTGCCTGTAGTCCCAGCTACTCAGGAGGCTGAGGCAGGAGAACCCGGGAGGCAGAGGTTGCAGTGAGCTGAGACTGTGCCACTGCACTCCAGCCTGGGCAACAGAGCAACTCAAGAAAAAAAAAAAAAAAAAGACAAAAACCAAAAACCGACCATGCACTGCTCCTTTCGCCTTTCAAAGCACCCCTTGCCTCCCCTCCTCCGATGCGCCCCTAGTTTACTAAGGCCGGGGCTCTGCATGCAATGCTGCTGCTTATTCCCAGTTAAACTCCATAGTTTTGGAGAGCCTCCCTCTGTTTCTTAAGGTTGACAGGACTATCATTCTTTTCGTTCATAGATGAGGGAATTAAGGCTTGGAGAGGTTCCGTTCTGAAGGACACTCAGTAAGTGGTGGACAGAGAATTTCAGCTCAGACTCAAAGGCTATTTAATTTACTTCTTTTAAATCCATGCTTCTTAGCACTCAGCTAGTCACGTATCACCTTGACAACTTTTTGCCGTAGCCACATTACTGCCTGTGGTATGATTTACTGAATATTTTTCTCTACATAAGCTCAGATTTGCCTTAAGTCTATTAGAAAAGGAAACTTGTAACTGAAAAATGGAAGACCACCATCTCTTGCCATAAACAGAAGCAACTGTGTATTCCACACACACCAAAAGCAGTGTTCTTACAGCCTCCTTAGATGTTTTGAGTCTAAAGCATGCTTTATCTTGTTAAAGGGGAGATGGCAAAGTTAGGGTGGCAGTGAAACTAACCAAAGGTGGGGAAACTATGCAAAGTCCACAAGGCATTTCTTATTTTTTTCTTTTTCTGAGATGTTGTCTCACTCTGTCACCCAGGTTGGACACATATCTGGTTGTCAAGGATTAGGGACAGGGGAAGAGGTAGAGGAAAGAGGTGGCCTGGTTATAAAAGTACCCTGTGGGGTTGGAGCTCTTCAGCATCTCAACTATGGTGCTGTTACACAAACCTACTTAGGTGATAAATTGTATACACACTCCCACACACATGCACACGAATACAGGTAACACTGGGGAAATCTGAATAATAACTGTGGATTATGCCACTGGGGGAGACTAAGCAAAGTGCACAGACATCTCTTGTACTTTCTTCTTTTTTTTTTTTTGTTTAGACAGGGTCTTGTTCTGTCACCCAGGCTAGAGTGCAATGATATGGTCTTGACTCACTGCAACCTCCACCTCCCGGGCTCAAGTGATACTCCCACCTCAGCTTCCCAAGTAGGTGGAGAGATAATTTCAGCTCACACCCAAAGGCTATTTAATTTATTTCCTGTGGAGGGACCACAGGAGCAGGCCATTTCGCTCCGCTAATTTTTGTATTTTTTGTAGAGATGAGGTTTTTCCATGTTGCCCAGGCTGGTCTCAAACTCCTGCGCTCAAGTGAATCTCCCGCCTCAGCCTCCTAAAGTGCTAGGATTGCAGGGGTGAGCCACTACGTAGGGCCTCTTGTATTATTTCCCTTTTTTTTTTTTTTGAGACAGAGTCTCACTCTGCCACCCAGGCTGGAGTGCAGTGGCATGATCTCAGCTCACTGCAACCTCCACCTCCCAGGTTCAAGTGATTCTTCTGCCTCAGCCTCCCAAGTAGCTGGGACTACAGGTGCATGCCACCACACCCAGCTAATTTTTTGTATTTTTAGTAGAGATGGGGTTTCACTGTGTTAGCCAGGATGGCCTTGATCTCCTGACCTCATGATCCACCCACCTCGGCCTCCCAAAGTGCTGGGATTACAGGCATGAGCCACCGCACCCAGCTTGTATTATTTCTTACAACTACTTGTGAATCTATAGTTCTGTCAAAAATTCCAACTTAAACATGAAACTCAGGGTGGCTATAAAGCCTCCTGACTCACCTTGACTTTGGAATCAATCAATCAATTAATTGAGGAGACCCATTAGTGAGTCTCCTCTGACTTTCAGCCAAGAATGTTCCTAACTCAGCAAGATGAAGCAGGAGGTAGAGGAAACTAAGGGGGCAACAAGCAGGGGGCAAGAAGGACCTATGAGAGCGACATCTTCCCTGAGAGCCCCAGGACGACCACCGGGAAGCCAGGAGGGCGCAGGCAGGAGGACCCGGGAAAGCTCGGCCTGAGGGAGGCCCTAGGCGTGGTGGGGAGTGGGGCAGGGCAGGCAGAGGCTGGGCAGCAGGTGAGGTCCCCTGGGTTCTGAGGGCCAAGCCTGGGGTTTGAGGTAAACAGGCTCGAGTGGAGAAGGGGCTGCTGTGGTTGGGCTGGGGTGGGTGGAGCTGGAGGAGCCTTTTCTTCTTGAACCAGTTTTTGAATTGTGCTACAAAACACGGTACATCAAGTTTACCTCCTTCACCATTTTCAAGTGTACAGGGCGGCAGTGTTGAGTACACGCACAGTGTTGTGCAGCTGATCTCCAGAACATTCTCATCCTGCAACCTTGAAGCTCTGTCCCTATTAAACTCCAACTCTAACCCTAACCCCAACCCTAACCCATTGCCTCCTCCCTCAGCCTCAGGCAACCTCCATTCCACTTCTGTCTCTATGTATTTGACTCCCCTCGGGACCTCAGAGAAGTGTGTTCGTGCGTATTTGTTCTTTTGCACTGGTATATTTCACTGAGCATAATGTCCTAAGGTTCATCCATGTTGTAGCAGGTGTCAGGGTCGCCTTTGTTTTCAAGGCTGCGTGATACTCCATTGTATGTGTGCACCCTGTTTGGTTTCTCCATTTCTCTTTTGCTGGACACTTGGGTAGCTTCCAGCTCTTGGCTGCTGTGGATAATGCTGCTGGGAACATGGGTGTGCAGTTATCTGTTCGAGTCCCTAGTTCGCATTCCTTTGGCTACACACTCAGAGTGGGATGTCTGGACTGAAGCAATACTTTTGAACTCAGCCTGAGGTTACCAAACTCTCTGAACTCCTTATCAGAGGCTACACTTCTGGGTGTTCCCCGGGGCCCATGGAAAACAGACTCACCCCAGGCTCCATCTACCTGTGCAAGGGAACAGGGGTCAACCTCAAGTGCACAGGCTGCTCTGGAAGACCCAGCCCAGGTCTGGCTGACCCAGAGCACTGGCCCCTTCCCAGCCTGCGTCCTCAGGACATAGGTGTGGGCACCCATATACACCAAGTGGGTTCTAGGGCAGCCAGGCCACCCAGTGTGCCTCCTTTCACACTCCTCTGGGGCTCGTGACATTACGAGCCCTAACCCGGGCCCTGGCCTAGGCTGTGTGTTTCCAGTCTCACCTCTCTTCACACCTTGAATGAGGTGAATGAAGGAGTGGCAACGCGTCTCCCACAAGACACTGTGAGCCACACCCAGTCCCTTCCCTTCAGCAAGCTTGGCTTCAGGTCACAGGACTGGGCGGGGTCAAGATGGACACCAGGGGTGTGGGGAGGGACGTGGAGCATTTACAGCCAGGGGCAAAGTCCTCCCCTGATTTAAACCCAGGCAGCCTGCGCTGCAGCCGGTTCCTGGTGTCCCCACTTCGCCTCCCTCCTGCTGCCCCCAAGACATGCAGGGGCCCTGGGTGCTGCTGCTGCTGGGCCTGAGGCTACAGCTCTCCCTGGGCGTCATCCCAGGTAATGAGGCTCCCCAAGCTGTTCCACACACAGGGCACCCCCTCAGCCAGGCTGACCTGATCTCTACTCTCCCCCTGGCCAGCTGAGGAGGAGAACCCGGCCTTCTGGAACCGCCAGGCAGCTGAGGCCCTGGATGCTGCCAAGAAGCTGCAGCCCATCCAGAAGGTCGCCAAGAACCTCATCCTCTTCCTGGGCGATGGTGAGTGAGCAAGGCCTGTCCAGCCCCGTAGTCCTCACAGCCCCGGCACCCGGGACCTTCAGTGGTTCCAGGACAACCCTGGGGCCCAGGACTCACACATTTCTGCTCCTTCAGGGTTGGGGGTGCCCACGGTGACAGCCACCAGGATCCTAAAGGGGCAGAAGAATGGCAAACTGGGGCCTGAGACGCCCCTGGCCATGGACCGCTTCCCATACCTGGCTCTGTCCAAGGTAAGGGCTGGGCCACCTCAGAGTCCTCCAAGCAGAGGAGAGGGATCAAGGATATGGAGTGTGGCAGGAGGGAGGGAGCCAGGACAGCTGGGGCCTAAGTTAGGAGCTGGGAGCAGTTAGGATCCCAGAGGACCAGAACCAGGTCCTTGGTTGGGGTCTGGGTGTCCGCCCCGAAGTAGAGCTCAGGGTGTCTCCGTTCGCAGACATACAATGTGGACAGACAGGTGCCAGACAGCGCAGCCACAGCCACGGCCTACCTGTGCGGGGTCAAGGCCAACTTCCAGACCATCGGCTTGAGTGCAGCCGCCCGCTTTAACCAGTGCAACACGACACGCGGCAATGAGGTCATCTCCGTGATGAACCGGGCCAAGCAAGCAGGTGAGCTGGGGCCCGCTGTGGGGTCAGGACCAGGCCCAAGATCTCGGTCACCGATCCTGACCTCTGTCACCCTCAGGAAAGTCAGTAGGAGTGGTGACCACCACACGGGTGCAGCACGCCTCGCCAGCCGGCACCTACGCACACACAGTGAACCGCAACTGGTACTCAGATGCTGACATGCCTGCCTCAGCCCGCCAGGAGGGGTGCCAGGACATCGCCACTCAGCTCATCTCCAACATGGACATTGACGTGCGACCCCCGGGCCAAGGGCTGGGGCTGGGCAGAGGGGAAGGTGGCACAGGCTCAGATCCAGGCAACCAAAAGCCTGATCTGGGTCAGCAGGTTCTGGAGGTGGAGTTGGGGATGTAGAATGTGCAATACAGGCTGGGCCATTCCCACAGCCCTGGGGAGGGGAGCCAGGGGCTATGCATGAGGAGGGGGCACGGGGCCAGCCAGGCCCCCAAACCACCTGCCCCATCCATTGTCCTCAGGTGATCCTTGGCGGAGGCCGCAAGTACATGTTTCCCATGGGGACCCCAGACCCTGAGTACCCAGCTGATGCCAGCCAGAATGGAATCAGGCTGGACGGGAAGAACCTGGTGCAGGAATGGCTGGCAAAGCACCAGGTGATGGGGGCTGGTGGGTGTGGGAGGCACGGCAGGGGGAGGCCAAGTGTGTGGGTCTCAGGGCTGTGGGCTGAAGCCTGGCTCTGTCCCTGCAGGGTGCCTGGTATGTGTGGAACCGCACTGAGCTCATGCAGGCGTCCCTGGACCAGTCTGTGACCCATCTCATGGGTAATGACCCCCTTCCTGCCCTGGCATTCCTCAGACAACCTCAGAGGGTGCCATCCGAGCCTGTGTGCCCATTTGCCAGCACCCTCCCGCTCACAGCCTGCCAATCACCACCAAGCTCCTTGTCCCACAGGCCTCTTTGAGCCCGGAGACACGAAATATGAGATCCACCGAGACCCCACACTGGACCCCTCCCTGATGGAGATGACAGAGGCTGCCCTGCGCCTGCTGAGCAGGAACCCCCGCGGCTTCTACCTCTTTGTGGAGGGTGCGTGGTGGCCCCTGGGGAGTGGAGGAAGGCGGGGCGCGGCAGGGCAGGTTCAAGCATCACCCCCCTCTGGCCTTCCTGCAGGCGGCCGCATCGACCATGGTCATCATGAGGGTGTGGCTTACCAGGCACTCACTGAGGCGGTCATGTTCGACGACGCCATTGAGAGGGCGGGCCAGCTCACCAGCGAGGAGGACACGCTGACCCTCGTCACCGCTGACCACTCCCATGTCTTCTCCTTTGGTGGCTACACCTTGCGAGGGAGCTCCATCTTCGGTAGGCCTGGGGAGAGTGGCAGGTGCTGCTGCATCAATTATGAGGGTGAAGTTTGAGCTTCAGTTTCCTCCTCTGTCAAAAGTGTGCAATGCTGGCACCAGCCCTATAGGGATCTTGTGAGGACCGAGCCCCCGAACAGGCAAAAAGTGGCGGTGCCTGGCACATAGGAGGCACTCCCACAGCTGTGGTCAGCTCAACTACAGGGACCCGCATCTCCCTACAGGGTTGGCCCCCAGCAAGGCTCAGGACAGCAAAGCCTACACGTCCATCCTGTACGGCAATGGCCCGGGCTACGTGTTCAACTCAGGCGTGCGACCAGACGTGAATGAGAGCGAGAGCGGTGAGTGAGGCTGAATGGCCCGTGCAGGGGGACCAGGGTGCCAGGGATGGGGGCATTCGCGGGAGGGGGACGCCGCCTGCCTGCCCTGAAGTGCACTCACCCTCCTACCAGGGAGCCCCGATTACCAGCAGCAGGCGGCGGTGCCCCTGTCGTCCGAGACCCACGGAGGCGAAGACGTGGCGGTGTTTGCGCGCGGCCCGCAGGCGCACCTGGTGCATGGTGTGCAGGAGCAGAGCTTCGTAGCGCATGTCATGGCCTTCGCTGCCTGTCTGGAGCCCTACACGGCCTGCGACCTGGCGCCTCCCGCCTGCACCACCGACGCCGCGCACCCAGTTGCCGCGTCGCTGCCACTGCTGGCCGGGACCCTGCTGCTGCTGGGGGCGTCCGCTGCTCCCTGAGTGCCCCACTCCGGAGTTATCCTGCTCCCCACCTCCGGGCGTCCTGCCCTGTTCCCCGTCCTGAGCCGCCACTTCCAGCGAACACACACAGGTGTCCTGCCGTTGGACCTTCACCTCCTAGAGATAAACCAGCCTCAGCTGGCGCAGCGGGGCCCTTCTTCCCTCCGCATCCCCTTCAGGGAGCAGGAGCCCAGGGCGCCCTGGGAGCTGAGCCTGGGACTTCCAGGACCTCCCCTCAGGTTGTTCTCTGATTCTTCCTCCCAACCCCAGAGACTGCAGATTTGTGCCATGCGGCTGCCTGCACCCCAGACAATAAAGGGACCAAAACCACCCAACCCCCACCCTGCCTCTATCCTAAGGAAGACCAAGCAGGCCTGGACCCAGAGACGTCCCCCATCGTGGGACACGACACACCCAGACCGCGTGCCCCACCGTCTTAGCTTCAATCCTGGCAGCACCTGGTAGACCCAAGGACTTGGGTGGATCAGGACACCTGAAGAAGAGAAGCTTCCGGCAACCCTGCAACCCACCCAAGGAGGCTACTGGATCGGGGATTCCCAGGGGGGCTTTGACACAGTCCTCTGCTGTCTCCCCACTAGGATCATTCCACACCCCTGCACCTGACCAAGGGACCAATGAGGCAGAGGCTTGCCCCAAGTCACAGCCACTCAGATGCTTCCTGCCCCCCAGTGCCCATTCCAGGTCACCAGATCCAAGGAGCGCTTGAGGAGCTCTGGGTACAGGGCAGCAACCCAGAGCCCATGGGCCCTCCCGGGACATCTGGATGCTGGGCATAGATTTCTCAACAAGGAAGACTCCCCTGCCTCCTCAAGGTCTCCATTCTCCTAGGAGACAAAGCAATAATAAAAGGTGTTAGACAATGTAATGCCAGTACTACTTCCTAGGAGAAAAATCATGAGTGAGTGTGGGCACAGTATCTGGAGAGGTGGATAACGCAGGCCAGGAGGTACTGCTGAGGGGCAGATGATTGAGCAAGAGACTTGAACAGAGTGGGGGCTTGAGCAAGGCAGCACAGCAGTGCAAACGCCCTGGGGCAGTGTCAGCAGGTGCTCTGGGAGGCCAAGGGCTGGATCAGAGGGGTGGGGGTGGGTGGGCAGAGTGGGGAAAGCCTGAGGGGTCAGGAGAGTGGGGTGTGCATGGGGGACTGTGAAGTCTGGTTAGAGGGGTGTGGTTGGAGGTCTTTGAGGAGGGCTGTGACCTGCCCTGGTTGGGAAATAAGCACTCTGGCTGCTGCCAGGAGAAGGGTCTGGTCTTTTGGGCAGAGGGTGGGGGTGGTGGCAGGCTCAGGTGAAAGCTGGGGAAGGAGCTGACTCCAGGTGTTTCTGACCTCCCTCTGAAAGTATTCTGGAGCGCCCATCCCAATACAGCCATACTTAGTGAGTACACACCTGCTCCAAGAGAACATTGAAAAGAATAAAGGTGAAATCAACCACATTTTCCAGCAAATTTTGCAGTATTACAAATTTATTTGTACATTTACAAAGGTGCAAAAAAGCATCTTGCTTTTGCAAGAAATAGTAACATCATTCAATATGCTTTCTTATTTACTAAAACCTTGAAATAAAATTGTAAAACATCAGTTTGAAGGCCTGACTCTCAGGGTAGTTCTTTTTTAATTCTGGGTTTTAGTAGCTGTCACAAAAATATTGGAGGACCATGATCCCACTTGTGAATAGCCATAGGACTCCAGCCTGGGAAGCATAGCGAAAATCTGTGTCTAAAAAATGAAATAAAAGGATGAATTTTATGGTATGTAAATTATATCTAAATTTTAAAAAACAGATTCGAATATATAATCTGCTTTCAAGTTTTTTTAAATGTGTAGGGATCAGGGTTTTATCAGTCAAATACATTTTTTACCACAAAATTCACATGTCAATGAAAACATTCTCAAACTTTGGTTCTAAAAAATGTTTTCTTTGGCATGAGTTTTCATTCCAAGATGATTACTTTCTCATTTTTTCATTGAAAGGACATCTTTACCTTGAAGGAGCAGATGCAAGAAAAGTACAATTATTTTTCAAGCTTTTTCCTGATTGCCTAAAACAGACAGCTCTTGTCATCTCAAAAGTGTCAGCATTTTGGTCTTTAGGAAGGAGGGAGCCCGGGCGCAGTGGCTCACGTCTGTAATCCTAACACTCGGGAGGCCAATGTGGGCAGATCATTTGAGGTCAGGAATTCGAGACCAGCTTGATCAACATGGAAATCCCATCTCTACTAAATATACAAAAATTAGCCAGGCATGGTGCCGTACACCTGTAATCCCAGCACTTTGGGAGGCTGAGGCGGGCGGATCATTTGAGGTCAGGCGTTTGAGACCACCCTGGTCAACATGGTGAAACCCTGTCTCTACTGAAAAGACAAAAATTAGCCAGGCGTGGTGGTGGGGGCCTATAATCCCAGCTACTCCGGAGGCTGAGACAGGAGAATTGCTTGAACCTGGAGGCGGAGGTTGCAGGGAGCCGAGATCACATCACTGCCTCCAGCCTGGGTGACAGAGCGAGACTCCCTCTCAAAAAAAAGAAGGAGGGAGGTGGGAGTGGGGGTGAGGATTTAAAAATTACCTATCGGGTACAAGCTCATTATATGGGTATTGGGTTCACTAGAAGCCTAATCTCCACCAGTATGCAGTCTACCCATGTAATAAACAAGCACATGTACCCCTGAATCTAAACTTTTAAAAAAGAATATTCACAGGAAAAAAAAAGAGTTAATCACAGGGAAGCAGAAACAGACATACATTAAAAATTACTGATAAATTTTTTAAAAATAAGGAGGGAGGGCCAGGCACGGTGGCTAACACCTATAATCCCAGCACTTTGGGAGGCCGAGGTGGGCGGATCACGAGGTCAGGAGATTGAGACCATCCTGGCTAACACGGTGAAATCCCGTCTCTACTAAGAATACACAAAATTAGCCGGGCTTGGTGGCGGGCGCCTGTAGCCCCAGCTACTTAAGAGGCTGAGGCAGGAGAATCACTTGAACCCAGGAGGCGGAGGTTGCAGTGAGCTGAGATCACATCACTGCACTCCAGCCTGGGCGACAGAGTGAGACTCCGTCTAAAAATAAATAAATAAATAAGGAGGGAGGGAAAGTCAAGCAGAGAGGGAGGGGAACTTGGGGCAACCCTCTTCGGTATTTTGCTATGAAGATAAGTCATTCTGTGTGGCTGGAAAGTTTTCATGGTCCACCCAATCTCCTTACCAAGTATGGGAAAGATTCTACTGTAATGCCACAGTCTTGGCTTTATAACATTAGCCCACTGATGGTCTGCAACATTCTATGCCCTCCAGGCTTCTACCTCTTCCCTGCGCTGATTAGACTGTGGATGAGCCAATGAGTGAGGGGTAAGGGTGAAGCCACCTCTGCACCCTGATTCGTATCCAGAATCCTTTTTTAAAAAACCCTTTCTGAGTAGCTATTCTATCTGTGGTTGCATTTTTACCGTTTTTCCCATATGACATCGTTTTTATTAAAGAAGGCATTTACTGTTGGCAATATATCTTGTCTGCTATATCTTCCCTTTAGTGGCTCAAAAAAAAAAAAGGAAAGAAAGAAAGAAGTGGTTTGTGTATTTCATTATTGGAATAGAACCTGGCAAATACCTTCAGCTGAGCCATGTTGGGAACATCTGTGCTTTCAGCACACTGCAAAGCAAACCTCCCACACTGGGTAATTTGCTCTAACATGAGTTTCTTCCAATCTTCGGCAGTGTTTTCTCTACATCTTTCGATGGTGTTTGCTGACAAAGAAATGCCTTTCGGTTTGTCGACAGATCATTTATTGTTCATTGTTTCTGCCATTTTTCCTGCAGCAGAAAGAATAAGTGTCTGCCCATTGGTAGATGTTTTTTGCTTCATGCTATCATGCAAGAAACTTTAAAAGAGCTTTCCAAATATTTATCATTGCTTAGGGAAATAACTAAGAAGTACTGGGTTGAACAGCACAGAACTTTAAACACCGCTGGGAAAAAAACTGCTCAGGTTTCTCTTCGGTTCTGAAAGCTTAGTTTTAGACACCTTGCCAACCATGAGGATTTCACACTGCTGATGACTTAATAGCTCCAGGCACCAGGCACCCGGGGCAAACTTCAGCAGTAACCACAGAGTGGGGGAAATTCAAAGAGTTTTGTTTGCTGATTTTTTATTTTAGGGGCTAACTTCTGGTCAGGTCTGTACCCTGAGCTCAGCCAAGAGTAATAAGGAATTCTCAGCTCTCCCTTCTGCTGTGGTTCACCTGCTCTGGATTTCTGGTGTTCATTGCAGATTCCTTACAGGAATCTTGTGTGAGCCACTTGGCCATTTTGGGGGATGAGTTCGGTTAATACCAGATCATATAAGCCGAGCGCGGTGGCTCACGCCAGTAATCCCAGCACTTTGGGAGGCTGAGGTGATCGGCCATCACCTGAGGTTGGGAGTTCAAGACCAGCCTGACCAACATGGAGAAATTCTGTGTCTACTAAAAATACAAAATTAGCTGGGCTTGGTGGCGCATGCCTGTAATCCCAGCTACTCAGGAGGCTGAGGCAGGAGAATCATTCGAACCCGGGAGGCGAAGGTTTTGAGATGGTGCCATTATACTCCAGCCTGGCCAACAAGAGTGAAACTCTGTCTCAAAAAAAAAAAAAAAAACAAGATCATATAATCCATCAATCCACTTAGACGCACTAAACTCTAATCCTCCGCAATCCGCTGAAAGCGTGCAATCCAGAGTGGGTATTGCATCAACCCCTGGTCTCGGGCACCAAATTCCCTTCTTCTGGGACACCAGAGAACTGCGTGGGGTGGTACCTGCATGAAGGGTGAAGGCGCCAGCATGGAACTTGATATTAAACATGAGCTCTTGGGGCGCCCACTGCTCAGGGCTGTGGCAAGGCATATGGCGAGCTGAGCAAACAGTAGGCACTCAGGAGTGCCTGACATCCCTTTAACCAAACCCCAAGGTCCAGGTGAGTTTTGAAGTACTTGAGTACTGGGCAGGATGCCCAGGCTGAGCAACTCCCTGTGAGCAGGGGTATCTCACTCCCTGCAGAGCACAGACCCCAGAAGGCACCACAGGTTCAGTCCCCAGCAGATTCGAAGCCCCCTGCCCATCGAGTTCCCTTGAACCCCTGCCCCTGCACAGATCCAGTGATTGGCACAGGAAGCCTCCAGATCCAGCGAGAGGAGCACACTCCGGCAGCCTCTCGGGAGGACTCAAGGGGGATCCCAGCTGTGCCATTCTGGCCTGGGTGCTGAAGTTGCATCTGATCGTGCCCTGGCCCCACTGGTTCTAGGAACAGGCCTCCCCACCAGGTTAGCAGCTGCATAACTGGCCTCTGCCCCTAGAGGAAGCCTCCCTGAATCTCAGCCTCCCAGAGGGGCTCCAGAGGCCTTCCGGAAGCTGTGTGGGATTTGCAGTTGCACCCCTTCATCTAAGGCGGCCCCAGGGTCTACTGACCCCAGCTGACCATTGACTGCCAGTGCACACACCAGACCCCAACACCAACAAGCAGCTGGAAGCTCCCCTTGATAGAACCTTGCCACTGGGGCTGCCAGTCTTTGCTAATGCGCTTGGCATGGTGCCTGGGAACCAGCCACATGGCTCTTGAGCTGCCCTTCAAGGAGGAAACAGAAGTCCCCTGTCAAAAGATGAGGCCACCATCCACCCTTAACAGGGAGGTGGCCAGGCCCTGGTACCCTGTTCTGGCACTTTCTTTGTTCACCAGATTTGCAAATTTGTTATCAGCCAGCACAGTTTCCCCACCTCCACCCACCCTGTCTGGGCTCCTTAGAGTAAAGGAAAATTCTCCCCAAGGAGCTGCCTTCAGATCTCTCCACACAGATTCCTGACAGCAGTCCCTGCAATGGTTTGGTTCCACAGGATCATAGAAGCTTTTTAAAATTATTATTTATGCAAAATATAGACAAGGAAAGATGCGATTTGACTGCACCATGTGACAGCTTCTTGGGGATTTGAGCTGCCTGCCGGTCCAATGAACCAGCCGTGAGCTGCTGCCAGAGGCTACGGGATCCTGGGTGGCAGCTGAGGTTGGGGAAGCCAGGAACCCATCTTACTCCCTTGCAACCTGATGAGCTCATGCTGGACACAGGCCCAGCTCGGGACTGAACCGTGTAGCCCTCTGGGCACCTTGAACCTTGCACCAGGGTGGTGGGGAGGCTGGGGAGGAGGAGGCATTCACTGTGACCAGTGGGGTTGCTTTATATGTGGATGTGTTTATAGCTTTTATTTTATGTGTGTGTGTGTGTGTGTTTATTCTTTCTTTTTTATTTTATTTTATTTTATTTTATTTTATTTTATTTTATTTTATTTTATTTTTGAGACAGGGCCTAGCTCTGTCTCCCAAGCACGATCTCAGCTCACTGCAAGCTCTGCTTTCTGGGCTCAAGTGACCTCCCAAGTAGCTGGGATTACAGGTGCGCACCACCACACCTGGATAATTTTTGTACTGTTTATAGAGACAAGGTTTTGCCATGTTGTGCAGGCTTGTCTTGAACTCTTGGGCTTAAGCAATGCACCTGCCTTAGCCTCCCAAAGTGCTGGGACTGCAGGCATGAGCCACCATGCCCCGGCCAGTTTTATTTTATTTTTAATTGATAAATAAAAATTGTATATATTTATGGGGTACAATGTGATGTTTCAATACATGTATACATTGCGGAATGATCAAGTCAGGCTAATTAGCATATCCGCCTCCTCAAATATTTATTATTTCTTTGTAATGAGAACATTTAAAATCCCATCTTTGGCTGGGCATGATGGTTCACGCCTGTAACCTCAGCACTTTGGGAGGCCGAGGAGGACAGATCACCTGAGGTCAGGAGTTCGAGACCAGCCTGACCAACATGGCGAAACCCCGTCTCTAATAAAAATACAAAAATTAGCTGGGCATGATGGCACATGCTTGTAATCCCAGCTACTCAGGAGGCTGAGGCAGGAGAATCGCTTGAACCCAGGAGGTGGAGGTTGCAGTGAGCCGAGATAATGCCATTGCCCTCCAGCCTGGGTGACAAAAGCAAAACTCCATCTCAAAAAAAAAAAAAAAAAAGTAAAATCTCATCTTTCGGCTATTTTTAAATATACAATACATTATTATGAACTATAGTCACCTTGCTATGCAATAGAACAGCAGAACTTATTCCTCCTAGTAGCTGTAACTTTGTACCTGTTGACCAACCTCTCCCCTTCCCCGTTCACCTCCCCTCTATGCCTGGCTTATTTCACTTCCTCTTGGTTCATCCATGTTGTTGAAAATGACAGAATTTCCTGTTTTTATAAAGCTGACTAGTGTTCCGTTATGTAAATACACCACGTGCTAAAAATCCATTTACCCGTTTAGGAACACTTAGGTTGTTTCCATATCTCGACTATTGTAAATAATTGTGTCATGACCATGGCAGTGCAGACATCTCTTCCGCATACAGATTTCAATCCTTTGGGTATGTACCCAGTAGTGGGGTTGCTGGATTATTTGATACAGGTAATTCTCTTTTTTTTTTTTAGAGATAGGATCTCACTATGTTGTCCAGGCTGCTCTTGAACTCCTGACCTGAAGCAGTCCTTCCTCCTTGGTCTCCTAGAGTAGAGGGCTGAGATTACAGGCATGAGCCACAACACCTAGCCCTCCAGTTAATTCTATATTTAGTCTTTTGAGAAACCTTCATACTGTTATCCAAAATGGCTGTACTAATTTGCAATGTTACCAACAGTGTATAATGGTTCCCTTTTCTCCACATCCTTGTCAACACTTACTATCTTTCATCTTTTTTATAACAGCCAATCTAACAGGTGTGAGGTGATATCTCATTGTGGTTTTAATTTGCATTTCTCTGATGATTAGTGATATTGAGCACTTTTCCATATAACTGTTGGCCATTTGTATGTCTTGTTTTGAGAAATGTCTGTTCAAGTCCTTTGCCTTTTTAAAATAGGGTTATTTGTTTTTTATTATTGAGTCATTTGAGTTCCTTGTATATTTTGGATATTAGCCCTTTACCAGTGTATGATTCGCAAATGTCTTCTCCCAATCTTTGAATTGTCTCTTCACGCTATTAACTGTTTCCATTGCTGTTCAGAAGCTTTTTAGTTTGATGCAATACAATTTGTCTATTTTTGCTTCTGTTGCCTGTGCTTTTGGGGTCATATCCAAGAAACCTCTGCCCAGACCCATGGCATGGAGCCTTTGCCCTACGTTTCTTCTAGTAGTTTTATAGTTTCAGGTCTTGCATTTAAGTCTTTGAGTTGATTTTGTATAAGGGGTAAGATAAAGTCCCCTTTTCATTATTCTGTATGTGGAGATCTAGTTTTTCCAAAACCATTTATTAAGAGACCGTTCTTCCCCCATTGTCCAAGACCAGGTAAAGTAGCGCATGCCTGTAATCCCAGCCCTCTGAGAGGCCGAAGTGGGAGGATCACTTGAGGCCAGGAGTTTGAGACCAGACTAGGCAACATAGCAAGCCCCATCTCTGAAAAAAAAAATTTTTTTTTTAATTAGCTCAGCATAGTGGCATGCACCTGTAGTCCCAGCTACTCAGGAGGCTGAGGCATGAGGATTGCCAGAGCACAGGAGTTCAAGGTTACAGTGAGCTATGATTGCATCACTGCACTCTGACCTTTTTTATGCTCTCTTAAGTGGGATTGTTTTCTTAATTTCTTTTTCAGACAGTTAGTTGTTAGTATAAAGAAACACTACTGCTTTTTGTAAGTTGATTTTGTATCCTGGAACTTTACTGAATTTGTTTATCAGTTCTAATGGTTTTTGGGGGTAACTGTTTAGGATATTTTATATATAAGATCATGTCAGCAAACACAGACAATTTCACTTCATCCTTTCCTATTAGGATACCTTTTATTTCTTTTTCTTGCCGAATTGCTCTGGCTAAGATTTCCAGTACCATGTGGAACAGAGCAGGCATCCTTGCCTTGTTCCTGATCTTAGAGGAGAAGCTTTCAACTTTTCACTGTTGAGTACGATGTTGGCTGTGGACTTGTCATACATGATCTTCACTGAGTTGAGGAACATTCCTTGCATACCTACTTTGTTGAGAGTGTCTTTTGTTTTGTTTTGTTTTGTTTTGTTTTTTTTGAGACGGAGTCTTGCTCTGTCGCCCAGGCTGGAGTGCAGTGGTGCGATCTCGGCTCACTGAAAGCTCTGCCTCCTGGGTTCATGCCATTCTTCCTCAGCCTCCCGAGTAGCTGGGACTACAGGCACCCACCACCATGCCAGCTAATTTTTTTGTATTTTTGGTAGAGATGGGGTTTCATCGTGTTAGCCAGGAAGGTCTCAATCTCCTGACCTCGTGATCCACCCGCCTTGGCCTCTCAAAGTGTGTTGAGAGTTTTTTTTACCATGAAAGGATTGAACTATGTCAAATGCTTTTTCTGCATCTATTGAGATGAATATATGATTTCTTGTCCTTCATTCTAATATGGTGACTCACATTGATTGGCATATGTTGAACCAAACTTGCATCCCAGAGATAATCTTTTTTTTTTTTTTTTTTTTTTTTGAGACAGAGTCTCACTCTGTCGCCCAGGCTGGAGTACAGTGGCACAACATTGGCTCACTGCAACCTCCGCCTCCCAGGTTCAAGCAATTCTCATGCCTCAGCCACCCTAGTAGCTGGGGCTTCAGGCATGCACTACCATGCCTGGCTAATTTTTGTATCTTTAGTAGAGACAGGAATTTGCCATATTGCCCAGGCTGGTCTCAAACTCCTGAGCTCAAGTGATCCGCCCACCTCAACCTCATGCTGGGATCACAGGCATGAGCCATTGCATCCGGCCCATGGTGAATGATCTTTTTAAGGTACTGGTGAATAGGGTTATCTAGTATTTTCTTGAGGATTTTTGCATCCATGTTCATCAATGATATAGCCTGTACTTATTCCTTCTTGTAGTGTCTTTGTCTGGCTTGGTATCAGAGTAAGCTGGCCTTGTAGAATGAGTTTGGAAGTATGCTGTCCCCTTCAATTTTTGGGAAGGGCTTGATAAGAATTGGTGTTAGCTCTTCCTTAAATATCTGGTAGAATTTAACCATGAAGCCATCTCGTTCTGGGATTTTTTTGTTGGTGGTGGTAGACTCTTAATTACTGATTCAATCTTCTTATTAGTTATTAGTCTGTTCAGATTTCCAATTTTTTCATGATCCAGTATTTAGGTTATATTTCTAGGAATTTATCCATTTCTTCTAGGTTGTGCAATTTGTTGGCATATAATTGCTTATAGTAGTCTCTTACGATCCTTTGTATTTCTGTTATCAATGGTAACAACTCTTCTTTCATCTCTGATTTTATTTGAGTCTTCTTTTTTCTTTATTAGTCTAGCTAAGGGTTTGTCAGTTTTGTTCAGCTTTTTACAAACCAACTCTTAGTTTTGTTGATTTTTTTCTATTGTTTTTCTAGTCTCTATTTCATTGATTTCTGCTCTGATCTTTGTTATTTCCTTCCTTCTGCTAACTTTGACCTTAATTTGTTCTTCTTTTTCTAGTTCCTTGAGGCATAATATTAGCCTGTTTATTTGAGATTTTTCTTCTTTTTTGATATAGGCATTTATTGCTATAAACTTCCCTCTTAGAACTGCTTTAGGCTGGGTGTGGTGGTTCATGTCTGTAATCCCAGCATTTTGGGAGGCTGAGGTGAGAGGATTGCTTGAGGCCAGGAGTTTGAAACCAGCCTGTTCAACATAGTGAGATTCCTTCTCTACAAAAATAAAAACAAATTATCTGGGTATGGTGGCACCTGCCTGTAGTCCCAGCTACTTGGGAGGCTGAGGTGGGAGGATTGCTTGAGCCCAGGAGTTCAAGGCTACAGTAAGCAGAGATTGCGCTGCTGCATTCCAGCCTGGGCAACAGAGTGAGACCCTATCTCAAAAAACAAAACAAAACAAAGCTGCCTTTGCTGCATCCCATGCATTTTTGTATATTGTGCTTCCATTTTTTGTTCATCTCAAGATATTTTTAAGTTTACCCTTTAATTTCTTCTTTGATTCACCAGTTGTTCAGAGAAGCATATTGTTTAATTTCCACATATTTGTTAATTTCCCATAATTCCTTCTGTTATTGATTTCTAGTTTCATACCACTGTGGTTGGAAAAGATACTTGATATTATTTCAATCTTTTTCTGTTTTTTTGAGACAGGGTCTTGCTCTGTCACCCAGGTTGGAGTGTGGTGGTGCTGATCACCACTCACTGCAACCTCGAACTCCCAGGCTCAAGCAATCCTCCTGACTCAGCCTCCCTAGGAGCTGGGACTACAGGCATACGCTACCATGTCCAGTGTCTCTATGTGGCCCAGGCTGGTCTCAAACTCATGGGCTCAAGTGATCCTCACGCTTCGGTCTTCCAAAATGTTGTGATTATAGAAGTGAGCCACTGTACCTGGCCAATTTCAATCTTCTTAAATTTGTTAAGACTTATTTTGTAGCCTAATATACGACATACCTTGAAGAATGTTTTATGTTCACTCGAGAAGAATATGTATTATGTTGCTTTTAGGTGGAACGGTCTATATATATCTGTTAGACCCATTTGGTCTAAAGTGTAGTTCGAATCGGATGTTTCCTTATTGACTTTCTGTTTGGATCTGTTCAATGCTGAAAGTGAGGAATTGCAATTCACTACTATTATTATGTTGTAGTCTACGTCTTTCTTCAGATCCCTTAAGGTTTGCTTGTTTGGTTGCTTGATTGACTGATTGTAGGGATGGGGTTTTGCTATGGTACCCAGGCTGGTCTCAAATTCCTGGCCTCGAGCAGTCCTCCCTCCTTGGCCTCTCAAAGTGCTGAGATTGTAGGCATGCTTCATATATTTAGGTGCTCCAAAGTTGGGTGCACATATATCTGTACTTGTTATATCCTCTTGATGAATTCACCACTATAGAATGTCACTATACGATGACTTTGTCTCTTTTTACAGTTTTTCGCCTAAAGTATATTTTGTCTGGGCCAGGCACAGTGGCTCACACCTGTAATCCCAGCACTTTGGGAGGCCAAGGTAGGCAGATCACCTAAGGTCAGGAGTTGGAGACCAGACTGGCCAAAATGGTGAAACGCTGTTTCTACTAAAAATACAAAATTTAGCCAGGCATGGTGGTGCATACCTGTAATCCCAGCTACTCGGGAGGCTGAGGCAGGAGAATCCCTTGAACCTGGGAGGTGGAGGTTGCAGTGAGCTGAGATCGCATCACTGCACCCCAGCTTGGGCAACAGAGGAAGACTCCATCACACACACACACACACACACACACACACACACACACACACACACAAGTATATTTTGTCTGAAATAAGTATAGCTACCTCTCTTCTCTTTTTTATCCCATTTGCATTGAATATCTTTTTCTATCCTTTCACTTTCAGTCTATGAGTGTCCTTTAAGGCAAAGTGAGTCTTGTGTAGGCAACATATGTTGGGTCTTGTTATTTTATCCATTTAGCTACTCTGTGCATTTGATTGGAGAATTTAACCCATTTACACTCAAACTAATTATTGATAGATAATGACTTACTAGTACCATTTTGTTCATTATTTTCTGGGTATTTTGTAGATCTTTTGTCCCTTTCTTCCTCTTGCTTTTTTTCCTTTGTGATTTGATGGCTTTCTATACTGCTATGCTTGGGATCTGTTCTTTTTCTCTGTTGTGTATCTATTATAGGCTTTTGCTTTGTGGTTACCCTAAGGCATACATAAGCCATCTTATACTTAACTGGTTATTTTAAGTTGACAACAACTTAACTTTGATTGCACATATAAACTCTACACTTTTACTTCTCCTCCTCCCATTTTATGTTTTTGTGTCACACTTTACATCTTTTTACAATTTTTATCTTTTAACAAATCACTGTGGCTCTAGTTGTTTTTAAGTTTTACCTTTTAACCTTTGTACTGGAGATATAAATGATTTACCTGCTGCCATTATGGTGTTAGAGTGTTTTGGATTTGACAATGTACTTACTTTTACCAATGAGTTTTATACTTTCATATGTTTTCATATTACTACTAATTAACATCCTCTTCCTTCAGCTTGAAAAACTCCTTTTAGCATTTCTTGTAAAGCAGGTCTAAAACAAAAACCCTCTCAGTTTTTGTCTGAGAAAGTCTTTCTCACACCTTCATTTTTTAGAGACAGAATTGCTGGGTATAGTATTATTAGTTGGCTTTTTTCTTCCTTTCAGGATTTTGAATGTATCATCCCACTCCCTTATGGCCTGCAAGGTTTCTGTTGAGAAGTATACTGATAGTCATATGGGGGTTCCCTTATACATGATGATTCACTTTTCCCTTGTTGCTTTCAATATTCTTTTTAACTACTGACAATTCGATTACAATGTGTCTTGGTGTGGATCTCTTTGGATTCATCTTATCTGGCATCCTCTGGGCTTCCTGGATCTGGCTTTCTATTTCATTCCCTAGGCTTGCAATGTTTTCTGCCATTATTTCTTTGAATATGTATTCTATCCCTTTCTCTCCCTTTCTTCTTCTGGCATGCCAATAATGCATAAGTTGTTAAGCTATCTTCAATCCTTTTCATTCTTTTTGCTTCTCATATTAGATAATTTCCAGTGGCCTGTCTTTGAATTTATAAATTCTTTCTTCTGTGTGATCTAGGCTGCTGTTTATGCTCTTTTTCAGTTCAGTTATAGTATTCTTCAGCGCTATGATTTCTGTTTAGTACTTTAATTTCTGTCTGTTTGTTGAAATTCTCAGTTTGTTTTTGTATTGCTCTCCTGACCTTGGTGAGCATGTCTATGACCGTTATTTTGAATTCAGTTAAATCACATATCTCCACTTCACTTGGATTTGTTCTTCACTGGAGATTCGTATTGTTCCTTTATTTGGAATATCATCCCGTTTCTTCATTTTCCTTGACTCTCTGTGTTGGTCTCTTTGGGTTAGATAGGACAACTACTTCCCTCAGTCTTGTGAGACTGGCCTCATGTAGAAGAATCTCGCCAATCCATTTAACCTGGGATTTTAAGATGTCCCTCAAATCTTTGTGTTTGTCCAGACTGCTACCTCTGTTTGCGGTGGCCCCCTAGAGCTTGGGATGTACTACATCATGTTAGTACCTAATACCAGTGAGATGGCAGCCAGACTCTCTAGATGTAGCTGGAAAGGTTGGGTGTTGGATATGTGTTCCAGTTCCTTCTATCTTTACAGTGAAGCTGAGTGCAGGCATTTGTCTCCCACTTTCTCTGCATTAATCTGGGGATAAAATCTGTGGCAAATGCCTGCACAGGCATTTGTACAGGCTGCATTCTTTGATCCTGGGGAGATAGCTGCTGACATTGGGCCCACCTCTTTGTTTTTTGTGGTCTAGGGCCACTCAAGAATGCAAAGCCCCATTGAGTCCCAGAGCTGGTAATTAAAAACGCAGTCCCTTAGCTGGGAGCTATAGAAGTTCTGGCACTTGGCACTTGGCCAAACTCCTTTCATGAAGAATGGGTAAGCCTGGATTTATCACCAGGGTGAGCCCGAGAGAAGGCTTATGAAGCACCAAGCTCTGGTTCCAGCTGTCGAAGGGCTCCTGTTCTGTTCCATTGCCCAGTTAGCTGCTTTATGCAAGTTCATTTAGAAGGCAGACCGTCAAGTAGCCACTGGAAGTGTGTACCGAGAGCCTCTCCTGGAGAGCGAATGGGAACTGCACATTCCTGCCTCTTTCTGCACTGCTCCAAGGGGGTGTACCCCATGGAAGTGTTTACACACTCATCTAAAACCACCACTTTGTTCTGTGATCAAGGAGACTCACATATACCTGGTCCCTTCTGTTCACAGAGCTAGGAGGTTTAGGATGGAGTCCTTTGGGAGGTAGCTGTAAAAGTTGGGGAACTCAATTTTTGGTATAAACCCTTTCCAGGGACAAAGAGGGGGCTGTGTTTTTTTAAGCCCCTTCTCTGTGCTGCTCCTGGGGGATGAAGACCCTGGAAGTGTTTGTTGCACCTGTATAAAAATGCTGCTTTCTTCCTGTGGTCTAGAGAGACACATTCATGCCAGTCCCCTTTGCCCCCAGAGCTAGGAGGTTTAGGATGCAGTCTTTCAAGTGGAAGCTGTAAAAGTTGGGGTGCTCTATCTGAGGGAGAAACAGGGGGCCGCTCTTTTTAAGCCCCTTCTCTGTACTGTTCCCAGAGGATAAAGCCACTGGAAGTGCTTGTATGCCCGTATGAAACTGCTGCTTTATTCCTGTGGTCTAGAGAGACTCATATGCGTCTAATCTCTGCTCCCAGAGCTGGTGAAATAAGAGCCAAACTGTGGGGAACTTTAGAGTTAGGGTGCTATATTTAAGGCCCAAACCCTCCTCTCCACAGGGAGAAGGAAGCTGGGGTGATTCCTTCCCAGCTGGGTGGTGAGGTGCCCGGGGCCATGCCCGAATATGCCTCCACTCTCCTAACCATTCAAAATGACTTTCTCCGTTGCTCAATGGGTAGGAGTCTCAACTGGTCTCTGATTTTGTCTTGAGGAAACTGACCTGTGAATAGACCTATCTGGTGCATTTCTGGGTCGGGGGAGATTCAGGAGCTTCCTATTCCACCATGCTGCTTGAGGTTGGTTTATTTCTGCTACAGCAGAGTGTACCGGCTGTCAGGGAGCAGGGTGGCCTGAGTCAGTGACACAGAGTAAAATAAGCCACACTTGATAGTGGGGGAGTAGGAATGGCCAGGGGAACATGTGGGACAGCACCTCTAAGATGGGCTGCAAACAAGTGAGGGCTGAGAACCCCCAACCCAAGCAGATGGAAAGGAGGCCCCAGAGAGAAGCCCCAACATGAGCCACAACCCATGTCACATGAACAGCAGTAGGGACAAAAAGGGGTATTTGGCTTGGACAAGAGAAGGAAACTGTGGCTCACCTTGGACCATATGAAGAGGAGTCACAGGGCAGGGGTCACACCAGGACACTAGGATGTGGATTCCTGCTCATTCTAAGGACTCTGCGGGAAAGGCCAGGTCAGGACACAGCTAAGGTTGTCCCCAAGGGGAAGGGGTCTTGAGAAGTCGCAGTTCCTGCCCCTCATGGTTTTCCAGGCAAAGCTGAGTGTCCGCCTGATGGAGGCTGCAGAGAAGAGCTGCTCTTCTCAGACGGGGATGAAGTGCACAGCTTGCCAAGGGCTCAGTCAGTTATGTGCCATCTATCGTGGACTCCAAAATGCAGTGACAAGTGAGCTTATAGAGCAAGGGCTTCCTTGGGGTGCATGGGCTGAGTTTTCCATTGTCCTGAAACCTTCTATAAGCAATAGGAAGAAACTATAGATGGCATGATCAGTGGCCTAGGTTCTTCTCCATAAAGTCCTCCCAACGACAGCCTCTTATGGATCAATTGCTGTGCAGTGACTTAGACCCGGGAGGGCCAGCTGCTGACTCCAAAGCCTAAAGGGTCTCAGCTTCTCAAGAAGCCCCCTTCGGCCAGGCACGGTGGCTCATGCCATAATCCCAGCACTTTGGGAGGCCGAGGTGGGAGGATCACCTGAGGTCAGGAGTTCGAGACCAGCCTGGCTAACATGGTGAAACCCCGTTTCTACTAAAAATACAAAAAATTAGCCAGGGTGCTGGTGTGCACCTGTAATCCCAGCTACTCAGGGGGCTGAGACAGGAGAATCCCTTGAATCCGGGAGGCAGACGTTGCAGTGAGCCGAGATCACACCATTGCACTCCAGCTTGGGCAACAAGAGTGGAACTCCATCTCAAAAAAAAAAAAAAAGAAGAAGCCTACCCTGCAGGCTGTAGAGAGCTGATGGAAGTGTCCTGTGGCCCCTTGCAAGGGGAGCAGGAAGGGGAACATGCTAATTGAAACAAAAACAGATTACAGTCCCTTCTGCTTCTTAATGGATGGTAGACAGTGAAATTCATATCTATAAAAATAACCCTCTGCAGTCTCACTGGTACAGAGGCTGTGGGGATGGGAGAAGGAAAGCTGGACTCTTGAGCCCTGTCCTGCCCTGTCCTGCTGCTGAATGTCCTTGAGAGCCCACCCATGGGGACAGAGACAGTGCTCAGCCTCTGGACAAGCCCAGAGCAGGCAGGGGGAAAGGGAAACTACTCTTTATAATCAGTCCTGGGAAAGTGGGTTCCTGCAACCAGCTTCAGGGAGAGGGGAGGAGCTCAGCAGGGGGAGGGAGGAGAGAAAGAGAGACAGCAGATCTCAGCAGCTGATGGGCCACACCCCCTCTGGCACCCCGAAACTTCAGCAAAGGCTGTGGCCCACCCAGGATTGTGTGGGTGGGACCCGGGGAAGAAATGAATTAGGGTGCTGCCCCCATGGGGGGCATGGAGGTGGGAAAGAACCAGCCCACCCAAGGGGCCATGTGGAGAAACCCAATCTCCCCCCGCAGAACCTGCCCCCAGAGGCATTCGCATATGAAGGACTCTGGGCTTCCATCCTATTTGGAAATTTAAAAATTTTCAGCCATTTAAAAATACTGTATCTATGGCACTTACCAGCTGAGCCCCCCCAGGGTCCTGGACATCAGGGCCAGCATAGAAACAACCATAGGGATGGTGGGAACTTAAATCCAGGCTCCCTGGAGCTAGTTAGAATG
This sequence comes from Homo sapiens, assembly GCF_000001405.40. Classification (NCBI taxonomy): domain Eukaryota; kingdom Metazoa; phylum Chordata; class Mammalia; order Primates; family Hominidae; genus Homo; species Homo sapiens. Next base: position 232,476,699 of record NC_000002.12, read on the forward strand.
ACCTGGGGCTCAGGGCTGTTCAGTGGCACCAGATGCCATGTGCCCCTTCCTGGGTATCCCAGAAATCCCAGGGCCACTAAGCTGGGCTCAGCCCCCGCATTCACCAATGTCCCCTCTTTGGCCCTAGGATGGGAAGCTTGGGCACAAACCCACCTCTCTGCTGGCTTCAAATCCTTCCTGAATCTGTACAGAGGTGGAACCCACAGGGCCCCCAGGGCTGAGGGGCACCCCCAACATCCTAGGCCCTGAGAACTCTGAGGCAAGCTCGCAGCCGAGGCGGGGGAGCTGTGCAGACCTGGGGAGGAAACAGGGGGCAGGCATGCCAATCCTTCATCGTGGCAGCTGCAAGCCAGCGCTTGGGCACCCGTCACCTCTCATCTGCTGATGGCAACACTGGAGACCATAGAGGGCTCCTCCCTTGCCAAGGTCACCAGGCAGTAACCCCTGGGCTCAAGTCCTGCTCACAAAGCTGTGGATGGCAGAACCAGGACCTGGTGCAGAGGCTAGCCCCTGAGGATACTGATGGGGACAGCATCGCCTGCTGAACTTTGGTACACAGGTGAATACCTGGAAGATTTTTTTCTTCTCAGGTTTTTTTGGTTTGTTTGTTTGTTTTTTGAGGCAGGGTCTCACTCGCACCCAAGCTGGAGTGCAGTAGCGCAACCATGGCTCTCTGCAACCTCTGCCTCCCAGGCTCAAGTGATCCTCCCACCTCAGCCTCCCAAGTAGGTGGGTCTTCAGGGGCATGCCACCACGCCCAGCTAATTTTTGTATTTTTTTCAGAGATGCGGTTTTGCCCGTATTGCCTAGGCTGGTATCTAACTCCTGGACTCAAGCGATCCACCTGCCTCAGCCTCCCAAACTCCTGGGATTACAGGCCTGAGCCACCTCACTCGGCTGGATGCCCGGAAGTTTAAGCATAGCTGTAAACCATCCCAGCTCCTTTATTTCCCTGCTTGGCCGAAGATTGCTTTCTGTCATCCCAGTGAGCTGTGCCCTGTTTGTGGGAGAACCTGCCCTCAGGGATGGATGGAACCAGCCCAGCAACAACCCACCCCTCAGCCACTTCTAGAATCACCCAGGAAGGGCCTTCACAGCCAGGCTGATGTCCCCTCACTGAACACAAGGGCAACGGAGGCCAGGTGGGTAGCTATGCTGAGCTCATTCACATTCCTCGACCCCAGTAGAATCACAGTCATCGACAGCCCAGTGTGGATCCTAGGACGGGGCCTGGTAGACAAAGAGATGGCTGGGACTATGCAGCGTGCCTGGTCTCCCAGCGGAACACGTGATGCACCCATGCTGACACCTGCTGACACCTGAGCTCCACAAGACCCTGACATGAGCAGTGTGGCCTTGGGGGCGTGTGGCCTTGGGGGCATGTGGCCCATCTGTTAAAGGGGCTCCTGCCACTCTGTCCATCTCACTGGGTTACGGTGGGGATGCTCCTAGGGCCCGTCTGAAAAAGCAGTTTGGGAACTAGCAGGTGACACACAGTGCTGCTGGGCATCAGGCCACTTGCTCTGGACCAGCCTGGAAGCCAGGAACCTCATGTCTTGTCCCAGGCACCTCCCTGCACCCGTCCTCACTGCATCCTCAGCAGGACACAGAGAGAAGGGGCCTGGCCCCAGGAGTGTCCCAGCCTCATTGCATTTCCTGAGCTGGGCAGAAGGGACCCCTGTCTGTTGGCTTTGCTGGCTGCTCACCCCACAGGCTCCCCTGATGCTGAGGCCTCCCCTAAGCCGGTGTGGACACAGGAGGGATTGGTGGTGGGTAAAGCTGGGAAACTGCAGGAGCCCGGGGTGAGGGCAAGAGGGCTGGGCCTGCAGATCCCAGTTCCAACCAGGATCCCAGATCAGAGGGGCGGGGTGGGCCTCGGGGTATGGAGGGTCCCAGACACCAGGCCCCACCCAGGAGGGTGGCAGGAAGAGGACTGTTGTACTGCTCCAGCTGCCCAAGGGACACGTGTGTGCCCAGCTCAGGATGAAAGGTCTGGAAACGGCACCTCCATGGGGCCTGGGGTCCTCCAAGGAGCACGCTGTGAAGGAGCCCTTGACAGGCAGCTCTGAGCCGGGCTCGGTGCCCAGGACTGAGCCTCTGCAGTCTTCCCTGACACCTCGGAACCCAGTGTCAGCTGCCTGCAGACTGCGAGGAAGGGCCCCGCCCCATCCCGGACTGGCCACTCCCGTGGGTATCCTTCTCAGTTCCAGCCTCCTCCGCAGGGCCACGCATGGCTGTCCTGCCCAAGGCTCCAATAAGAAGGACTTTTTAAAGGTCTCTCAAGGCTGGGGACAGGGTGCAGGCAGGCGTTGTCTGAGCAGAATGACAAGAGCTGGGCTGGCAAGAGATTTGCCACTTCCATTCATGAGATGGGGATGGCCACACCGGGCGGTGCCCAGGGAGGGGTTAACCCCTCTAGGCCACCCCCAAAGGAAGAATAACAGACCTGGGAGGAAGGGCAGGTGCCTGCTGGTCCCCCTCAATTCAGACTCGGGATCCCTGAGTGGGGCTGCCCAGTAGGATAATCCCCCCACCCCTGCCGCCCCTCCATGATCAGGCAGGGCCAGCCGGCAGCCTCCAGCCTGGGCAGCACTCCCTGCCTCTGTCCACCCTCCTCATGCCAGGAGCCTACCATTCCTACCAGTCCTCTCCTTTCTGCACCCCAGAAGCCTGTCTCCACACTGGAGGAGAGGCTGAGATGTCCTGTGGGTCAGCCTCACCTCCATGTAAGTGTGGATCGCTATCCCCTTCTCCAGGGAGGCTGAGGCCAAGGGCCAGGCTAAGACAAGGCAGAAGTTTCTCCTACTTCAGACTTGCAGGGGTCATAAGCCCCAGCATCACCCTGGAATGCGGGTCACCAGGCCATGAGGCTGAACTAGGGGTGCCCCAGAACTGGGCAAGAAGCCCTGGGCGAGGCTTTGGGGGAGGGCGGCTGGGCCAGGGAAGTACTGTCGGTTGGTGGAAAAGATAGAAGAGTCCAGGAAGGCTGGACACAGGCGGCCAAGCCAGGGCGACCAGGAGACAAGAAGGTCCTCTCCAGGGTCCCGGTTGTGCTAAGTGCCCTAGCCTCCCTGCAGAGGGCTCTCTCCAGCTCCGCCTGCCCTGGGGACCCGTGAAGAGGCCAAGGCAACAGTGCAGTGATTTATTGACCAGACTTTGCAGCAAGAACACAGCGAAGGTGGGGCCCGTACAATCCAGCCTGGCAGAGGGTCTGGCCCCCTTAGAGCAGAATCTGGGGACCCCAGTATATTTCCCTCACAGCCCCCCAAAGTCCAGCCTCACCCTGCTCCAGGCCCCTCCTGAAGTGAGGGGCAGCAGGGGGACCGGGTCCTGGAGGGGCTGGAAGGCAGGTGGTGCCCAGAGCGGGGCTGGCACCGGGTGCATGCCTGCCCCGGTAGCCAGCAGGAGGTGATTCGTGCGGGGGCAGTGGGGGCGTGCAGGCGGGCAGCCAGGCTCACCACACGGAACACTTGTGGGCAGGGTTCATGGGTGAGTCCTTGGGACAGTGGAAAGCCCGGCCAAACTCCTCAAACTGGGACACACTGCCCAGCACCCTGGGGTGGGGAGAGACCCACACAGTGTTGGGCCCTGCAGCCACTCCAGCCCCAGCAACCAGGGGTGACTTTTATTCCTTCCCATGCCCCCTGATCCCACCCCAAACACAAGGAGTGGACAAGGCCAGGCGGGCAGGTGGGCATACCTGTAGTGCTCAGGGGCATGCTTGTCAGTCAGCACCTGCAGGTAGATGGACTGCGACCGCCGCTTGATGCACCAGTTCTGGGTCCAGGAGCGGGGTGGAGGGGAGGAGGGGGAGATGAAGCCAGGCATCCGCCCCCTTGCCCCCCACCCAGCACACAAGGCGGTAGGCCCCCTCAGCACCACAGGACCATCACCTCTGACGGGACAGGTGATGACAGACAGGCTGTCCATGCGAAGCCTGGGCAAGGCAGGACTGGGACTGACCCTGGATGCCGTGTCCCCACCCCAAGGCTCCCAGTCCAATCCCCCACCCAGCCCACCTGGGCAAAGGCAATGAAGAAGAGCTGGTCATGTGTGTACTTGAGCCGGGGAAGTGGGTGCTCTGGGCCGTGCTCCCGCACCCACTTCTGATAGGCCTGGGGACACAGAGAGCATGGACCTGCTATGCCCGCCCACCCTGGGCACCGCTTCTTCTCTGTCCTCCATCTAGGTAGCCCTCCCTGCTCTCCCTGTGAAGGGGGGCCCGTGAATCCTTCCTCTTCCAGTGGACCGTGGCCCCAGCACATGCCCTGCCCCACCCCAGGCCAGAGCTCAGCAGGGTGGGCAGGGAGAGGCAGCTCTGTCCCTCATCTGGAGTCCTCATCAGCCCCCGTCCCTCCTGCAGCAGGGGTGGAGCACAGGCAGGCCGCTCACGTGGTAGGCCAGCTTGAGGCCGCCCATATCTGCGATGTTCTCCCCAAGCGTGTGTTTCCCGTTCACCTGCCGGGAAGGGAAGAGGCCAGGGGGCTGCTTGGGGCCCAGCTGGCCTCCCTCAGGCATTGATACCCTGGGCCCCAGCCCCTAATTCCTACCACCCCTCTCCTTCCCTTGCCCAGAGAGTTTGAGGGGGGGCTCCAACCCTACTCTTTCCTCCCAACCCCCTTGTCCTCCGTAAGTCTGCGGACACTCATTATCTGTCCACGTGAGTGTGCGTGGGAACCGAATGTGTGTGCAGGGACCTGGGCACAGGTTTTGTTTGGACATGTGCACGTGCGCAAGGGTGTGCGTGATGCTCCCGGCCCGTGCCCCACCAGGCCTGAGGGGCACAAGGGGCAGGTGGGGGTCTCACCCGCTGGTTGTAGACAGTGAAGTTGTCATAGAGACGGACGATGCACTCAGCCTTTCGCAGGAAGCGGCTGTAGGAGGCCTCCGTCCACCAGTGCAGCAGGTTCCCTGAGCGGTCATACTGGCCCCCTGTGGGCAGTGCAGCAGGCTGAGACCCACCCTCACCTGAGCCCCCTCCCCTCCCCACCCACCAGCCCCAGTTAGGCCATCCCCTACCCTGCCTCTCCACTGCCTGTCCTGCCCCCTCCGGGCCATCCCCTGGGGCCCCAACAGGCCTCACCCCAGTCGTCGTAGCCGTGGGTCAGCTCATGTCCAATGATGGTGCCGATGCCCCCGTAGTTGAGAGACCTGGGCCCACAGCAGCAGCATCAGGCCCTAGCCCTCCACCCTCTGAGAGCCCCATGCTGCTGCCCAGGCCCCAGATGTCCCCTGGCCGGGCCAGGAGGTGGCACAGGGAGGCCACAGAGGCATCCGTGCGGTCCAGGGGCACATGTGCCTCAGCTTCCTCATGCGCTATGTGAATGCCAGTGGAACCTATCCAGCTTCTTTTAGGAAATCACATCTAACAGAGCTGGCTGGGCAGTGAAACAGGGCTGGAGGAGACAGGAGGGAAACGGAGGCACCTACGTAGGGGTTTCTCCTCCTACCTCATCATTAGTGTTGCGCCACCTTTGAAACATCAAAATGAGCCTCAAACAAGTAAAGAAGACCCCAGGAAGTTACAAATAACAAACCTACACATTTTTCTAAATAACCAAGGATGTAGTGGGGAGCCAGGGTCCACAGCTGTCCTGACTCCTGAACCCAGCTGGGTCTGGGGCGATTGGAGCCACAGTACGCCGACACACACCTGGTAGACAAGGTCTGCAATGCCAGCCCTGCCCTCAGCCACAAACAGGGCAAGCTATGTACTCACTGTGGGAAGTCAGGGTCGTACAGGGTGGGCTGCAGGATGCCCGCGGGGAACACTACAAGAAGGGGGTGCTCAGTGGGAAACCCATCCACTTTCGGACCCTGCCCCGCCCGGCGTAGGGACACATCCCCTTACCCATCTGGTTCTTGTTGGGTAGATAGTAGGCATTGAGCGCCTGTGGGGGGAGCAGCCACCTGTGGAGGGATGCTGGGGTGAATGGGGGGAACACACTCCCTCCCCCGCTACCCTCACATCACAGCTTCCTCGTCAGCCATCTCCTGACAGTCTGGGGGTCACCCTGCCGGCCCCCACCCCATGCCCTGTGCTGGCGTGTGTGCCCCCCATATCTGCATGGCTGTGAGACGATTTGCCCTACCAGCTCCTGCCCTTTCCCCACAACCCTTCCCTGACCCCCAGCTCTGGGCCAGGCACCCACGTGGACTTGTCCACCTCCTGCCGAATCTTCTTAACTGAGAGCTGGATGCTGAAGCGGATGCTGTTCAAGATGTTCTTGAAGTAGGTCTTCTCATGGACCTCAAACTGCAGGAGGCACGGGCGACACTCAGCGGCAGGCCAGGGCAGGGCTACCTGCAGACTGGGCAACAACCTGGCCGTGCAGGCCACCTGCCCTCCTGAGTGCCGTTAGTAGAGGGGCTGTGGACAGGCTGGGCAGGCAGGGTCAGGGCCCACCTCATACTCCTTGTCCACAGCATCGGGTTTCAGCAGGAAGTCCGGGTAGCCGACCATCACCATCATGTACTGGAGCTGCGGGCCGAGGGCAGGTGAAGGTGGCACCAGGCCTCGGGAGACAGCCCCCCGCCCCCCACCCTACCCACCAAGGAAGGGAGCACTAGGCCAGCCTGGGAGTGGGCTTCACAGTGGGGGAGGCAGGCCTGGTCAACTCCACGAAGGCCTCTTTGTCCCTTTTGTTCTCTTTCGCTGGTACACAGTAGGTGCTCAATATATATGGGACCAACCAATGACACTGGGTCCCCCCTCACCTTGGCCCGAGCAGCAGCCCTGGTCTCGGCGTCCATCCAGTCCAGCTCCTCCAGGCGCTGGCCCAGGATGTACTTGATGTCTTCCACTAGCTGCTGCACCTGCAGGGTCAGGGGTCAGGGAGCAAGGGTCAACCCAGCAGCCTGGTCTATCACTCCTGGCAGGAGGGGTACCCCTGCCTTTAAGCACCACTTTCTAAGCCCAAACCTCATTTCTGAACACCAAGAGGATACTTTGGAGGTGAGGATCCAGGCCCTGCACCCCCGAGGGCTCACAAGATAGAGGAGGAAACTGCCCCAGCAATGACCACAGACATCCCTAAGGCCACGCCTCCCGAGCATGCCTGAGAAGGTGGGCTGGGGCCTGGCAGGGAGGTCTGCCTGCAGTTGATAGTCCACATAAGCTTCCTGGAGGAGGAGGCCTGTGGAGGAGCAGCCTGGGGCCTCAGAATCGGCTGAGTACTTAGCAGGGCCTGGTCCCCCTGCCTGCAGGGGACATGTGGGGCTCCCCATATTAGGACCATGGCCTCGGGAGGGCTCCACCCTCAGTTCAGCACCATCCTCCTCTCTCAAACAAGGGCAACCCACCTTGGCTTTGCTGGCAGCTGAGAAGTGCTCATGTACAAAGAGGGCGCCAAGCGCCATGCCAAAGTGGCGATTGGCCTGGCCCAAGCAGACCCGGGCCAGCTCCTGTGGCTTGTCGCTGCCCTCCATCTCCTGTGCCAGCTCGTGCAGTGCCTCACGGAATGGCGGGGACAGGTGTTCACTCAGGACCACCACCACGCGCCACACCAGGTAGTTGTGCAGGACCCTGGGGACCAGGTGAAGCCAGTGGGTGTCCAGACGGACATGCATGTGGGCCACCAAGGGCACCACCCCTACCTGTGCCCGCCAACCTGTGGCTGGACCCAGGACCCAGACAGCCCCACAAAGAAGGGACAGGGGGTCATCCCAGCTATGCAGAGCAGAAAATGTAAAGCCCACCCAGCAGAGAGGTCCAGGGTGCAGGGGAAGGACCTAGTGACCGCTGGGCAGAAAATGCCAGATCTGCAGCCATACCGGTGGGGTGTGGAGCGGATGAGCTGCGACACCTGCTGCATGTAGTCTGTCGCCAGCAGCACCACCTCCTCTTCCTCTGAGAAGTCCTCCTGGAAGATCTGGTCTAGCAGCCACTTCCACCGCAACTGTGAGACCAAGGACAGGGACAGTGAGGCTAGGGTTGGCAGGGGCCACAGAAGACAGGGAGGGGGCAGAGAGAGGCAGCGAGGGGACATGAGAGTCCATGGCCAAGGAACGGTTTGCCCATCTCTGGGGAGAGATGACCCTGTAGTCCCAGCAGCAGCATTGCCCTCAACCCTGCCTGCCCACGAGGACTGGGCCACACTCACGTGGGGGGTGATCTTCTGCAGCTGCCCCAGCGTCACCTTGTTGTACATGGAGCTGACATCTCGCCGTAGGTCGTCATGCTCTGACACAGTGATCTGTGGGGAGAGATCACAGCTGACCCAGCCCTGCTCCATGATGCCCTCCCTCAAGCCCAGGGCAGCCTCCAGTCCTGGTCTGCTCACGTTGGCCAGCTGCTGCTCCACTTGCAGGATCTCTTGGGCCTTCTGTTCCACAGCGTCTGCACCCAGGAGGCTGAGCACTCGCTCCATGAACACCCTGTATGCTGCCAGGATCTGCACCAGGGGAGGGGGCTCACCCAGGGACAGGGACAGGCCTAGCCTGGATCCACCCCTCCTGGGGCCCCAGGCCTTCCCTGCCTCCCCATCCCATGCCCCAGCACCTTCTCACTGTCCTCATCCTGAGCGAGGTACAGGGTCCTCTCTGGCAGGGTGAGCCCATCCTGGTCAATCTGGGGAGGGAGACAGGGGCCACAGGTCAGAGGCCCACACCTCAGGTTCCCTAAACAGAGGGAATTCCCACTCCAATGCCCAGAGAGCAACCAGACATCCATGAGTACAGCCACAGAAGCACGCAGACCCCAGCTCCTCTTTCCACCCAGACGAGATGGCCAAAGCCCCATCCCTGACTGTCCCAGCCTGCGGATGCCCAATCTTACCCCTGTACGTCTGCACTTTCCTTATCTGTCCGGGGCATTCGTAGGTCCCCCACTGACAGTTGGGACCCCTAGCTTTGGGGCCAGCTCCAGACCTCGCGGAGACGTCAACCCAGCCCGCCGGCGCGCCTCTCCCTCCTGGCCCTCACTGCCTGCCAGAGGGCTGGGAAATTGCGGCTCCCGCGGCTCCTCTAAACACCGCAATTACCCCAGGGAAATTACTTGCGCCCTCCTCCCGCGCTCTGCCTCTGTGCGCTCCCCTCCCCTCCCCTCTCCTGCTCGTCTCTTCCCTCCTCTCCTCTCACGCACCCGCCTCCCGCGCGCAGGGACCCCTGGGCAAGGCCACTGCGCCCCGGATCCGCGGCCGCTGGCAGGGCGCTCAGGGGGCGCACTCACGCGGATGACGTAGCGCGAGGAGTTCCTGTCGTCCAGGCTGACCGTGAGCGAGAAGAGCGCGGCGGCGCTGTACACGCCCTGCGCCTTGTACAGCAGCCGGTTGAGGTCCCATCGCGCCGCGACCCCCGGACGCTCCTCCGCGCCGCCCAGGTCCCAGCCCCCGCAGTCCTCGATGACCTCTAGCATGGGTCGCGGGCCCAGTCGCTCGATCTCGCGCATGTCGAGGCACGAGCGGAAGAAGGCGCGCACCTTGCGCTGGGCCGCGCCGCCAGGCCCACCCCCGGGCCGCGCCAGCAGGCGCCGTAGGCGCTCCTCGTTTTGCTCGCCGATGGCCGCGATGGTGCCATAGGTGAGCTTGTCGTCGGGGATGGCGTGGCGCCGCAGCCAACCGCCGCAGGCGAACGAGTAGAAGTCCTGGCATGGGTCGATGCTGGCGTCCAGGTTGGCGGCCAGGAAGCGAGCGGCGCGCGCGAAGGCCTTGCGCTCAGGGCAGCCCTCGGGACAGGCGCCGCCGCCGGCCGCGACCGGGCCCAGGTACTTGAGGGCCAGCATAGCCGCCAGAATGGCGCAGAGGCCGGCGGCGAACACCAGCCCCGACAGCAGGCACACCTCGCGCCGGTTCCAGCGCGGCAGCCCGGACCGGGCCCCGGTGGCGCTGCGCGCAGCGCCCAACGGGAAGCCCGGGGGCAGGGAGGCCCCGCGCGCGCCCCCCGCGCCGCAGCGGCTCACGTACTTGACCTCTTGGAACTCATCGTAGTGCGCCGTCAGCGAATACGGGGGCTCCATGGCGCCGAGGCCGCCGCGGTGCAGACCTGGGCCACCTGGGCTACGGGATGCGCGTGGCCGCCGGCCTCCTCGTGGGCCTCCGCATGGCCCTGGGGCCGCAGCTGCGGGAAGGGCGGAAGCAGGCTCAGGAGGCGCCGCAGCCGGATGGGGCTCAGGGTCACCGCGAGGAGGGACACAGGCCTGGGTGCAGAGGCCCCAGCCGCGGGCCTCATTCACTGCGGAAACCAGGGACTATGAGGGTTCGGCGGGGCCACCACCCCCGGGTGCACAGTGGAGTCTTCCCCCCTGTCCCCTCCCTGCACACACTTGAGGGCCGCAGGGTTGGGAGGGCTCTTATTGGAAGCAAGAGGCGCCAGGCAAGGGGCCTGGCACGTAGTGGGCCTTCATTGAAAGGTCGTCCCTCTTCCCCTTCGCCTTTCTCTTCCACGACCTGCCCCAGCCAAGGCCGGGTGGAGTGGGGGAAGAAGCGGAGGCTGGAGTGAGGAGGTGCGGTCAGGGGCGCGTCTATGCGACACTTTCAGCTCTCCGCGCTGGACCCAGACAGACGCTCCGCAAAGCGGCCAAAGAACCAAACTTTGTCCTCGCGGAAGTCCGCGGGATCGACCACGCCAACCCCGCTCCCTGGCTCCTTCTGCTCGGTGGCCCGACGGCCCACTCGCCCCTTCCCTAGGGGCGCGCGCCAACGCCCCAGGGTGGCGGACACACAACCCACCCACTGGACGGCCCTGATGGAGAACCCGAGACGGGTTCCCTCCCCCCACTCCCACCATCTCTGTCCCCGCCCCGAGCCACTCCTGGCTTCAACAGGTTCTCCCCAGAACCCAAACTTGGGCGAAGTTTCACCCCCGGCGGGGAGCGAGCTGGCTGGCGACCCCCGAGCCCCGGCGCCGTGCGGCGCAGTCCGCGGAGCCCGAGAGCCGAGCCCGGGAGCCGCAGCCGCAGCCGCAGCCGGAGCCGCAGCCGAGAGGACGCAGACAAAGCCGGGAGGCTCCGCGCAGTGGCGGCGGCGGCGACGGAAGTGGCCGCGGTGGTGGCCTCAGCGGCAGGGACTCGGGCGCCACTTACCCGGCAGGTGCGCGCCCGAGCCGGCGGTGACCGAGCGGGTCGGGCCCGAGCGGGGGCCTGAGCCGCAGCGCAGCCGAGCGGGCGTCCGGTGTCTCCCAGCGCCCGCCGCCTCCTCTGCCGCCGCGCCGAGCCCGCCGCGCCGCCCGCCTGCCGGCCCGAGGGAGGGGGCGCGCCGGCGGCTCCACCCTCCTCCGCCCGCCCCGCGCGCCCCTCCTTCCTCCTGCATCTCTCGGGCCACCTGGCAGTGGGGCGGCAGCGCGGACGTGGGTCGGCGGCCGCGGAGACAGGCTCCCGGGGGTCGTGCGCGGGCTGCGGTCGGGGACTCCGGGTCCAGCCGCGTTCCGAGACGAGTGAGGGCAGCGAGTACTCCCGTGAAGGGTCCCCTCCGATCCAGTGTCCCCACTCCCAGCCGCCCACCAGCCGGCTGGAAAGGGGCTGGAGCTGGAGATGAGGAGCCGAGGACTCCTCCGAAGGGCTGGGGGCGGTGTCAGTAGTGCCTGTGTCTGCCGGCACAGTCCCTGGCGCAGAGCGCACCTTCACTAACCGGCTTTTTTGTCCTCCTTGGAACCCCTGCCCTGGATGGGCTCTCCACTAGGGCTTCTGGTTGGCCTCGCTCCCTTCACCTAGCCCCTGGTGAAGGGAGCTCAGCGGGGACTCCTGCAAGAAGAGGGCTTGCCGCCCCCTTCCCCATCCTCCCCAGCCTTGGGTGGCCCTGGCACCACGGCTCAGGGAGTCCCTGGCCCAGGTAGGAAGAAAAGGCCAAGAGAAGAATGAGCGAAGTCTCCCTGCTGGAGCCAGGGAAGGCTGGAGCCTGCCCCCTCTGGCCAGCAGCCCTAGGCCTCAGACAGGCCCTGAGCCTCAAGACCCTGGTATGTGGACTGATGGGAGGGCAGGCTGGGTGCAGGGACTCTGAATTTACTCACCGCCTGCCTTCTTCCAGGTAAACTGGCTTTTTAAATGTGGGGCCTCCCCACTGCCTGGAGGCAAAGCCCTCTTCTACCTGCCTGCCTGCCTTGGCCAGACAGCCTGGCCCTAATGGGACACAGAGAACTTGGGGCTCCTTGGAAGACTGATACTGTTTCTGGAGTCTCTGCTTTCTCTGCCCTACCCTGCCTCTGGTGTCTCTAGCAGGAGACCCCACAAAGCACCAGCCCTCCCAGGTCTGCCGGCTCCAGCCCGTAGGATTGGCTTAAACAATGTGTGAGAGCCATGGAGCACCATCTAATAAAAATCACAACAAGGTAGGGACTCTGATAACCTACCCATCATCCTGTTCTCCTCCTCAGGGTCTGTGCATCTGCCCAGCTCCTGAGCCCTGGCCCTGAGTGCCGGCCTCTGCCCCTGTCTTGCCTCTCCCTGCCTCTTCATCTCTCCATCTCTAAGCCCCCACTCCGGATACCCTGCCTCCATCTCTGGCCACCCCAGGGTTGTCCTCTGCCCCATGCATCCTTCTTGGGTCCTATTAATTCTAAAGAGGAAAAATGGAATTACTTATAATGTGGCGATTCCATGAAGGGGGGAGGGGAGGGCAGGGAGGTGGCAAAGTGGCTCTTTGTGCTTTTAATCTGCATTTTTCCCTCAATGTTCCCGTCTCCAGGAGGATAATTTTCCAGCCTTTTCAGGCCCTGATTGGTATCATTTCTCCAGCAAGGACAGCTTTTATTTTCCCCGAAATGAATGCCATGAAATTTCCAAGAAATGTAAAAATGGATATTGTCTCAGAGAGCCTCTTCCGACAGAAAGGCACAGAGGCAAACACGCTTCCCTAGGGACTCTTCTGCTCCAGTCCCGGGGGTGGGGTGGGGGGCAGCCCCCAGGCCCTCAGTCTCTCCTCCCTCCTTTTGCCCTCCCTCATCCCTTCCTCCTCCCTCCCGGGTCAGCTCTGGGACCCCCCTTCCAGCCACCCTCTCCCAGACTCAGCTGCTATTGGTCTGCTCATGGGCCTCCCGACTCCCTGCCGGGCGACCTGCCTGGCTCCACCTCACCTTTTCTTTTCACATCGCATCCCCCAGCCCCGGGCTGAGAGCAGCAACCAGGGCCTACAGGAGTTGACTTGGAATTGGGCCCTCTGACCCCTCAGTCCTGGCCACCCCACACAGACTGCCAATAAAGAGAAGTCAGAGGCCCACCTCCTTGACTCTCCGGCACCTTCTCTGTAAGGGAAGCTGGCACTGTAGGGGAGTAGGCACCAGTGGTCTGGCCTGTAGCTTGCTCACTCTTTTGGGGGATCTCTTCCTACCCCTAATTACCAAGATGACCCCATGACTCATGAGAAAGAGAATGACAGGCCACAGTGGTGCCCAGCTAAACCCAGCCAAGCCCTGAGTGAGGCAGCTGGGTGCCCAGCTTCAGGGAGCAGTTGGGTGCTGCCAGAGCTGCCTTGGAGAGAAAAGGCCCGAGGGGATGCAAGGGGGCAGAGATGAGGGGTTCAGAACCTGACTCTCTGTCTCCTCCTTGACCAAGGGTAGATCCCAGCAACTCTGCCGAACAGGGCATCACTTGGTTTGGGTTCTGGACATAGAGCCCTCCCTGAGGACAGTGTGCTGTCACCAGTAGCTTGCATCTGTTGCACGTTCACCATGTGGGCTGCTAAGTGCCCTGCTCTGAGGTGGGGCTGCCCACCTAACGCCGGGCCTGGTCCTGACTGGAGCCCATTTGTGGTCGGACCCGCCTCTCTCCTGCGGCCTGCACGTGGGTGGGGATGAACCCCTTGCCCTGCCTCGGTGTGCTGCAGCAGGGTGTCAGCTCCAGGACGAGCCCCGCCAGCCTCCACCCTGTCCAACCAGGCCCTACTCCTCCCCTGCAGATCTGTGGTATCTTCTGAGCCCTAAAAACACGCCTCCAGCCAGCTTCCTGTCCTCCACCCGGCCTCTCGGGGCTCATCCCATCTATTATTCACAGCACAAAATGGATTTTTAATTTGAGAAATGAAATGACTCTCCCAAGTGGCCGGGGTGGCAGGGAGGGGGTGGAGGAAGGCCGGAGCCGCCGTGGCCGCCACAGCCGCCACGGTGCTGACTCAGGTTCATCTTGGAAAGCTCGGGGCCCACAGCCGAACTGAGAGACCCCAAAGGCCCAGTACCCCACCACTCTGCCCCAGGCCTCCACTCCTCCCCATTGCTGTGACCAGGTGGGGTGACGGGTGCCCGTTGGTCCTGCCTGAGCCTCCAGTGGGGCCTACCTCTGGCAGGGCGGTCGGGGGGACAGCTGGATCTGTCCTCCACTGGCTTTCAGATTCCTGTGCCTCAAGGGCAGCCCTTGGGCTCCCTGGCCTGGCCTATCACCTCCCCACACCCCCCGGCCCTCCTGGCCTGGCTTCCTCCACCCTGTCCAGACCTCTGGCTGAGCTCCTTTGCTAGGTCCTGACCCCACACTAGGCCCACTCCGGCCTCGACTGCTGGCACTGGCCTCCGCTGCTGGACACCTGGCCTCCACTCCGGCCTCCACGGCAGAACCCCTCCTCACCCCTCACGGGGGAGCTCAGGCATCTTAGTGTGGCCCACAAGGCAGGGCCTCCTCCTGGCTCTTCTCTGTCTTTGTCCCTCTCTGCCTCCCCACCCCCATACCTCCCTCTTTCCTCTGGTTACTCTGATCTATTTCCATTTCCCAGAACATGGCTGGCTCTGTCATCCCTCAGGCCTTAGCACTTGCTGTTTCAGCTGCCTGGAACACCCTTCCCCCGTCCCCTCTTACGGTGGCCAATTGCCAACCATCCTTCAGGGCCACCTGGAAGTGGCCTCTCCCATCTGGTCAGGTGCTGCCTCCACAGGCCCCTACTCCACCGGATGCAAAGTCTCTCCTATGGCAGCCCCTGTTCTTCCCCTCCAGGTAGCCCGCGGCCCCTTCTGGAGCCCAGGACAGGGGACGCATATGATAAACTCAGGTGACGTCCGTGATCAGTTCATGGAGATGCCCTGCCTGAAGCATCTCTCAGCGCCAAGCCATACACCAGGCACAGCACCCAGGCAAACCTGCCCAGGCTCTCAGATCCTGAACACCTTTCCTTTGCTCTGGAACCCACCAGATGACAAAGTGGGGGCCACTTTTCCACCCTCCTGCACCCCTCCTCTCCACTCTGAACCCCGTGGTAGGCTTTGTCCTCGCCATGCATAGACTCCTCTTGGGGTCACCTCCCAACCTCTGGAGCAATGTTGTTTTTGTACAAGAAACATGTAAATATTCTCTTGTTTTAAAATATTGAAGCCACACAAGTTTGTAGAGGAGAAACATGAAAGTCCTCGTTCACGCAGCCTCAGCCCTCCCAAGGTAAGGCCAGGTAGGCTCTGCGACCACTGCAGGGGGAGCATCTAGGCCCACCTGGGTATCACTTTATTTTATCGTCTTTTTTGTTGTTGTTTTAGAGATGACGTCTCGTTGTGTTTCCCAGAGAGAGTGCAGTGGTGCAATCACACCTCCCTGCAGCCTGGATCTCCTACGCTCAAGTGATCCTCCCACCTTGGCCTCCAAAGTAGCTGGGACTACAGGTGTTCCTACCATGCCTGGCCAATTTTTTTTTATTGTGTAGAGACTGGAGTCTCGCTATGTTGCCCAGGCTTGTCTTGAACTCTGGGTGATCCGCCTACCTCGGCCTCTCAAAGTGCTGGGATTACAAGTGTGGGCCACTGTGCCCAGCCCTTACTGATTTATTTTTAATAAATAGGACACAATAGGATGGATGGTTGAGTGCCTCTCCTCCCCATGTGGCCTGTGCTAGTGTTTCCAAGCCAGAGGTCCTCGGGGTCACCCTCTGTGACTGAGGGATACTTAGGTTGTCTCACTCACCCCATCTGGTCTCCAAATCCTAAGGCCTTGGCCCAGAGTTTTGCCTCGCACTCTCCCTCTCTGCCCGCCCTGTCCCACCTTCCCTGCCTCCTGCCCTTCCTCCATCCCCTGGATGCTGTGCCCAGGTGTTTGGCTCTGGTCCCAGGTCCCACCCACACCCGCTGGCGCTGGAAACTCACTGCACTCCAAACCCAGCCTTGGAAAGACTTCTCACCTCCTCCTCTCATTCTTATCCCTTTCCTGTCTCCAGCTCTGGCCCCTCCTCCTCCCTTTCTTAGTGGAGAAGGGGGTCTCTCCCTCCTTGCCTACCTGGGTGCTGCTGCAGTTCTGCCTGTTCCCAGCCACAGCCTCGGTGTAGCCATGGCCACTGTGGCTTCTGAGGCCTCCTGGGTGTGGTCCCCTCATGCTCCCCTGAGTGTCCCTCCTCTACCAGCATGGCATACTCATAGCACAGCCTTTGTTCGAGCTGTCCCCTCTGCCCAACTTCTGTGTCCCCAGACCTGTGTCCCTCCTTTAGGTCCATCTCAAGCTTCCAGGATCCCCCTGACAGGCCCCCACCTGAGGAAGCTGCCCAAGGGCCCCTGGCACGGAGGGATGCATGCCCCCCAGTGCCCAGCCCGGAGCCTGGCACGTGACCCCAGAGCAGGGGTGCCCAGAGCCTGGGCCAGGCTGAATGGAACAAGGCCCCAGCTCCAACCTGGACAGGCCTGTCGCCAACTGTGGGTGGAACAGCCACTGTCACATGCGGAGCGGCTCCCAAGCGCCATGCTCTGCGCCAAGACCTCTATCCCCTCCACACTGAACCTCACGCTGAGTAAGCCCACGAGGGAGCCCTGTCGTTGTCCCCAGTTTACAGAGGAAGAAACTGGGGTGCATAGAAGGAAAGGAAGATGCCCAGGTTCACGCAGAGACTCAGTACTGAAACGGAGGCTTGACCCTGTGTCTGCTGCATTCAGAGTCACAGGGCCATGCACACTGCGAGCTGGGAGATGGAAGAACAGCTCTGCAGAGGGCAGCAGGGCACTCAGGAACCCAAGTGACGGCAGCTCGGAGCCAGGGTCCCAGCCTGGGACCTCAGGCCCAGAAACTGCGTTGGAGGTGCCAAAGGTGGCTTTGCTCAGCGACCTCAGGAGGCATCTCAGGGCGTGCAGCCGGGACCTTGGCCTCCGTTCCGATGTCGCCACCTCCACAGGCCCCTCCTGGATTTCCCTATCTGAAGAGGCCAAGCCATTTTCTGTCTGTGGCACTGGGTACATCCCATACCGCATTTGTCCCTACCTGACGTTATCTTGTGACTCGCTATTTTCACGACAGCCTCTCTTCCTCAGCTCTGCTGGAACCCTAGATTTTCCTATTGCCTTGTCCTTCCTACCCAACCTTTAAGTGGCAAGGCCTTGGCCACAAGGCAGGGAGTCAGGAGTGGGGGCCAGATTTGCAGTCAAAGTCGGATGGTGGCTATGGGGGACAGGAAGGAGGGGGCAGTGGAGAGTCTCCGGCCAGTGGTCTCTAGCCCTGACAAGCAGGTCCCTTGGGCTCCCCATCTGATGGACAGGCCACGACAGGAGCTCAGCTCCTGCTGCAAGAGGGATGCAAATGAGGCTGTGGGGGCTGGGGACACCCCTTCCTGTCAGGGTCTCCATGGCACATTGCCTGGGACTGCAAGGAAGGGCGAGCCTGGGACAGGCAGAGAAGCCTGAATGGCCTGGAGGGCCACTTCCTTGGCTGCCAGGGTCCTGGGCCTGCAGTCCCCTCCCCCAGCACTCCATCATCATTTCAAGTGATTGGAGCTGAAGGGGATCGTTAGCTAATTAAAGCTGAGGCCACTAATTGTCCCTTTTGAAGAGAGAGCAGGGCTGTGCAGGGGAGGAGACAGAGGGTCTGGGGAGGGGGATATTGGCAGGCGGGGGGCTGGGAACAGGGCCATGGCCCCTTGTGGGGCCTTCTTCCAGACTGTGTGTTTGAGGGGTCAGGCATTGTCAGAAGCTCCTTAAAGTGGGTAAAGGACTAGAGAAGCAGATTTGGCGCTCCCGTGATTCACCCTGCATCACTGTGAATATCAGTGCCCACCTCTGCCCCACCTCTACCCACTGCCACCCACCCTGGGGCTGTGGGCTGGACAGCACATGGCGAGGCCTCCCACAGGCCTCCTCCTCTGTTGTGTTGATAGGTCAGATTGGAGGACGGGCAACTGGGTACAAGGTTCCCCCAACTCCAGCACGGCCCGGAGCAGGAAGCCTGGGTGGCAAGTTTCTGCCTTCCCTTCCACCTGTGACAGCCTCTTGGGGAGGTGCTCAGGCCTGCCAGGAGTAGCCAGCTGCAAGGTGCATATCCACATGTCACCGGAGAGTGCCAGCTATGCCTGGGGCTGCCCCTCAGCCTGGCACCAAGCTCCCCTCTTGGCAAGAGGTCCCAGAGCCTGTGACAGAACTACCAAAGAGGGTTATTAGTTTTGTATTGCTGCAAAACAAAGTAGCACAAACATAGCTACTTACAACAGCACCCTTTTATGACCTCACAGTTTCTGTAGTCAGTGGTCCAGGCACGGCATGCGATTCTCTGCCCATGGCCCCACTGCGCCAAATCGAGATGTCGGCTGGGGATACGGCGCTCATCTGGGGTTCAGGGGCCTCCTCTAAGCTCAGGGTTTGTGGCAGAATTCAGTTCCTTGAAGTGCTAGAATCAAGGTGTCCACTTTGGGGTTCTGCTGTCAGCTCCCAGAGGCCCCCTCCATTTCCACAGCCAGCAATGGAGAATTCCCTCCAGTGGAGTCTTCCACTTGCTTCAAGTTTCTGTTTTCCTCACACTGACCAGCCCGGGAAACTCTCTGCTTTTATTTATTTATTTTTTAAGAGACGGGGTCTCACTGTATTGTTCAGGCTGGTCTCAAAACTCCTGGGCTCAAGCAATCCTCCCACCTTGGCCTCCCAAACTGCTAGGATTACAGGCATGAGCCACTGCACTTGGCAAAACTCTCTGATTTTGAAGGGCTCATGTGCTTAGGTCGGGCCCACCCCAATAATCTCCTTACCTGAAGGTCAAGTCTTTTGGAACCTTAATCACATCTGCAAAATCCCTGCACACCAGTCCCCAGATTTGTGTTCAGTTGAATAGCGGTGGGATGCGCATGTGTACACCGGGGGCCGGGAATCTTGGGGGCATCTTAGGAGTCTGCCTACCACAATGATGTGGGTCAGAGAACAAAGACAGCGCTGAGGATAGAAGCAGCTGACTTCCAGGCCAGGCCCTGGGCATTAGTGCTGAATTATCTCATTCACTCCTCAGGACAATCCTAGGAGCAGGTGCTACTATTATCCCATTTTACAGGGGAAGCAGCTGAGGCCCTGAGAGATTAAGTGACTTTCACAGTCACACAGCCGGTAAATGACCACACTGAGAGATTAGGGGTATGTGGGGTCTGATCCAGACCCGGCTGTGTGTTCTTAGGAAAGTCATGTACCTGCTCTGGGCCTCTGGGAAATGGATGCTGAGGTCTGTTCCCCATAGACAAGTGGGTGAGACTTGGGGCCATGTTGCAGGGACTCAGCAGTCTAATCTGTGCCCCCACCACAGGTAGCTGGCATCTGTGACACCCAATGAGCTGGGGTCCCTGCTGTCAGCTGTCCATTCACTGCCAGTCTGACTTCTTTTTTTTTTTTTTTTTTTTGAGACAGAGTCTCACTCTTGTCGCCCAGGCTGGCTGCAGTGGTGGGATCTAGGCTCACTGCAACCTCTGCCTCCCGGGTTCATGCGATTCTTCTGCCTTGGCCTCCCGAGTAGCTGGGATTACAGGCACCCGCCACCACGCCCGGCTAATTTTTGTACTTTCAGTAGAGATGGGGTTTCACCATGTTGGCCAGGATGGTCTCAAACTCTTGACCTCAGGTGATCCACCCTCCTCGGCCTCCCAAAGTGCTGGGATTGCAGGCGTGAGCCACCTCACCTGGCCCAGTCTGACCTCTACAACCCAGTGATGATACTCCCTAACATTGAGGCTGGGAGGCTCCACAGTACAGGAACCCCAAGATTAATGGCCAGGAAACTGCTGCTCCTCCATGGGGGCTGGGCCCCTAGACAACTGAGTGGAGGCTTGCAGACCTTTGCCCGGGGGTGGTCGTGCGTGTCTGTGGGGCGGGTCCCTCCTACCCCTGGGGCCTGGCTCTCCCCACTCATCTGGCTGCAGCTCTGGAAGGTAGGGGACTGCAGAGGTGTCAGTGGCTGCCCACTCCCCCTCCCATGAGAAAGGCTGTCAGCGCCCCATAGGCGGCCTCCCCCCCAGCCTCCACCCCCATGCTTCAGCGGCCTCCCTCAGTAATGGGGCTTTATCATAGCATGCATTAGCTAAGGCCTGCTGCCTGCAATTATCCCTTCAATCAGCCACCCACCACCCACCGCCCCCAGCCTCAGGCCACCCACGGGGCCACCTCACCCGCCCTCCCTGCCCCATCCCCAAGTACAGCACAGGTGCCCAAGTCTCTGCAGATGGACAGAGCAGTGACCCCTGGCAGCAGGCGCCTGGGGCAGGGGCAGCCAGCGGACAGAGAGCTACTGCTCAGGGTCACAGGCAATTATTTTAAAAGCCTGTTGCAGGAGAATGCGCTGCCTGTCCAGCACAACCTGCTCATCCTGAGGGTTGCACCGCCCCAGGTTGCTGCCAGGCTCACGTGCACACACGGGTGTTCACACGTGCCAGTCATGCACACAGGGACGGGCACTGCCAGGGCACACGTGGTGTGGATGCAGAGCCCTGTGGTCTGCACGCAGACCCCAGAGAGATGGGGTCCTGGCCACCCTCGAGGTCTGCGCAGAAGGAGGCCCCACTTGCCCAAGCAGCCCTCATCATTTGGGGGCTTTCCCTACAGCCCCTGGCACCCTCCCACCCCCATCCCCAGCACAGACCACCTCCTGACCTTTGACTCGCCCACCCCACGCCTGGGGTACAGGGACGGGGGCCTGAGCTGAATGGGAGGACTTCCTGTCACATCCAGCCTCACGCTGGGGTTGCGAGGAGAAATAGGCGAGAAGGCGGACCTGGCTGGGGGAGTGGAGGAGGGGACCGCTGTTGTGCTGTGATTCTCTCTAATTGCTGTTTTGCTGAGAGGTAATTAAAAATCTCTTTTTATTTCACACGTCAGAGCCTTCGCTAGCCTGTGGAGAGGGCGCAGGGGGAGGCTGGGGGGTGGGGGCAGTGGAGAGCCGGCGCATGGAGGGGTCAGGGAGGTGAAGCATCTGAGCCCAGCCTGCCTGCCAGGAGCCCCCAGCCCTGCCCGGGCCTGGCCTATGACCATCCCGGGTGCAGCCCAGGCCAGGGGTCTATGCAGCCCATCAAAGCCAATGAAGGTCATGATAATGAAGTCAGTCAGCAATGTCTCTGGGGTGCCTCCCAGGTGCAGGTGTTCTGCTGACTGCCCAACCTGTGAAAAATACAATCATGACCCTATGTGTCGGGACAGAGATAAAGCTGAGACTTGGGGAGATTACGAAACAGCCAGGGTTTCTTAACCTATGGCTCTTCAGTGGTGGAACTGGATGTGAACAGGTCTGACTCCAAACTCGGAAGCACCGCAGCCGCCTGCCCATCCAGCCCACATAACTGTCTCCTCCTGTGGACCCCACTTGAGGTCCACAGCCCTACCCTGACCCTCCTCAGAGCCCATGGGATGGGCCACAGCCTTGGGACTCCTGCTCAAGACCCATGCACCAGTCCATGCCTGCCACTCTGGACCCCATGATCACCTGCTGACAGGTCCTTTGGGTCTGGAGAACCGGGACTCACATCGGCCACCAGGACTTGTGGATGCTTCCCAAAGACCTGGGAAGGCCAGGGGGCCATGGCGAGACCAGAGCCCCGACCAATGCCCAGCCAGGGTCAGGCAGGAAAGAAGAGAAACCTCTGCCTTCTCCTGGGCTGGCTGGAGGCAAGGGGGTTAACAGTAGGTGGGGTAGGCACAGGATCCACAGAGAAGCACCCTTTGGCTTCATACCCCTGCATCACCAAGCTTCCTATGTGCCTTGCTATCTTTCTTCACTAGACCTGAATTGCAGCACCCCATCCTTGTCATCCTCCCCTTTTCTACCACCATCAGCACCATCACCTTATCTAGATCATCCTTTTCGCCTAATTCCCCAACATCATCACCACCTCCATCATCATCATCATCATCATCATCCCTTTCAACAAAACCGTCACCACCATCATCGCCATCAGGACTCACCTTGTACCAGCACTGTTGCATCTCACTGAATCCTTGCAACACCTACCAAGGGGCAGGTACCATTATTATCCTCCCACTTTGCAGGGTGAGGAGACCATAGCTTACAATGAAGGGGCTTTTCCAAAGTCATGACCAGGAAGTGTCAGAGGTAGGACTTGAACCTAAACTGCTTGACATCAGAGCCCAAAGTCATAACCGCTATACTTTACCACAGTCCATCAAGGGGTTCTAAGGAATCAAGCTGGGGGAGGGGGGCAAGGGGGAAGGAAAGTGGGGGAGAGCAACTTGCCACTTGGACTACTCAGGAGCAGCAGCATCAGAGGCAGGCCCTCCCTGCAGCCAGCCTGTGCTCCACCCCCACTGGTGCATGGCAGTTGTGCCCAAGCCTCCCTGGCTGAGCTTTCTACCCTGCAGAGTTGCATAGAGGGGATGTTAAAAGGGACTGTGTTGACTTGAGAAGCTGAATCCTAGTTTTGTCTCCAGTCAGATGGAGGCCAGCTTGCCCCACCTCCCTCAACATCCCCTCACTTCTGGGCCACGGCTGGCTCTGGGGGCGCTCATTCACCTCTCGTGGGTGGCGGCCAGGCTGAGGATGGACAGTGTGTTCGTTTGGGCTGCTACAGCAAACACGACGGGCTGGGTGGCTTCAACAGGGCGCGTGTATCCTCACAGTCCTGGCGGCTGGGTGTCTGAGACCAGGGTGCCAGCACGGCTGGCTTCCGCTGGGGGCCTCCTGGTTTGCAGATGTTGTCCCCTGGTTGTCTCCTCCCACGGCAGAGAGCAGAGGGAGGAAGCATGTTCTCTCCCATCTCTTCTTAGAAGGGCACACATCCCATCATGAGGGATCCACCCTCATGGCCTAATCACCTCCCAGAGGCCCCAACTCCAGAGGCCATCCCACTAGGAATTAGGGCTTCAACACAGGAATTTGGGGGACACTAATATGCAGTCCACAATAGACAGTGAGGCCAGGGCCACGCGGCAGCCCAGCCGGACCCTTGGTGGTGTCTCAGGACAGGTTATGGCCAAGAGAAGGCTCTTTCCTCAGCCTGCCAGCCTCCCTCTCTTCAGCCTTCCTTGTCCCCAGCCACAGCCCAGGGCATTGGCCTTGAAGTATTGTTCCCCTAGGGTGGTTGGAGTGGGCAGCCATATCCCCAGACACGAGCCATCTGATGGGGGTGCTGAGGTGGGAAATGGGGGCCCGGGGGACTGCAGAGTAAGAATTGGGGGTCCCTACTACCCATCTGATGGGGGTGCTGGGGTGGGAAATGGGGGCCCGGGGGACTGCAGAGTAAGAATTGGGGGCCCTGAGGCCCACTGGCAGGTGCTCACCTCTTACAGGCAGGGATGAGGACCCATGTGTGCAGGCAGCTGGGTGGACTGACTCAGAGTTAAGCAGATCCGGGAAGCAAGGGACAGAGGGAGAGGGGAAGAGGCGAGGACTGCCGAGCAGCCCTGAGAGGAGAAGCCGGGGCTTCCTGGGGCTGCAGGAGTGGGGTAGGGGCTGTCTCAGCTGTGTGCAGCAGCGTGGGCCTGGGGGTAGGGAAGGAGCTCGTCCATCTCTGCATCCCCAGTGCATAGCGCTGGCACTAGGAGGTACTTCATATGTATGGAAGGAAAGAATGAATAAACACATTCTCAGGATTCAAACTGTTCTGATAGGACATGACACCCATGGAGGTGCTCCCCATCATTGAAGCAAAAGGGTTGAAAGCCCAGGCTCTGAAGTCAGAGTGATCTGGATTCAATCCCAGCGCCACCCTCCACTAGCTGTGGACAGGTTACTTAGCCTCTTTAGGCCTCAATTCCTTTGCCCCAAAATAGGGACAGTAATATCTACCCAGGCTAGATTTAAGTGAGATGACTTCCAAAGAGGGCAGAGAAGAGCCTTGTCCCCATCATGGGCAGCTAGGGAGTGGCCCAGTGTGGGCAGTCCTTGTCCAAGCCCACCCCTCCCTCCAGGAAGGAGGGAGGACAGCCAGAAGCCCTGAGCTTCCCTCCCCATTCTCCTCCAGGCCCTGATCACTTCCCACACCCATCATTTCTCCCCACAAGGAGAAACTGGGCACGGCTGACCCCAACGAGATGAAGTTCCCCAGCCAGCTGCTCCAGGGCAGTGAGAAGACCCCCAGGGCAGGGCCAGGAGGCAGGGATGAGGGCAGAGACTGCAGGATCAAGGATCATGGGGTGTTTGGGGCCACTGGGACATCTGGGAAGGGGCCCCACAGAGGCCAGTGGAGTCCCAGAGCAGAGGGTGAGTTTTCTCCCTGCTACCTGCTGAGTGACCCTGCTTGAGCCCTTCTGGTCTCTAAGCCTCCATTTCCTCATCTGTAACATGGGAATAATAACAGGACCAACCTCTCAGGGCTGTCATGGGGTTTATGAGGTGATGCTGTGAAAGTCTCGAGTGGTAGCATGTCTGGCACACAGCAGGGCCTTAGCCACACACGCACCCACACACATGCATACACATATATGTGCAGAAACACACACAGGGCTGGCTCTGGAGCCCCTTCCCCCTGCCCCTGGCACATCTGTGGTGGTGATGCTCTCCGCTCTCCCCTCCTGTCAATGTTCCCTGCCAGCTAATGGACCAATTTTTTAGCATTACGGAGATTTGGCCAATTTGGCGACCTTGACAGAAAGGCGCACAGAGAACCGTTGCCTGGGGGCGGGGCGGGTGTGGAAGCCAGGGTGGGAGAGGAGGAGGAAGATGGGAAGGAGAGGGGCTGTGGGCTCCACCACCTTCGGCCTGCTGCCAGCCCAGCCCCTCCTAGTCCAGACAAGGCGGGGTGGAGCCACTGCAGAGATCACAAAGATAATTAGCCCTACTTATGGGCCCCTCCTGTGCACGGGGCCCTGTGCTAAGCACTTTGCATATATTTTCTCTTTTAATCCTCCAATAACCCTATGAAGTTGGTTCTATTATTTGCTCTATCCTTCCTGGTGTGGAAACTTAGACACAGGAGGCTCGGAGCTTGCCCAAGGTCACAGAGCCAGGAAGTAAGGGAGCTGGAATGGAAGCTGAGGCTTGAAGCCAGGCCTCTTAACCATAACTGAGCTGTTTTTAACTAAAGGCTGAAAATTAGGACAGGACACCCTCCACCTATCCACTCAGCCCCTACCGCCCACCCCCACCCCACCTATCCATTCCTCCACCCCAACACACACAGTCTCCAGGAGCCTCGGCTGTGTCACCAGCCTCTCAGAGCTCCAAGGGCAGGGGATCCCTATCAGTGACACATGGGCCTCATTTCCTTCTCGGGCTGAGGATGCTGTCACACCTCAAAGACCCCCAGAGCCAGCTCTTTCTCTGCAGGGAGAGAGCCCTGGGCACCACAATTGCTGGGCATGGGCAGGGTTCCCAGCTCCTGGCTGGGCTCTCCTCTCCTGCCCAGGCTGTGGACTGAGGTGTCCTGGCCAGCTGTGGCTTTCAGGGCCCCTCCTGGGGTCAGTGCCAGGGTGGACGTGGGTATCAGCTGTGTCCTCCATTAAACATTCAGGGCCCTTCTGGGAGCAAGGAGGCAGATCTGCCAGGGAATGGGGGAGGGGTGGGAGGAGGGGGAGGGGAGGGCTGCCACGGGCAAGGGGAGGGGGCTGCGGAGCTCCGTGCATTAAGCGATCAGAGAGCACAATATTTCATTGCCGGCAATCGCAGCCAAGACATCAACTACTTGGGGAGAGCAGCCTTAAAAGCCTTTTGATTTTATTTCTTCCACTTTATTTTTTTTTTTCCTTTCCCTTGCTGGTGTCCTTGACAAGGCTTCCCTTCCCCCTATCCTGCCCCTTCCCCAACCCCAGCTGTAATGCTCCTCAGGGGCCCAGAAACCTGGCTGGGGAGGGGCTGAGGCTATGGGCTCGGCTTCTCTAAGGCTGAGAGGGTCCCCCTGGGGCCTGCAGCACCCCCAGCCAGACCCAGGACTGTGTGTGCGCACGCGTGTGTGCAGGTGTTGCTTGGAGACTCCTGTGCCCTTGCGTGCATGTATGTGTCCCTGGGCACCACGGCGTGCATATCTGAAGTATGCTCCTGCTGACACACACCTGCGTGCGCACAGGCCCCCGTGTGCACACGTGTGTGCATGCTTGGGTGTCAATGTTCACGCGTGTGTGCGTGCGTCCTCACCGTGCATGCGCCCACAGAAAATACCACCGAAGTAAGAGACGGAAGAGACGGGAGGTTGGGGGGAGTGGAGCGGGGTGGTGTTGGGGGAGGAGAGGGGGGCGGGGAGGCAAGATCAGACGACAAAGAAAGGGAAGGCAGAGGCGGGGGCGGGAGGGAGGTTTATCCGTAGGAGTCAGCCCAGTTGGGTCAAACTAAGGACCCAGTGCAGACCCCGAGGCCCAGAGACACAGGTGTGCGCACAAACACGCACTCTGCGGAAGGCCGGGGCGGGCCTGGCCGCTGCGGGACTCCTGGCCCGGCGCCCTTGACGTCAGCGGCTGGGCCGTGACGTCACCTCACCGCCCCCGCCGCGCTCCCGCCCCCGCCCGCGGGCACTCAGTCTCCGCTAATGGCAGGCGACGGGGAATGGCACATCTGTCTTGCCGGGAATTAGTTCATTGAATCAGGCGGCCCGAGCTGCGGCAGCGACCTTAGCCCTGGCCCCAGGGAGGGGTCTGGGCGGGCGGCGTGGGGGAGGTTCAGGCTGGAGGGCTGAGTGCGGGGACGGGAGGAGGGGACTCACCTGGACTCGCGAGGGGGACTGAGCGCTCTCCAAATATAGGTCAATGTCCCGCTCAGCCTCCCTCCCCCAGCACCGTGAGGACCGAGGCCTGGGGCCTGGCGCCCGCCTGGTGGACCTCGGGGGCAGGCTGGGGACCGGGCCCCTGCGGGACGCGGCGCGGCAGGACGCTCCCCGCGCCTTTCTTTCTGCACCTGCCCCTCGGGGTGGGTCCCCCTCTTTACCCTCGCTTCCCCCCGCGGGTGCCGATAAAGGCGGCTAATTCCCGAGCCCGGGGAGGGAGGGGGCGACTGTTCCAGTCAACACTTCCCCGCGCTCTTCCCCGACCCTCCCAGAGCGTTCCCGCTGCTCAGGGCGAGGAGCAGCTGCGGCCAGTTTGTCCTAGCGGTTTAGGAGGCAGGGAGGTTTCCTCCAGCCTGGAGCTCTGGCTCGGGCCCTCGGGCCCCAACACCTTCCCGCTGAGACCGCGGGCGTTGTCCCTGGGTCTCTCTGCCTCCATTTCCCCCACCTCCATTCTGGTTACCCCTTCCCCCCACTCTTTCCTTCCTAACCCATGAGAGCACTGGAAAGATGCTAGAAAGTCGGGCTTCTAGAGCCCCAGCCCTGCCTCTTGTTCCTGCGAGACTGTGGGCAGGTAATTTAGCCTCTCAGCCCCTTTCATCTGACGCTGGGAAGTAATGAGGAGACCCCACTTCTCTGGGAAGTTCAATGATATGCGTAAAGGGCTTAGAATTAGCAGATTCTGGTAGCCAGTGCGTTACGGTTTTGCACTGGGGAGGCAGAGCTGCCGCGGGAGTGTGGCTTCTCTAGAAAGATCCCTGGGCACTTCAGTGATGAAAGTACCACAGTGAGGATTGTGGTGATGCAAAGGGCGGAAGAGTCTGGTGGGGCTGCCAAGTGGGCCAGGCTGGGGTCCCTCGAGATGGAGTCCCTTGAGATAGGGAGGCTCACCCACACCAGGGATCCCACCCCAAACTCAGGCTTCGCCTCCCTCTGCTTCTACCAGGTTGTGACACTGACCCACTGGGCTTTTCACATTACTTCCACACCTTTGCTTGGCCCTTCCCGCTTTCACCCATTGGCAACTTAATTTTGAATGCTTAATCCATGAACAGTATCATCCCCATTTCACAGACAGGAGAAGGTTCAAAGAGGCAGAGGTTCAGAGAGGTTAAGTGACTTGCCAAAGACCTCACAGCTATGACATGGCATAGCTGGGATTTGAACCCAGTGCTCTGGCCTCAAATGTCAACTACTCTCTAATACTCTGCCTCACCTCTGAGAACCACTTAGTTGCTAGGAGACAGCAAGCTGGCGGTTACTATGGGAACTGGGCTGATGTGGAAAGTGGAGAGTTGGTGTCCAGGCAGCAATGAGAAGGCTCCAGGTAGGTTCCACATCCCTCCCCTGTCCCTTCCATGAAGGCAGCCCTTGGCATTCAGCTCTGGGTTCCAGATGGCACATGTCCTGATGGGACCTGAGGGAGGTGCAGTGATGGTGAGTTACGCTGGACACTGCCCTGGCAAGCCAAGAGCCCTGGTGGAGGATGTGGTCCCAAAGATGGGTCTGAGGGGCGAGACAGGCCAGAGAACCTCACGATCCTGCTTTCCGGACATTTGCTGCAGTCACACCTGCCCTGCAGACAGTAGTGCAGAGCAGAGCCTTTCCTTGTGAAGTAAGGAAAAGGGAAGGCAGAACCATGATGGGGCACAGACCCATGCCAGAGAGTTCTGGACCCAGGAGAACACCTCAGTTCTCTCAACTGTAAAATGAGGATGATACCAGCCCCTCTCTCATAGTGTGCTGAGAAAATTGACAAAGATACAAAGCACTATGTCTGACACATAGACTTCACTGACTGTGTGACCTTGGACAAGTCACTTAGCCTCTCTGAGCCTCTGTAAAATGGGGATATTAATAGGACCTGCTTTATAGGGTTGCTGTAGGGATTCAACATGTGCGTACAGGTAAAGGTCCTCCCAGGCTTTAAGGACTATCTACAGTGTTTGCTGTTCTGTTTTTGTTTTGTTTTGTTTTGTTTTTTGAGACAGAGTCTTGCTCCGTCGCCCAGGCTGGAGTGCAGTGGCACAATCTCGGCTTACTGCAACCTCCACCTTCCAGGTTCAAGTGATTCTCATGCCTCAGCCACCTGAGTAGCTGAAATTACAGGAGCGTGCCATCATACCCAGCTAATTTTTGTATTTTCAGTAGAGACGGGGTTTCACCATGTTGGCCAGGCTGGTCTCAAACTCAGCCACAAGTGATCCGCCAGCCTTGGCCACCCAAAGTGCTGAGATTAGAGGCATGAGCCACCATGCCCGGCTGGCTGTTCTGTTTGTAGAGTAGATCTCCCCAGCCCCAGGAGTCCAGGTCACTCTGAACCCCCATGCTTTTCTCTCTTCCTGTCTCAGGAGAAAAGCCTCCTCCTGCCCCTAACCTTTTGCCAGGTGCATGAGGAGGAGCTGAAGTGAGAAACAGGACACTCTGAGGCCCCAGGCCGCCCCTACTCCAAGGCCTGAGGTCCCTGCCAGGCCACACTTCAGGGACCCGGAGACTGGGAGGCTGCGGCAGCAGGGAGTGAGGAGTGGGGGCAGCGCTGGCAGCTCCATTTGCTCCTGGCCAGCCTGTCAGTCCCTTAATCTGATCCCGGAGGAGCAGTGCAGAGGCTTCACTCTGGATGACAAACGAGGAGGGGAGAGTCCTGCTCTGCCTGGACTCCGGGTGAATAATGGCCTTGCATTAAGATATTAGGTCGGGGCGACAAGAAATGTGCCCTCCCTTACATGGCTGTGAAGAGCCCAGAGAGGGGGAGGCTTCCTGAGGACTGAGCCCCTGGGAAGGGCCGGGGGAGTGGAGGGATGTCCGGAGAGGGCTTGGGAAGGGGGAGGGCGGGGTGAGGGACACAGAGACAGGCCACGGAGATGCCCAGAAACAGAGACACCGCAGGGAGAGAAGAAGCAGAAAGGGAGGGTGACGGGGGGAGACAGAGGCTCCCTGAGAGACAGAAAGAGGAGCAGGCGTGTCAGAGGGAGGCAGAGGCAGAGGCCCAGATGAAGGTGGTGGGGAGGGAAAGGGAAGAAGGACAAAGAGACAAACTTGGCGGGAGGGGAGCAGGGGGAGGGGGGAGGCCCTGCGCTCACACAGGGCAAGGATGTCTCCATCAGGGGCTTCAGATTCCCACTGGGGGCTGTGTCCCTAGCCCTCCAGGGAGGGCCAGGCTGGAGACAGAACTTCAAGGCTGGCCGCTTGATGTCCCTCTACTTGATCCTGAGCCTCCTGGGTGGGGAAACACTGGCTGGGGATGATTGTCCTCTCAGAAGTGGCTCAGGCGAACATTCTGGGCTTCCAACCACAGGGGCAGCACCCTTCTGTGGGCAGCCTGCTTCTGGAGGAGAGGGGTCCTGGCCCCCAGGGAGGGGGGACACAGGGGCCAGCCAGAGGGTGAGCCCCAGCTCTGGGCTCCTGCACTGTTCTGCAAGCCCCATATCCCACAGCCTGAGTCCTGAGATGCAGGGCTGCCTGGGGCAGGGACCTCTGGAGATGAGCCAGGCCCAGAGCAAGGCGTGGGGAGAGCGAAGCCTGGAGAGAAGAGGCTGGGAGAGCAACTCAGGCAGAGGGGATTCCTGACAGGCTCTGAGGGGAGCCTGCCTCTCTGTCACCACAATTCAGCCTCCCTGGACCCCACAGGCCCGGGTACAAATCCTAGCTCCATCCCTTTTTGTTCTGTGACCAGGTGCAGGTTGTGTGACACACGGTGCCTCGCTCAGTGGCCCCGCGTGAAAAGGGGGATGATTATGATTATAGCCCCTCCTGCATGCAGCTTCTGTGGGGGTCACTGAGTCTGTACCTGGAGGATTCCCGGAGCCAGGACTGCCATGGGCTAACGGTTCAGCGAACCCCACAAATCATCATTCATCTTATTATTTCTCTAGGCCCAGCCATGTCTGTGTAAACAAGATGATACTGAAAACAAGTCCCTGCACCTCCTTTTTCTTCCATTCTCCCCAGCGGCTCTTGCCCAGACCTGAGAGTCCTGACTCACCTTGCCAAGCCATCCACCTATCCACATCTCAATTGCCGCATCTGCAAAATGGGTACACTGTGAGGCTCCGTGGAAGTGGTGTGGGTAAGCACTGAATGAGGCCCACAGAAGCCTGGTTCAGATGCCCTCTGCTCTGAGGACCCCTCTCCTCCAGAAGCAGGCTGCCCAGGGAAGGGTGTTGCCCCTATGGTTGGAGGCCCAGCACATTCGCCTGAGCCACTTCTGACAGGACAGCCATCCCCAGCCAGTGTCTCCCCACATGTGCACACACATGGGGGAAGGACTGGGAGCCTCCCAGAGTGGAGATGCTCAGGCACAGCTGTCAGGTGAGGGAGACCCCCCAAAACCAGGCCTAGGGCCCCATGTACTTGGGAGTAGAGGACCCCTTCCCCTGCAGCCCTAGCCCCTCCTCATCAGGACCCCCTTCCCCTGCAGTGCTAGCCCCTGCCCTGCTCAGCTCACGGAGCTGCCCGCTGCAGACGGCCCCCACCTGGTGTCCCGCTGTGCTGTTGCCCCTGTGAATTGCTTAATAACTGTTGAACAAGGAGGCTGCGGCGTTGGTAGCGGACCCTGCACTGTGCTCACTTGGGATTGCACACGTGGGCAAAGCTGCCTGGTGCGCAGCTTGAACAGAGAGGGGGTGATTTGGAAACAGGAAAGGCAGCTTTGGAGAAGGAGGGGGGCAGAGTGGAAAGATAATGGGAAGTCAGGAAAAGCAGAAGGCTCACCTCCCTGAGCCCCAGAAACCTCCGAGGCAGAGAGGCTGTGTCCTGCTGGGTAGGCTGAGGGAGGAGGGTTGGGCTTTTCATGGGGAGATGGGTACTGGGGCATCCACAGCCACTGAGATTTTCCTTCACTTGCCCCAAGATCTCTCCCTAAATCTCCCGGCTTGGACCCTTTGGTTTTATCTAGCTCCCAGCCCTTGTGGGGTCCTGGAATTTGGCCCAGGGCTGCCCAGGACTTCCTAGTCCTTCGAGGCCTGTGACTCTCACTGAGCGCCACCAGGAGGCACCCCCACACCTGCTCACCCAGGTGGGCCCTGGGACCCTCCAGCCTGGCAGGTGGGGAGGAGGGGCTTCCTCAGGGTAGAGGTGGGGAGGGTCTTCGGGCCTCAGGCCTTGTGGCTCAGAATCCAGCAGTTCAGTGGTTCAGCGGGGAACCAGCATGTCCCCGCAAGGTGATCGTTTATCTCTCCTGACCTCCCAGTGCTTCTTGCCCTGACCACAGACCCCTGCCCCCCAACCAGCTCACACACACACCCACAGCCACACTGGGTGAGTGACAGGTGTCCCACCAGAGACTCGCTTCCCAGTGCCGCTGCACCTCCATCCACGGTCAGCTTTTCTGGTCACTCCCTCAGTCCCTACCCTCCGAGTCCTTGGCCTTAGTGTGGGCGGAGGGCCAAGTCTGGGGCCCGGTAGGGCCACACCTGCTGCACACCCTCTTCTCTCTGAGCCTCCATCGCTTCCTGAAGGTTCCATGGACCAACTGTTCCTAAACATGGTTTGTTTGGACTCATCTGGCACTTTGATACTTTGATATTCATTCGGCACTGCCAGGCCACCTCAGGTTGAGGTTTATCCCTGAACCAGCTCCCTACCCCAGCACCTCCAGTCATGTGCCCTCTGCCCTCCAGAAAGAAACAAAGTCCCTGAAATATCTTTACATTTTTTTTTCTGTGGATAATACACCCATATAATTAAAAAATCAAAGCAATTCAAAGTTCCACTCCCATTCCCATGTACCTGGTTTCCTCTTCCACCCCATAACCCCAGGGGGCTACTTTAATTCTGTGTGTAGTCTAAAACAAATTATGTGCTTTTCTTTTTGTCCTTTCTCACACAAAAAGTAGAATGTTCCTCATTTGAGTACACTGTTCCTCATTTTGTTTTCACTTAATCTATCTTGACGTTCTTTCCACAGCAATAGATTCCTCATTCTTTTTTCACAGCTGTATAGTATTTCATCTCTCTCTGTCACCCAGACTAGAGTGCAGTGGTACAATCATAACTCGCTGCAACTTCAAATTCCTGGGTTCAAGTGATACTTCAGCCTCCTGAGTACGTAGGATTACAGGTGCATGCCACCATGCCCAGCCTATTTATTTACTTTTATTTTTATTTTTGAGACAGAGTCTTCCTCTTTCACCCAGGTTGGAGTGCAGTGGCACAATCTTGGCTTACTGCAACCTCCGCCTCCCGGGTTCAAGCAATTCTGGTGCCTCCGCCTCCTGAGTAGCTGGGATTACAGTCGTGCACCACCATGCCTGGCTAATTTTTGTATTTTTAGTAGAGACGGGGTTTCACCATGTTGGCCAGGCTGATCTCGAATTCCTGACCTCAAGTGATCCACCTGCCTCAGCCTCCCAAGTTTCTGGGATTACAGGCATAAGCCACCGCAGCCAGCCAATGCCTAGCTAATTAAAAAAAAAATTTTTTTGTTTTTTTTGCAGATATGGGGATCTCGCCATCTTGCCCAGGCTGGTCTCAAAACTCCTGGCCCCAAGCAGTTCCCACCTCAGCCTCCCAAAATGCTGGGATGACGGGCATGAGTCATCATTCCCAGTCTCGTACACGGTTTATTCAACTGAGTCCTTCCTCCATCACTACCTGAGTTGTTGCTACTTTTCTTTTTTGTTCTTTCTGTCAATGTTGCAGTGAACATCTTTGTACATCTGTCATTTTATAACTGTGTTTTTCTACATATCTGTAGGACAAAATGCTCTGAAGTGGGAGTACTAAAGAATAAGAATGCGTGAGACCAGGTGCGATGGCATGACACTTTGGGAGGCCGAGGCATGAGGATTCTTGAGCTCAGGAGTTCAAGACCAGCCTGGACAACACAGCTAGACCTCTTCTCTATAAAAAATTTTAAAACTTAGCTGGATATGGTGGCAAACGCCTGTGGTCCCAGCTACTCAGGAGGCTGAGGAAGGAGGATCACTTGAGCCCAGGAGGTCAAGGCTACAGTGAGCCGTGGCCACGCTATTGCACTCCAGCCTAGGTGACAGAATGAGGCCCTGTCTCATTTAAGAGAAAATAAAAATTAAAAGGAGAATAAGAGTGTGTGTACTGTGGGTAGGTATTTGTGTAGGCATTGTCAACTCTCACTGTGACTCTCCTAAAAGCAATGAATGAGACTGTTTCTCAACAGACTCACCAAAATCAAACTATTGGATTTTTGCCATAAATTCACTTGTGTTCAGTGCCCTCTCCCCCAGGAAGCCTGCCCTGACCTCCAGAGTGTAAGCAAGCCCCTTCCCCTGTCCCCAGCACTCAAGGCTTCTCCTACACAGCGCCGTGTGCATTTGAGATGACTTACGTAGTCCTTACTTTTTTTTTTGGTGGTTTTTTTTTTTTTTTGAGACAGAGTCTTGCTCTGTCACCCAGGCTGGAGTGCAGTGGTGCAATCTTGACTCACTGCAAGCTCCGCCTCCCGGGTTCACGCCATTCTCCTGCCTCAGCCTCCCGAGTAGCCTGGCTAAATGTTTTGTATTTTTAGTAGAAATGGGGTTTCGCCATGTTAGCCAGGATGGTCTCGATCTCCTGACCTCGTGATCCACCCGCCTCAGCCTCCCAAAGTGCTGGAATTACAGGCGTGAGCCACCACACCCGGCCAGTCCTTACTATTATTACTTTTTTACCATTTGTCTACCACCAGGCTATTAGCTCCATGAGGGCAGGGACTGTGCCCCAGTTCTCAGTGCAGCATGGGCATGTCATAGATGCTGAGCACACCTTTGTCATCTGGGACAGCCCCCTGTGTGCCCAGCACCCTAGCAGCTGCTTTGGCTGGGTGGCCTGAGCTGAGCCCCTCAACAACCTTCTGAGGGAGGCCCTGGTATTAGCTCCATTGAGCAGATGGGGAGATGGAGGCTCAGAGACAGGAGGTAGTTTGCTCAAGGACTCACAGCTGGCCAGCTGGGAAGTCCTTACCCCTCACCCCCACCCCTCTTGCCAACATCCTGGCTTGATTTCTTCCCTGCTCTGGTCCGTGGGGTCCCCAGTCCCCAGGAGGCGTGGTCCGGCCCAGGTCACAGTAGCAAGCCCAGGATCGGCCCCTCCACACCACCTGCAGTGATGCAGAGCCAAGCTGGGGGCCAGCCTGAGTCCCCAGGGGCCTTGTCAGCCTGCGCGGTCAGGTCCCCTGTGCAGTGGCAGTGGCAGGGACCACAGTGACCCTGGTAGCCATACAGTTGCTACAGCCCTTTCCCGGAGGCCCCGTGGCTGTGCTGGCTTTGTGCCCAACTGTCACTCTGTCCCCAGTGGCTCCTCATGCTGGCTGCCTGCCTCCCTGCCTCCCATTAATCATGTGTGTGGGATTTATTTTCTCCAGCAATTTATTTCAGCAAATGCAATCTGGGTGTGCCCGCAGGTGGGCAGGATGCTCCGTTGCTGCCAGAGTCACAGAGCCCAGCTTTATTGTCAGGCTGACAGGCATGATTCCCCAGCGAGCACCCCCACCGCAGATGCCAGGTCTAGCCAAGCCCTGGGGCAGGATGCTAAGGACCCCTGGGACTGTTGCCACCCCCACATCACTGTGAACCTCAAAGTCCCATAGGCCTGGGAGCCCAGCTTGCCCCACTCTCTTTATTGGTTTTGCTGCCCCTACCAATGCTAGCTGGCTAAAGGGGTGTAGGGGAAGATTAGCCCTCCTGTCCTTGGCCTAAAACGGGCAGCCAGAGGTCTCTTCCGAAGATCCAGGTGGTGGCTCTTTTCAGTTTCCTGACCTGGGGAAGGAGGAGGTCCTTCCTCTGGAGCCCCCTCCTCCCCAGAACTGCTGGGCAGCCCAGACCTGATTCCCATGACAGTCACGGAGGGAAACAATCAGCTAAGGCAAACCCTGCCACCCCCTCACCACCCCCGCAACACGCATCCTCCTTTCGGGGGCTCCCTTTCATTCCTTAATCACCCCATGCCCCTCTCTCTAGGCCACCAAGTGTGGCCTCCCTGGGGCTAGGGAAAAGGACGTGGCTTTCAGGCCAGGACAGGAGCAAGTGGCTGCTCAGCTATGATTTCAGGTCCTGAGACACCGCTGCTCCCAGTTATCTGCCCACTTACAGGCCTTGGAAGTCGAAAGGGAAAGAGCTGTGGGCAGGGGTGGGCAGGGACCCTCCACTTGGTCTGGCCCTCACCAAGCCCTTTGCAGCCTGCACCCACTCCCCCCAGCCCTGCAGTGTTTCCAGGGGCCCAGACCCTAGCCTGCGGGCACCTGCTTCCTCTCTTAGTATCCCCCAGGTTCATCCTGAGGCCCCGCCCCCAGCTTGCCCTGCCTGGCCAGGCTGCCTCTAATGCTGCAGATAATTTCTGCTGTCGCAAAGCCATTACCCTGCAAATGGGCTGACTCCAGCATGTGTGCGTGTGTATGTGTGTGTGTGTGTGTTCCCGTGTGTGTGCATGCGCACGTGTGTGCAGGGGAGGGTTGGCTGCGGCAGGTAAAGCGCCTTGTTTATGCCTCGCTCATCACTGTAATTGCCTTGGGGGATTTATTGGCTTTGTAAGCTCTCCCTGCACCCTACATGGCCTCCACCTGGCCCTGAGTGATGAGGCTGGGAGCTCTGGGCAGGGGGCTGGACATGCCCAGCAGGAGGGTAAGTGAGGCCTTGCGGAGGGCCCCCTGACCTATGCACCCACCCCTTCCTGCTCCATGCCTGGTAGCTGGACATAGAAGGAGATAGTAGCTGGGGCACCCCCACGAGGCCTCTCCAACCTCAGAGGCTCTGAGGAGGTTGCCAGTCTGGGGGTGCAAGATGGATGCAGAAGGGACACTGGAGGAACTTTGGTGGCACCCGTGTCTCTGGTTTCTCCTCTTCCTCTCCCCTTTAGGTCCCTCCCATCATCTGCTGGCCCCAACCCCACGCCTATATGTCTTCTCAGCTGTTCTGCCTCACCCACTCCTGCCTCACACAGCTGAGTCCCCTGCAAGGGAAGACAAAGCCTCGGCCCCAACCGTTTCATCCATTTCAAGAAGCTTCAACCTTTGTGTGGCTACCTTAGCAAACCCCTGCAGGGTTAGCAGTCAGAAGGCACTTGTGGACTCCCAAGGCAGGGCTGGGCAGAGGTTGAGGGTGTGGCCTCTGGCAGCAGGCAGAACAGCCTTCCATCTCTTCTCCAGTTCCTAGCAGTGTGGTCTCAGCTAGGTCAATCAACTTCTCCGAGCCTCAGTGGCCTCATCTGTAAAAT
Organism: Homo sapiens; assembly: GCF_000001405.40. Classification (NCBI taxonomy): domain Eukaryota; kingdom Metazoa; phylum Chordata; class Mammalia; order Primates; family Hominidae; genus Homo; species Homo sapiens. The sequence continues at coordinate 232,513,619 of NC_000002.12, forward strand.
GGGTCTGATGACACCTGCCTTAAGCAGTTATTATGAAGGTTTGATACATTGTAATACATCGAACTACATGAAATTCCCTTTACTCAACCAGCTTTTGACATTAATGAGTATTTACTCGGTGAAATATTATATCAATAAACTGTCTTATTGAAAAGATTTCTACTTGGTGCCTGTCCTTTTCTTTTTTACTCTTGATGTTTCGTATTTGTATAAATGCTACCTGCTGATTTTAAAGAATTCAAGTAACACAGGAAAGCACACAGAAGAAAGTGAAAAGCAAAACACAATAAAATAAACCTCAATTTCAGAAATTAAGCCATCATTAATAAATAACCACCATTTCCAGAAATTTCTTTTTACATTGATGCAGATAAGTTTAGAGAGATAGATTGCTAGAAATTTGCTGTAAGGAGGGATCCTATTGAAAATTTTAATATGACTTATTAAATCTAATTTGAGTTTATGTTGGCAGCAGTAAATGAAGCAACCATGAAGAGAACCACATGACTCCAAGAACCATCTCTACATCAGAGAGATGGTGTTTTCTAAAAAGATCATCTAAGGCTGGGCGCGGTGGCTCATGCCTGTAATCCCAGCACTTTGGGTGGCCGAGGCGGGTGGATCACTTGAGGTCAGGAATTTGAGACCAGCCTGGCCAACATGGTGAAACCCCATCTCTACTAAAAATACAAAATAAGCCGGGCATGGTAGCACACACCCATGCTACACAGGAGCCCCAGCTACTCAGGAGGCTGAGGCACGAGAATCGCTTGAACCTGGGAGGCAGAGTTTGCAGTGAGCCCAGATCATGCCACCGCACTCCAGCCTGGGTGACAAGGGCAAAACTCCATCTCAAAAAAAAAATCATCTAAGTTAACAAAAAGATTTGAAAGCAATAGCAATGGGAAATACTGATCAGGGAGAGTCTACTATGTAGGAGGAGGGGAAAATGGGAATAGTAGCATAGAAATTGAAGGTGTTAAATTAGCAAATTTCAAAGAAACACAGCCGTCAGCCAGACTGAAAAAAAGGAAAGGAAACTTATGGAGATCACAAGAAAAAAGACAAAAGACAAAAAAGAAGAACAGGAGAGGAAACAAGCAAAATTGTGAAATGGTTTGCATTCTTTTATCACAGGATTGAACAGTGGTCTTCAGTGGCATCAGTGGTGGTCTGGATGTATCCGTGCCCAAAATATTGAGTGAGGGGAGGGCAGGGAGGCCAGGGGTCTCACCTACTAAGGAAAGCCCTGGATACAGTTCCAGGATCACTCCATTCTCAGAGAACCACAGAGCCTGCAGGCGCCCCAGCTTCAGCAGTGCTCCCTTCTGGGCTAGACAGCACCCCTGCCTCTTCAGAGCCCTCTTAAAGTCAAATACAGGCCAGGCATGGTGGCTCATGCCTGTAATTCCAACACTTTGGGAGGCTGAAGCAGGAGGATTACTTGAACCTAGAAGTTCAAGACCAGCGTGGGCAATATAGCAACAAGTTGTCTCAAAAAAAAAAAAAAAAAAAGGCCAAGTTCAGCCCATGGGGAATAGGGAAGGTCAGAACAGAAAGCAAAGCTGAAAAGCTGAAAGGGACAGGCAATCCATGAGGAAGGCCCCATGGGGAGAAGCGAGCTCCTACTCAGACAAACTAGGGCCCAGGCCACACACAACCTGGGGAGCCGCCGCCCCTTCTGCAGTTTCGCATCCCATCCTGTCTCATTCTCTGCTCTCCCACAGCTCCCTTGCTGTCTCCCAAGCTCAGGCCCTCCCTGCCCTCTCTATATTCATGCAGGGAAACAGCACTTATCGATTCCGTCACATTTACAAAGAGCTGATCTAGAGCAACGACCACAGTCCCTGGCAGCCCTTTGCAGGAGGCCTAACTGTGTCAGCTCCTTGAATCCCCACCAACAAGATGGGGGTTACTAGCCTATTTCCCAGATGAGGACATGAGGTTGAGAGAGGAGAAGTATATTTGTTTCCGAGGGCTGCTGTTACAAGTTACCACAAACTGGGTGGCTTCAGACGACAGAAATTTATTCTTTCACAGTTCTGGAGGCGAGAAGTCTGAAAACACGGTGTCAGTGGAGCCCTGCTCTCTTGAAGCCTCTCCAGGAGAACCTGTTCCATGCCCTTCTCATAGCTCCGGTTATTGCTAGCTGTCCTTGGCATTCCCCAGCTTGAATTGCATCCCTCCAGCCTCCGCCTCTCTTGTCACATGACATTCACTTGTGTGTCTCTGTCTCTGTGTCTTCTTGTAAGGACACCAGCCTATTGGATGAAGGGCCCGGTGTGACCTCATTATTAACTAACTACAACTGCAGCAACCTTATTTCTGAATAAGGTCATAGTCTGAAGTACTGGTTGAACTTCCACATGTCTTTTTAGGGACACGATTCCGCCCATAACAGGAAGAGATTCACCCAAAGTCACATGGAGGTGCAATTGAATCTCCATGCCAAGCTCTGAATCATGGTCTCAGGCCAAGAAGACCTTACCTCAACCTCCCCTCACAACTTCATGGGGCAGCCGCACTGTAGTCAGCAAAGCTGGCCTAGCTGCAGGTCCCACCCTCCCATCTAGGGACACGGCCCCAAAGGCAGCCTGCTCAGCTGCTGCTCCCACTCTGCCTCTTTTTCTTTTCTTTTTTTCTTGAGACAGTGTCTTGCTCTGTCTCCCATGTTGCAGTGCAGTGGCGCATTCTTGGCTCACTGCAACCTCTACCTCCCAGGCTCAAGTGATCCTCCCACCTCAGCCTCCCTGAGTAGCTGGGACCACAGGTGCACGTGAACTTGCCCAGCTAATGTTTGTATTTTTTCTTTTTTTTTTTTTTTGTAGAGACGGGGTTTCACCATGCGGCCCAGGTTCCTACTGTGCTTTTGTCCACTTCATTGGAGAGGCCTAGGAGGTCAGGGGAGTTTGGGAAGGAGGGAAGGACAAGCACCTCCATGACATGGGGGGTCTTCAGGAGCTTGGAAGAGGAAGGCCCTTTCCCAAAGGACAACTGCAGAGATGCTGCATCATAGGTGGGTGCCCTTCCAGGTGCCGGCTGTCTCCTTTCCATTTCCAGAGGCCCAGCCCTTCCCACATTCATTCCTCGTCTGAGAAGGCTGCAGGACTGACTCATATCACCTAAGCCCACTGGAACCTCCTGACAGGAGCCTGCTGGGGTTTTCCAGAGATAACAGTGACAAGGTCCAAAGTTCTTTCCCTGTCTCTTCTTGAAATGGGAAGGTTGAGACCAAGGCTTGCCTCTGCCTGTGGAAGGATGGAGATGGAGCATCTGTGACCTCGGAGGACACCCAGGTGTGGAGAGAGGGCCTGCAAGTGACAGACCAAGACCTCTCTCCTCCCAGGGAAGAGATATGGAAGCCTGGAGTGGAGGCAGTGAGGGAGGAAGAGGAGAACTAGGGGCTTTCCTGGTCATCTTTGCATCCTTCCTGCAGCCTGGACTGTCACCAGGCCCCACCCAAAAGGAGAAGAAAGAGGGAGAGCCTGGGACAGCAGGGGTGGGGGTGAGCTCTGCACCTGTCTGAGCCACATTCTCTCCCTGTATCTGGAAATAGCTGCCTTAAATTCCCCTCAGAAAGCATTGCTTCTCTTTGCCTGACACAAACTCGAGAGAAGAGGAACTGCTGGGCCTGCCAGAGGCGGGCAACTGGGACTGAATAGGCTAGGTGTGGCTGTGAGAGCAAGGGCAGCAGAGCATGGACAGGGAGCTGGCAGGGGAGGGGAGACCCCAGCACTGCTTTGGGCAGGTTGAGATTGAAGTGCCAGGAGGCAAGAGATGCAGCCCTGGAGCAGGGGAGGGGCCAGTGCTGATCTTTTTTTTTTTTTTTTTTTTTTTTGAGATGGAGTCTTGCCCTGTCGCCCAGGCTGGAGTGCAGTAGTGCGATCTCGGCTCACTGCAACCTCCACCTCCTGGGTTCAAGCAATCTCATGCCTCAGCCTCCCAAGTAGCTGGGGTTATAGGCGCCCACCACCACGCCAGCTAATTTTTGTATTTTTAGTAGAGATGGGGTTTCACCATGTTGGCCAGGCTGGTCTCAAACTCCTGATGTCAAATGATCTGCCTGCCTCGGCCTCCCAGAGTGCTGGGATTACAGGCATGGCCACCGCATCTGGCCGTCAGGGCTGATCGTTCATTCATTTAGCGCATGTGTGAGTCGGACTCTGGTCTAGATGCTGGGACAGCACGGAGCCGGACAGACAAACCCTGCACCCTGTCATCCAGCTGGGCACCGAAATGCGAGCCTCTCCCTCTTACCAGCTTCCTTGATTCCTGATCAAGGAATTCAAATTCCATGATTCCTCCTGGGACCTCATCTGTCCTTTCCAGCTTGGCTGGGGAAGTGAGGGAAGCTGCTGTGCTGTGCCAAGGCCCCCCTCCCCTGTCCTGTTTTCCTATTCACTCGGGGAAGGGTCCATAGAGGATGGCATGGATTTCGGCAGGTCCCTGGCATTGAGCTGCTCGCTGGGAGGAGGTCTGGGGCCAACTGCTGGTACCCTTTTAACTAGACTATAGGAGACTGAGCCCCTTATAACAGCCAAGAATCCCCATCAACATCCTGCAACATAGGAATAAATACTCTAAAGAAAATACAAAGTCCGAGGCCAGGTGCAGTGGCTCATGCCTGTAATCCCAGCACTTTGGGAGGCTGAGGTGGGCAGATCACTTGAGCCCTGGAGTTCCAGACCAGCCCGGGCAACATAGGGAGACCCTGTCTCTACAAAAAATTTAAAAATTAGCCGGCATGGTGGTGTATGCCTGTGGTCCCAGCCACTCAGGAGGCTGAGGCAGGAGGATCACTTGAGCCCAGGAAGTCGAAGCTGCAGTGAGCCGTAACTTGTGCCACTGCACTCCAGCCTGGGTGACAGAGTGAGACCCTGCCTCAAATATAAAGAAAGAAAGAAAGAAAAATAAAGAAAATAGAAGACGGTTGTGTTACAGAGAATGAGACTGCAGGGATAGAGGCCTGGAAGTCTCTCCATCACATTCCAATGGAGGAAGCAGACAGGGAGTGAGTGCACGCTTAAACAATAATAAACAAAGTAATGTTATGAGGTGGGATTTTAATGTGGCTTCTAAGAGGTAACCTGTGCGAGCGGATGAAATTGAGCCAGACTTGGTTGGGTGGGTCCATACAGAAGAGAGGAGAGGGCTCGGGACCCAGCTGTGGGCACAGGAATCAGAGAACAGGAGAATGGGGTTAAGCAGAATTGCAGTCCACGCAGAAAGTTCCCTCCATTTTCTTTGGCAGTGGCTGGATTCTCACCCTGCCTCCCACCTGAAGACCAGAGGCAGGAGGGAGGCCCAGGGGCTCTGTGTGGGCTTGCTGTGGCCTGGCCTGCGTGACTCGGCAAGAATGGGCAGGACATACCTTCCTGGAGGCATGCCCTAGGGGAAGCGTCCATAGAGCTGCCTGGGTGGCTGGCTCCATCCCTATCCCCTCAGCTTGGATGCAGTAACCTGCAGGGCAGAAGCTCTGTTGAAGCTCTGTCGAATCCTCACAGAGGCCTGTGAGGATTTCCCACCCACCTTCTCTGCTCCTGGGTCCCCTGCTTTGGTGGCTCTTACTGGGAACCGCAGGCGATCTTCCTTTGGACACTGTCTCTGTTTATGCTAAAATTCAAGCTGTGTTGAGCTAATGCCTTATCTACCAAGATTGTGGAGGTCATGGATAAAAAGATACCCTGCAAGATGGACAGATACTCTGGTGAATAGAGTCCTTTCCAACTTCACCAAATTCACTCACCAGAATCATCCGCAGACAGTATTTTCAGAGCATTCCTGAAGTAGAGGTATTGTCATGGCGAGGTGCGGTGGTAACTGGGGAAAGGGCTCCTTAGCATGGTGTGCTGGTCACTGTGGAACAGCTGGCTCTCCAGGGGGAAAGAGCCCCGGGTCATAGCATTTGCTGATAAATATTCCCACCAGTTCACCTCACATGAATTGGGGAGCCTGGGCAGCGCAGACGGGCACTATCCTACCCCAGGTGGTAACTCAGTCCCAGGAGAGCTGTGTGGCCCTGCCCATGAGACTCCAGAGGACTCCAGAAGAATCCCACTGCCAGATCAGGGTCACAGAACAATGCCGGACAGGCAGAGCGGGCACTGTGCAGGGCCAGGGGGTCTGGGAGAGCGTCAGAAGCTGCTAGGGCCTGTCCTCCCGGAACTGGGCCACTGTGGGCCTTTCATCTCCCGCCTCCCTTTCCGCGCCACTCCTGCGGCTGCCTGCCTCTGCCCCTTCCCACCCCACCACCCCCAGTGCGGCAATTACGGCGCTAATTAGGCTGCTTTGATCATCTTTAGAAATGGCCACATTGGGGAGGGACTCTGCCAAGCAATTAGGGGCAGAGGGGTGGGGAGCTCCAGGGCTTCCTCAGGGGGTGGGGCTGCTGAGAAACCCCAGACACCCCCTGCCCTCCTCCCTCCAGGAGTGTCTGCCCCGTCATAGCTGTAAGCTCCTCAGGGGGTAGAGGCAGATGGGGATCCCCCCCCATCCCAGCCCTGGAGCCAGGGCCCGCCCCCACCCAGCAGCCCCCCTCTGCCTGGCCTGCAGCCCAACCGTCAGCCCTTCTTCCCTGTCTTGGCCCCTTTGATGGAGCCGCAGAAACAAGGGCTCCTTTGACAGAAGGGGGGCTCGGAGCTGGGATGATGAGACTTCAGAGGTGAAGGTCAAGCCCACTACCCCACTCCTCCCCCAGTCTTGGCCACCCTCCCGTGCACCCCTCCCCCAGGCTGTCCTCTATAAAGACCCTGCAGCCCCATTCCCCTGTGGGCTCCTAGGAGTTAAGGGCCAGGTGAGGGCTGACCAGGGAGGCGGGTAATTTTGATGTAAGAGAACGGGGTCAGATGATTTGAGGGACAAGAATTCAGTGCCCGGGGGCCGAAAGGCAGCAGAAGGCGGGCACCAAAGGATAGGCACCCGGAAGGTGGACTCCGAGGAGGAGAGAGGACAGGGGTCTCTCACCCCAGCTCCTGGTCACCATGCTGCTGGCTGTGCTGCTGCTGCTACCCCTCCCAAGCTCATGGTTTGCCCACGGGCACCCACTGTACACACGCCTGCCCCCCAGCGCCCTGCAAGGTAAGTCCAGGCTGGCCCGAGAGCCGCGGGGTTGGGAGGAATGTAGAGGAAGTGGGACCCTGGGCGGGCGGGGACAGAAGAGCTTGTCACCCCCACTCATAAGGACCTTTGGCTCCTTCTGCCCACCCTGCTGCGAGAAGGGGCCAAGAACTGAGATATAGGTGGGAGAGGAGGGGTGTGGCGGGAAAGGGAAGGGGAGCTGTTGAGCATGCCGAAAGGAATGGAGAGAAGGCCCCAAGAAGCAGAGAGAAACGGCCCGGGGCAGCACCCTGCCCTTGGCTGTCCCGGCCGAAGGTGGGCCACTCAAACACAGCTACTTTCAGTCAATAAAGCTGAGTTCTGCGATGTCTGTATCTTTGGGGTGGTGTCTTTAAAAAAAATTGTTAAGGAAAAGCACCTTTCAAAGATCCCAGTCCAGCTCAGTTGAATTAGGGAGACATCTTGGGCTGAGAACCTGGGAGCACGGGCTCTGAGTGCTGGGCCCAGCGTCCCCGGGGCTCACTTGCCTCCTCATTCTGTCCCAGGCTGGTGGGTCTCCCGAGGCAGGGCTCAGGGCTGGGGCCAGGAGGATGAGGCTGAGGCTCTTCCCCAACCACGCATGATTGTGTGCCCCCTGTCCCAGCAGTTCTGTCGGCCCAGGGGACTCAGGCGTTGCAGGCAGCCCAGAGGAGCGCCCAGTGGGCAATAAACCGAGTGGCGATGGAGATCCAGCACAGATCGCACGAGTGCCGAGGTGCCCACCCTGCCCCCCGTGCCCCAGTGAGCTTGCTGCCTACCCTGGGCCCATTCTGCTGCCTCTGTCCCTTCCCTTCAGTCTTCACTCTCCTCTTGGGGGCAGAGACTGTGTTGGGCCGCAACCTAGACTACGTTTGTGAAGGTCTGTCTCTCCGAGTGGAAAGGACACGCTAGGCTTGGGGCATGGCCTGTGCAAAGGCAGGGAGGCGGAAACACTCTGGGCTCCTGTGGTGACCAGGAGAAGTTCATGGTTGCTGAAATAGAACCCGTGTGGGCTGGAGGGCTGAGCGCGAAAGGAGAGATGGGGAGAGAGAGGCTCGGCCCAGCCTGGGGTGAGGACAGGCGAGAGGGCAGCAGTGAGACTCAAAGGTCTGTTTCTCTGCAGGATCTGGGCGCCCCAGGCCTCAAGCTCTCCTCCAGGACCCACCTGAGCCAGGTGAGGTTGAAAAGGCTCGAGGGGGCAGGCCTGAGAGCCGGGTGGGCCTCGAAGGCGAGGATGGCCAGAACATGTCCCTCGTGACACCCCTTGCCCCTTTCTAGGGCCGTGCGGCGAGAGGCGTCCGAGCACTGCCAATGTGACGCGGGCCCACGGCCGCATCGTGGGGGGCAGCGCGGCGCCGCCCGGGGCCTGGCCCTGGCTGGTGAGGCTGCAGCTCGGCGGGCAGCCTCTGTGCGGCGGCGTCCTGGTAGCGGCCTCCTGGGTGCTCACGGCAGCGCACTGCTTTGTAGGGTAAGTAGGACCCCCAGGCCTTGCCCAGCTGGGGTCCCCGGCGCTGGGCCCCGCACCTGCCGGGTTGTCCGGCGGGCGACGCGCGGGAAAGGTGGTCTCTGCTGCCCCCTGGCGGCGGCCGGCCCCGGGCTTCCCCATCTCAAGGCGCCGCGCCCGCCCCGCCAGGATGCCAGCCCGGAGGGGGTGGCACGGCCGGGCGAGTTCGCCCCCTCTGGGACGGGACCCCTCCCCGGCCCGCCCTCCGTGCCCCCAGGTGGAGAAAGCCCGGCATGCGGGCGGAGGGGCAGGGTCTCCGAGGGGCCTGCGGGGTGTGCCCCTGTCCTTCCTGCGTCTCAGCTGCCGCTCGACCCGCAGCGCCCCGAATGAGCTTCTGTGGACTGTGACGCTGGCAGAGGGGTCCCGGGGGGAGCAAGCGGAGGAGGTGCCAGTGAACCGCATCCTGCCCCACCCCAAGGTGAGAAGGCAGTCCCCAGGCCCCCAAGGCTGGGCACCGCACCCCCACCCGTGCTTCCTTGACCCTGCGCCGCCTCCCCCTCCTCAGTTTGACCCGCGGACCTTCCACAACGACCTGGCCCTGGTGCAGCTGTGGACGCCGGTGAGCCCGGGGGGATCGGCGCGCCCCGTGTGCCTGCCCCAGGAGCCCCAGGAGCCCCCTGCCGGAACCGCCTGCGCCATCGCGGGCTGGGGCGCCCTCTTCGAAGGTACTGGGCGTGGGTGAGCCGGCGCGTGGTGGGAAGAACTGGGGGTCCGAGGTAATAGAGTGTAGGGAGGCCGGGTTGCCTTGGAAAAATGCTGCCTGCTCTTTCAAAGGGGGAGGAATCAAGGGGGGTGGTGGGAAGGGGACCCTCAAGGCGGGGCTCTTGCCCTCCAAACCTGAGCCTTCCACCCCTTCCCTGCAGACGGGCCTGAGGCTGAAGCAGTGAGAGAGGCCCGTGTTCCCCTGCTCAGCACCGACACCTGCCGAAGAGCCCTGGGGCCCGGGCTGCGCCCCAGCACCATGCTCTGCGCCGGGTACCTGGCGGGGGGCGTTGACTCGTGCCAGGTATGAACCCAGTCTGATGAGAAAAGGCCGGCTGAGCCTTCCCAGGGCCACTACGGCCTCTTTTCCTTCCACGTCTGTCTGTCACTCGACTTCTCTGAGCCTCTCTGTCCTCATCCCTAAAATGGACACAAGTGGCAAGCTCACACCTGCCAGGCGTAAGGCAGGCGTCATAGGGGGCAGGTGAATGCAGCGTCCTCTCTCTTGGCCCCGCAGGGTGACTCGGGAGGCCCCCTGACCTGTTCTGAGCCTGGCCCCCGCCCTAGAGAGGTCCTGTTCGGAGTCACCTCCTGGGGGGACGGCTGCGGGGAGCCAGGGAAGCCCGGGGTCTACACCCGCGTGGCAGTGTTCAAGGACTGGCTCCAGGAGCAGATGAGCGGTGAGCGCCCTCTTTCCAATGCCCCGTCCCCAGTGCCCCAACGGACAACCGTGGGACAAGCCCGTTTCCACCCGGCCCATGCCCATTCCCAGCTCCCTTCTGCCTCGGGAAAGCCTGTCTCCTTCCGGGGAAGGAGTGAGGGGGCTAGGGCCCCAAACAGAGGGTGAGCTGACCCCTGTCCCGCCCGCAGCAGCCTCCTCCAGCCGCGAGCCCAGCTGCAGGGAGCTTCTGGCCTGGGACCCCCCCCAGGAGCTGCAGGCAGACGCCGCCCGGCTCTGCGCCTTCTATGCCCGCCTGTGCCCGGGGTCCCAGGGCGCCTGTGCGCGCCTGGCGCACCAGCAGTGCCTGCAGCGCCGGCGGCGATGCGGTCAGTTCTGTTCACCCGGACCCGGACGGGGGGCAGAGGGGAGGGGGCCTGGCCAGCCTCTGACCGCCGCTCCGACTCCTGTCCGGTCCGCAGAGCTGCGCTCGCTGGCGCACACGCTGCTGGGCCTGCTGCGGAACGCGCAGGAGCTGCTCGGGCCTCGTCCGGGACTGCGGCGCCTGGCCCCCGCCCTGGCTCTCCCCGCTCCAGCGCTCAGGGAGTCTCCTCTGCACCCCGCCCGGGAGCTGCGGCTTCACTCAGGTACCCCGCGCCCTCCAGCCCAGCCCAGCCCTGGCCCGGCCCCACCCGCGCGGCACAGCCACTTTCTCCGCCGAGGCGGTACCCTAACCCTGTGCCTCCCCAGGATCGCGGGCTGCAGGCACTCGGTTCCCGAAGCGGAGGCCGGAGCCGCGCGGAGAAGCCAACGGTAATGACGCCCCCTGCCGACCTTCAGGAGGGGATAGGCTGAGGGCCTGGACGAGGTCGGAAGCGCTTCTACTGCAGCTCCGGAAAGGGCTTACCCCATGGGGCAACAGGGTGGACTCGTTCTCCCCTCCCCGCCATAGAGCGTATGACTCTTTTGGAGTACTTGTGGTTTTAGCTCTCATCAGTGTCAAACAGAGATGCTTTGCCTGGTGTTACTGCTTAACTTCTCCGAGCCTCAGTTTCCCCACCTATAGCATAAGAGGATAAGTGTGTCCCCTGGGAGGCCATCCTGAGGTGCTGGTGGGAGTGCCACCCCCAGTTCCATACCGCAACCGTTCATTATTCCCGGGGCCTCTCCTCTTCCTCCAGGCTGCCCTGGGCTGGAGCCCCTGCGACAGAAGTTGGCTGCCCTGCAGGGGGCCCATGCCTGGATCCTGCAGGTCCCCTCGGAGCACCTGGCCATGAACTTTCATGAGGTAGGTCCCCAGGCTTCCAGACTCCTTCACGATGGCCTGGGAAGGCTGAGACCCAGCCCAGGGAAGATGCAGAGGGCCCAGCCCAGATACCCTCCCAGCAGCCTGGGGTCGCCTCTGCCCCAGCTCTGGGGGTAGGTAGAGGGTCCGAGGGGAAGGGAGTGGGGCCTGCGGAGTGTGAGCCAGGCCACTGGGGGTGGTGGTGGGGAGAGTGAGTAGAGGGGTGGGTGGGAGTGTCCACATGAGCGGGAAATGAGCAGGGTTTCCAGGTCTAGGTGAGAGTTTCTGGGGCCCAGGGGGAGAGGGGGTGACCTCTGGGGTTTCAACTCAGGAGTGAGTTTCTGGGCCCCTGATCCCCACTCCTCCATCTGTAGGTCCTGGCAGATCTGGGCTCCAAGACACTGACCGGGCTTTTCAGAGCCTGGGTGCGGGCAGGCTTGGGGGGCCGGCATGTGGCCTTCAGCGGCCTGGTGGGCCTGGAGCCGGCCACACTGGCTCGCAGCCTCCCCCGGCTGCTGGTGCAGGCCCTGCAGGCCTTCCGCGTGGCTGCCCTGGCAGAAGGGGAGCCCGAGGGACCCTGGATGGATGTAGGGCAGGGGCCCGGGCTGGAGAGGAAGGGGCACCACCCACTCAACCCTCAGGTACCCCCCGCCAGGCAACCCTGAGCCATGTCTGGGCCCCCAGCCCCTGGGGAGGACCTACTGCTCCCAGGGGCTGAGAGGGGTTCGGGAGCATAATGACAAACTGTCGCTGCCCCAGTGGCTGGGTGTGTGTGGGTGGGATGGGGTGGGGGTCCTGGGCCCCCCGTGTCTTCCCAGGTTTACAATCAGAGAATCACAGCTGCTTTAATAAATGTTATTTATAATACACGGAAACAACTCTGGAGCTTTCTTGGGATGGGACCTGGTGGGTGGACATTCAGTCTCAGGGGTGGGGCCCAGGCAGGGCTGCCTCTGGAAGCAGTTGGCAAGGGTAACAGATGCTGGAAAGGGGCTGTAAGGCCCCTATCTGAGCCTATCTCCTGCCTCCTGAGAAGCAGCAGCAGCTGGCCTGCCTGTTGCCCCGCCCCCGTGCATGGCTGCCCAGCGCTGGCCCCAGTGCCCAGCGTCTCCGCCCAGCACCCCCCCGGCCCTCCCTCCCCACCCCCCGCCTCCGAGCTGCGGGGAGTCCCAGCCTGGGATCTTTGCCTCATGTCCTTGGGCTCCTGCCCTGGCTGGCCCGTCCCCCACCGCCATGAGGTGTCAGATTGTGTTTCCGGCTGCCTCTTCCCGTTGACCCCCTCCTCCCCCAACACCTGTCCCCTCTCCCGCCCACCCTCATTCCACAGCCCTGTAGACAGGAGGGGCAGATGCACGTCCCAGTCAGAGGGATGGGATGGAGGGGCCAGTGCTGACACTGGGGCTGCTGGCTGCCCTGGCGGTGTGTGGTAAGGGAAGACACCCTCCCCACCCTGGGGTCCCCCGTGATGCTTACCCAGGCCCCACACCGCATGGCTCCTCACTCACTCCACTCCCACTCTGCCATCTCTCCCTGTGGGGGGCCGCCTTCTGGGGTCCCCACTCCCAGGGAGTGGTTGGGTTCCCCCCTGCTCATCCCAACCTCATGGTCCAGCAGGACCTCAGGGCAGCTTCCTTCCTGAGTCCCCTGCCCAGGGCCCCATTCAGTCCTTGTCGCTGACCCTCCCCAGGCAGCTGGGGGCTGAACGAGGAGGAGCGGCTGATCCGGCACCTGTTTCAAGAGAAGGGCTACAACAAGGAGCTCCGGCCCGTGGCACACAAAGAGGAGAGTGTGGACGTTGCCCTGGCCCTCACACTCTCCAACCTCATCTCCCTGGTGAGAGGCCCTCCGGTGCTGGGTTGGGAGGGAGGGCAGGGATGGCTTTCCAGTACCAGGATAGCCATGGAGGAAGCTAGAAGCCCCCACCTGGCCTATGGCCACTCCCTTCCTGGGAAACGTGCTGCGGCTGCTCTGTGCCCTGAGAGGCTGCTGTCCTGCCCCTCCAGTGTCAGCTCTGCGGTGTCCCCCAACCACACCCATAGCATGCCCCATCTGTGACACACTTCAGAGGCCACTGGTCCTCTCTGCTCCCTGGCGGCCTACCCACTCCTGACTGCGAGTGATCAGGGCCCAGATGCCACGGTTTCCCTGGGTGCCAATTGACAGTGGGTGAATGTAGGCTGGGTGTGGTGGCTCATGCCTGTAATCCCAGCACTTTGGGAGGCCCAGGTGGGTGGATCACCTGAGGTCAGGAGCTCGAGACCAGCCTGGCCAACATAGTAAAACCTGATCTCTACTAAAAATACAAAAATTAGCCGGGTGTGATGGTGTGGGCCTATAATCCCAGCTACTAGGAAGGCTGAGGCAGGAGAATCGCTTGAACCCAGGAGGCAGAGGTTGCAGGTTGCAGTGAGCCAAGCTCGTGCCACTGCACTCCATCCTGGGCAATTGAGCAAGACCCTGGAAAAAAAAAGAGAGAGAGAGAGAGAGAGAGAGTGGGTGAATGTGTGCGGATAAAAGAATGATATGGCCCTGAAGGATGGCCCTACCGTCTAATTACAGAAAGAAGTTGAGGAGACCCTCACTACCAATGTGTGGATAGAGCACGTAAGAATGCCCCTCCCAGCCGGGCGCAGTGGCTCATGCCTGTAATCCCAGCACTTTGGAAGGCCGAGGGGGGTGGATCACGAGGTCAGGAGATCAAGACCATCTTGGCTGACACGGTGAAACCCCGTCTCTACTAAAAATACAAAAAATTAGCTTGGTGTGGTGGTGGGTACCTGTAGTCCCAGCTACTCGGGAAGCTGAGGCAGGAGAATGGTGTGAACGCAGGAGGCGGAGCTTGCAGTGAGCCGAGATTGCGCCACTGCACTCCAGCCTGGGCGACAGAACAAGACTCCATCTCAAAAAAAAGAGAATGCCCCGCCCAGAGCCGGTGGGGTCGGGGAGGGAATGCAGGGCACCAGATTGCTTCTGCATGGAGATCCCGTCTGCCTTGGACACTGTTCTCCAGGAGGGGTTGGTGCCTCCCTACAGGGAAGCCCCAGGCCCAACTGTCCTTCCCCCACCTAGTGCCCTCACCAGCCCTGATGTCACCTTCAAGTGGATTAGGATTCACATGTTGGAAAATTGCCACTTTATCTTGATGTTTATTAGAAAACATTCTCTTCCTGCCTGTCAAAAGTCCACAGTACAGACACAAATCGTCTATGCTCACAGTAGAAATAATGCTCCCTTAGTTGTGCAGTGAGCATCCTGCACAGCTGTCCATGACAGACCTGAATCCGCACTCTGTACCTGCCTTCCCCAAACCTCTTTTGTCACAGCTCTCAGACCCTGTTCAGTCTTCTCTCAGGGAAGTGGGGGGAGCCAGGAGCCTGGATGGCTGCAGAGTGCACTGGTGACATGCCTTTGGGATTCCAGGGCTGGACAGACAACCGGCTGAAGTGGAATGCTGAAGAATTTGGAAACATCAGTGTCCTGCGCCTCCCCCCGGACATGGTGTGGCTCCCAGAGATTGTGCTGGAGAACAAGTTGAGCCAAGCCCTCCCTGACCTCCCCTCTGTCACCCTGCCTCCTTTCCTTAAGCCTCCTCTGCCTCCCCCAACTCTGCCAGTCGTGAGTGGCCAGAGCTCACTATGGTTCTTGTCCCTGTCCCCCAGCAATGACGGCTCCTTCCAGATCTCCTACTCCTGCAACGTGCTTGTCTACCACTACGGCTTCGTGTACTGGCTGCCACCTGCCATCTTCCGCTCCTCCTGCCCCATCTCTGTCACCTATTTCCCCTTCGACTGGCAGAACTGCTCCCTCAAGTTCAGGTGTGCCCTTTTCTCCAGCCACCCCTCACCCCAAAGCACCCTGCCAGAGGCCAAAGAAGGTGACTGAAGCACCCTCAGACAGAGGCCCCTGCCCTGTCTGGATTAGTGCTGCCCTCCCCACAATGGTCCTCCCTTACCAGCCCTTCCCCACTCTGTGGCCCCAGCCACTGGCCGAGTGTCACTCTCTGCCCATTGCCCTCCCCAGTTCCCTCAAGTATACGGCCAAAGAGATCACCCTGAGCCTGAAACAGGATGCCAAGGAGAACCGCACCTACCCCGTGGAGTGGATCATCATTGATCCTGAAGGCTTCACAGGTGCTGGGAACAGCCGCCAGTGGGTGGGCAGGTCCCTCAGACACACACAGACACACTGGCCCTGTCCACCCCAGAGACACACACGTGCACACACACACACACTTAGGACACCAATACACAGCTCCTCACACACGCAGCTAGACACAGAAGGGCAGACACATATCCGCCCACAGAGGAGCACACAGACACTCACACTTCCTGAATGCAAAGCTATCCCAAAGGCAGAGAGAGAAGGTGCCAGGGCCCTCCCCATGCCTCTGCCCAGGCCCGGAAGTCATGCTTCTCCCACATGAGATGCCTGTGGCTGACAGGGGTTTAGTCTTTCCTGTGCCTGGTGAGCCCAGGGGTGTGGTTGGCATGAGGGCTGTGTTATCCTGATGGGGGTGTCTGCCACCCCTCCTGACATCCTCATCCCCGATCTGTACCCAGGCTCGGATCCTCCATGGGGCCTACCACTTGCCCTGTCCATCAGAAGGGACCCTGTCTCACTGTCTCAGGCTGGCACATCATGGCAGGGATAGTTTTACTGTCACTGGCTCATTATCCCCAAGGCCCAGGCCGAGGAGTGGCTCAATTAATGTCCAGGAGGCTTTTCTTTGTTACTCAGGAAGACAGGCTCAATGTCTGAGAGCATTTGTTTGACTTGGTGTCTTAATCTGCAATACCTGTTTTTGGCTCGTGTATCTTTTGAGCCAAAAGATACTCCTTATTTGAGTCCTGTATGGCCTCAGCTTCTATTTTTTCCGAAAAGATAAAAAAGAAATCAGTCACAGAGGAAGATTTCCCCTCACAGATGGAAACTTCCATCCCGACCCCCCAGGGAACGACACCCACCAACGGGACCCCGTAGACAGCCCATCTGCGTCTCTGGACTGGCTTGCCCTGCCCAGCCCCTCATTCTGTCCCCAGGCCCTGCCTAGCCCCCTTGGCCTGGCCTGACCCTAAGATGTCCATGTGCCGCCCTCAGAGAACGGGGAGTGGGAGATAGTCCACCGGCCGGCCAGGGTCAACGTGGACCCCAGAGCCCCTCTGGACAGCCCCAGCCGCCAGGACATCACCTTCTACCTCATCATCCGCCGCAAGCCCCTCTTCTACATCATCAACATCCTGGTGCCCTGCGTGCTCATCTCCTTCATGGTCAACCTGGTCTTCTACCTACCGGCTGACAGTGAGCCTCCAGGCCCCGTCCCCTGCTCCCCCTCCCCAAGCCCACCTGAGCACAGCCAGCCCCAGCCCTGCCCCCTCACTTCCTCCTGGGAGCCACCTGGGGTCTCCATTCCTGGAGCTCCCTGCCTGGATCCAGGTGTGAGGGCCAGGTGGCCACCCAGAGGGAGGGCTGTATGATTCTGGGCAACATCCCCAAATGGACAGGGCAGGGCATCTCCAAGATGCTACTTCCCACGGACTCTCAGAAGAACTGCTAAACTGTCCCTCTGTCAGGGCAGAGACCAAGTCCCTCACGGTCACCAGTGTGTGACCGTGGGCCTGGCACACAGGAGGCCCTCAACTGTTGAACCAGTGGGTGAATAACAGGGTCTCTAGGACAGTAGGGTGTGAGGCAGAAAACCCATCTATGCTCACCTGACTCTATGAGGCAGTGGTTTACAAGTTCAGAGTATTTACTATGAGCAGGGCATAGTGAGTCCCAGGGTCAAAGGCCACCCAGCCCCTGCCCCCGGCAGGACTTGAGGAGGGAGAAGTGGGGCACCTTCCATCTGCAGTGGGGTTGGGAGGGCTTCTAGAGGAGGTGGAGTTTGAATGGACTTGAGCAGGATTGGGTGGGGCTACCACAGGCAGGAGGAGCAATGCCAATAAGGAGGGGGCCAGGCAGGGGCTGAAGGGACCTCAGCAGGGGAGCCCCCCTTCCCGCCCTTGCCATCACGTGCAGGAGCTCAGGTGGGAAGAGCAAGACAGCACTGGGCTGGGGTCTCTGAGTGAGGGGCTGGGAGTTGAGGTGTTATCCTGGTTCTACAAGGACAACCTGGCACTTTCTAAGCGGGGAGTAACGCACGCAGGTCTGTGCTCCAGGAGGGTTCAGTGGCGTGGGTGGGTTGTGACAGCTGATTTTCATGAGCACTTACCCAGTGCCAGGCAGAGTGATGCGTGTTAAACACACTCTGTCACCACATTTAACAGTTGAGAAAACTGATGCACAGAGAGGTTGGGCTACTTGCCCAAGGTCACCCAGCTAGTAAGTGGCAGAGCTGATATTTGCACCCAGGCACTCTAGCTCCATAACCCGTAATTTTCATCAGGGTATGATGGTACTACAGAGGTGCCAGGGGCCACAGCGGGACCCTCTAGGACCGGTGCCCCAAGGTCACAGCTGGACCCTCTAGGACCGGTGCCCCAAGGTCACAGCTAAGTCTGGCTTCCCCAGGTGGTGAGAAGACATCAGTGGCCATCTCGGTGCTCCTGGCTCAGTCTGTCTTCCTGCTGCTCATCTCCAAGCGTCTGCCTGCCACATCCATGGCCATCCCCCTTATCGGCAAGTGAGTGACGCTCAAGCCCGGCCTCACCCTGCTTGCCAGCCCAGCCCTGGGAGCTCCAAGCTGAGTGTTTGCCCACAGGTTCCTGCTCTTCGGCATGGTGCTGGTCACCATGGTTGTGGTGATCTGTGTCATCGTGCTCAACATCCACTTCCGAACACCCAGCACCCATGTGCTGTCTGAGGGGGTCAAGAAGGTGAGTACTTGGCCCGGCGCAAAAGCTCACCACTGTAATCCTGGCATTTCAGGAGGCTGAGGCGGGAGAATCTCTTGAGCCCAGGAGTTGGAGACCAGCCTGGGCAACATAGAGACACCCCTGTCTCTATAAACAATCAAAAAAATTAGCCAAGTGTGGTGGCGCATGCTTGTATTCCCAGCTACTCAAGAGGCTGAGGTGGATCACTTGAGCCTGGGAGGTCAAAGCTGCAGTGAGCTGTGATCGCGCCAGGGCACTCCAGCCTGGGCAACAGAGTGAGACCTTGTCTCAAAAAAAAAAAAAAAAAAAAAAAAAAAAGAAATGAGCACTCTCAATAGCCAAAAGCTGGAGACTAAGCCAGGTACAGTGGCTCACACCTGGAGTCTCAGCTACTCGGGAGGCTGAGGTGGGAGGATCCCTGGAACCCAGGAGTTGGAGGTTGCAATGTACTATGATCACAGTTGCACCCCAGTCTGGGCAACAGATCGAGACCCCATCTCTAAAAAAATAAAATAAAATGAAAAGCAGGGACCGGGTGTGGTAGCTCACACCTATAATCCCAGCACTTTGGGTGGCTGAGGCGGGTGGATCACCTGAGGTCAAGAGTTCGAGACCACCCTGGCCAACATGGTGAAACTCCATCTCTACTAAAAATTCAAAAATTAGCCAGGCGTGATAGTGTGCGCTTGTAATCCCAGCTACTCGGGGGGCTGAGGTACGAGAATCGCTTGAACTCGGGAGGTGGAGGTTGCAGTGAGCCGAGATCTCACCACTGCACTCCAGCCTGGGCGACAAGAGACAAGAGCGAAACTCTGTCTCCAAAAAAAAAAAAAAAAAAAAAAAATCTGGAACTTGTCCAAAGGCCATCTGTAGAATGGGTAAAGACACTGGACATATACTCCCACGGGAGTGCCGCTCAGCCGTGCAGAAGCACCTGCGGCTGCTGCAGCCCTGCACGTGTGAACCTCCTGGCACAGTGTTCCGTGAAAGAAACCAGACGCAGCAGCACATGCTGCAGGCCTCACTTTGTAAGAAGTTCAAGAACAGGCCAAATCAGTGTTTGGTGATGGAAGTCAGAATGGTGGCTATCTCTGGGGCTGGGAGGGTACTGAGTGGGGGCAGGTGTGAGGGAGATTTTTGGGGATCATGTTCACTATCTCATCACTGGTGATTTACCCAGTGGAATGCATCTGTAAAAATTCATCTAGCTATATACTTAAGATGTGCTCATTCCACTGTATGCTGCAACTCAGAAGGAAGAAGGGGAGGACTGAGTGCAGGGTGCTCAGGAGGGGGCTGCCCTTGCCTCTCGGCTGCTGCAGGGCCGGCTGGCTGTTCTGGGACAGCTGAAGGCAGTTTAGCAACTCTTTTTTTTCTTTTTTGAGATGGAGTCTCCCTCTGTCGCCCAGGCTGGAGTGCAGTGGTTCGATCTCAGCTCACTGCAACCTCTGCCTCCCAGGTTCAAGTGATTTTCATGCCTCAGCCTCCTAAGTAGCTGGGATTACAGGCGCCCGCCACCATGCCTGGCTAATTTTTGTATTTTTAGTAGCGATGGGTTTCACCACGTTGGCCATGCTGGTCTCGAACTCCTGACCTCAAGCGATCCACCTGCCTCGGCTTCCCAAAGAGCTGGGACTATAGGCGTGAGCCACTGTGCCCGGCCTTAGCAACTCTTTTTGTCTTTCAGCATTTGATGGGGGAGACTCTAGCATTTGGAGCATTTACCTTAGTTTTTGGTCTTTAATTAATCATTTTTAGTGAATGGGTTCTGCTCCGCACCATGGGTGATGTGGGAGAGCTGGAAGCAACCTGCATGTGCATCAGTAGGAGATCGGGGAATCAATGACAGAGTCAGACGGGGGAGCACTTTGTGGCAGCCAGGAATGAAGTCACAGATGTTAGGATGTGTAAAGGTCACCCCATGCTTGTAAAATGGCCTTTTTGGCCAGACACGGTGCCTCGCCCGTAATCCCAGCACTTTGGGAGGCCAAGTCAGGCAGATCACGAGGTCAGGAGAGCAAGACCATCCTGGCCAAAATGGTGAAACCCCATCTCTACTAAAAATACAAAAATTAGCTGGGCATGGTGGCGCGTGCCTGTAGTCCCAACTACTTGGGAGACTGAGGCAAGAAATCACTTGAACCCGAGAGGTGGAGGTTGCAGTGAGCCGAGATCGCGCCACTGCACTCCAGCCTGGTGACAGAATGAGACTCCGTCTCAAAAACAAAGAACAAAAAACAACGCCTTTCTTGTGGCCCCTTGACATGGCCCCAGCTCTTCCTGGAGACCCTGCCGGAGCTCCTGCACATGTCCCGCCCAGCAGAGGATGGACCCAGCCCTGGGGCCCTGGTGCGGAGGAGCAGCTCCCTGGGATACATCTCCAAGGCCGAGGAGTACTTCCTGCTCAAGTCCCGCAGTGACCTCATGTTCGAGAAGCAGTCAGAGCGGCATGGGCTGGCCAGGCGCCTCACCACTGCACGTGGGTCCCCGCTGGTCTTGGTTTTCAGCCCATCTGTGGGAGGTGGGTGGAGGCAGGCCTCACACCCACTCTGGCCCCTCGTCTGTAGGCCGGCCCCCAGCAAGCTCTGAGCAGGCCCAGCAGGAACTCTTCAATGAGCTGAAGCCAGCTGTGGATGGGGCAAACTTCATTGTTAACCACATGAGGGACCAGAACAATTACAATGAGGTAAGGGACCACAGGATTGCCATGTACAGGTGTTCAAGTAGGGCACTGATTAAGTGTATTCTATCTTAAGAGGGCAGGGTTCCCCTTAGAGGCACACACCAACTTAGATGAGGGAGTTAATGTGACACAGATTCCAGGCCCCCCCGCCAGGGAGAGAGAACTCCTGCCTGGCACCCTATAGCAGCACTGGGGCCAGGCACACACACATAGGCACACAGCTCCACCCTGTCCAGGCCACACTCTGAGCATCCCTTAGGATCCCTTCTTTCTCCCAGCTGCCAATCATTTTCTGTCCCTACTCAGTTCCAAGCCTGATACTCCAGACAGAACCAGACATTTTAAAGGTAGCCATATATGGTTATTCAACATTATACAACTTCTAAAAACTATCTCTTGAGAAAGGGCACCTTTTCCCAGTTCACATATGGGCTGGCAGCAGCCCTGACTTGCTGAGATGGGGGAGAAGAAGAGAGGGGTCTATCCACCTTCCTCAGCCCCTAGGAGAGACCCCTGGGCCTCAGTTCCTCTCTAGCCCCAGAGCCCTGTGCTACAGCAGAGAGGGAGGCTATGGTCTGTTCCCGCCTCCTCAACAGAGTGATCAGCCCTGCCTGTGGCCAGAGGGGCCTGGGACCTTGCTGGGGACAAGCCAGCATTATCCTGCAAGCCCGAGGCAGCCTCTGCAGGCACACTGAGCCGCCCTCTGCCTCCATGGCTGGGCCCCAGCTTGGGGGTGGGGCTTTGTGGCCTGAGGCCCTTCTCACCCCACTCTCTCTGCCCCTACCCACAGGAGAAAGACAGCTGGAACCGAGTGGCCCGCACAGTGGACCGCCTCTGCCTGTTTGTGGTGACGCCTGTCATGGTGGTGGGCACAGCCTGGATCTTCCTGCAGGGCGTTTACAACCAGCCACCACCCCAGCCTTTTCCTGGGGACCCCTACTCCTACAACGTGCAGGACAAGCGCTTCATCTAGGGTGGGCCTGTTGGGGAGCCAGGAGACAGCAGGGTCTGAGAGAGGAGCCACAGTCCCTAATGACACCCACTCCTAGCCCTGAGGCTCGTGCCCCTCAGACTGGGGAAGAGTCCAAGGAAGGGAGGGAGCAGCCACTCCTCAATGCTCAATGGCTCCCCTGAAATCAAGACAGGGGCCACCCGAGATGGTCTGAGGGTGGACATCGGCTACAGTGGGTGGGCAGGACGATTTGGGGGGAGGCCCGAGGCTGGCTCAGGGGCCAGGGAGGAGGCCACTCAGGGTGGCCTCAGGGGGAGAGCTCTGATAGGGGTGAGACAGATAGGGCCCCTTCTCTGCTTCTCCTCCCCCAAGGTGTGGGGTAGAGCAGGCAGGAATCTGCGCCTTCACTCTCTGGCCCCTCCAGCCTCCCTCTTCCTACCTACCCTTCAACCTCAGGCTTCTGAGGCCTCACCTGGGACTGAGGTTGAGGACACCTCCCTCCCTCCAGACCCCAGAGTATCCTTTCCTAGCTCTTTCTGCCTTGACCTCTCTGCCTAGGTCCCTTTGGGAAGTTGAGGACTGGAGTGGAAAGGTCAGGATCGACATCCACAAAGACTTGGGGTCAGCCTGAGGTTGCACACACAATCCTAGAGGACCAGAACGCAGCACCTCTCCCCAAAGGGTCCCTGCCCCCCAGCACCTACTCCTCTCCAAATTAGGGTTGTCATGCATTATTTGGGGCATACATATTCTAAAAAATCATTCGTTGTTTCTCTGAAATTTGTCCCCTATTTTTATTTGCTAAATCTAGCAACCCTATCCCAAAGGCAGCCTCCACTCAATCTTATCCTGAGGGCCAAAGGCCAAGGCTGCAGGAATTGGGAGACAAGGGTCTGTTTGTATGGTGGTCCACCTCCAAGATGGCCCCAGTGATGCCCAGTATTCACACCCTTGTGCAGTCCCCTCACTCTGTACCAGGGTGGGTCTGGGTAACCAATAGAATGAGGCAGAAGTGATGGTACCTCACTTCCCAGATTTGGTTAGGAAAGACACTATGGCCTCTTTCTTGCTCATTAGCCCTCATTCTCACATCAGTTGGATCTCTCACTTTGGGGAAGCCAGCTGGCATGTTAAGGAGCCCTATGGAGAGGCCCACATGGCAAGGAACTAAGGCCTCCTGCCAACAGCCACGTGAGTGAATGTGGAAGTGGATCCTCTGCCCCAGTAGGGCCTTCGGATGAGATCACAGCCCAGTAGACATCTTATGTGCAGCCCCATGAAAGTCCCTAAGCCAGAACCACCAGCTAAGTGACTCCTGGATTCCTGACCCCCAGAAACTGTGTGAGATAATAAATGTGTGTTGTTTTAAGTGACAACGTTTTGGTGTCATTTGTTACACCAGCAATGTGACCTTGAGTGAGCTGCTCCTCATCTCACTCCTCACCTTCCATCTTCTAATCTGCAAAATGTGTGTCTAGTAAGTCCTAGTCATGGGGTGTTGTGAAAATTGAATTTCTAGTAGGAGCATTTTCATGTGACCTGCACATTTAATGGGTGGTGATTTAACCCATTTCCCTCAGGGGGGAATTGGTGACCTCATTAACTCAGATATACAGAAGGTGAGATTTTTAATGTTTAGATGTAACCAAGGAAAAAGAAAAACCATTTAAAACCAA
Organism: Homo sapiens; assembly: GCF_000001405.40. Classification (NCBI taxonomy): domain Eukaryota; kingdom Metazoa; phylum Chordata; class Mammalia; order Primates; family Hominidae; genus Homo; species Homo sapiens. The sequence continues at coordinate 232,536,968 of NC_000002.12, forward strand.
AACTGACCCTAGTAACTTCTGCCTTCCAGCATGAACTATTCACAAAATTCAAGGTACAAATCTTTAATTGTCCTGTCTAAATAGGAAAGCCAGTTTGTTCTCACACCTGTCAGGTGAGCAGGAAATCTGAGACTTCCCCAGGAATAGCCCATCAACTCAGGGAGGGTCCGTCTTGTGCACAGAGAGTCTAGGGCCCTCAGCCACAGTCTTTGCTTCTCTCTGCCTCATGGTGGCGCTGCTGGCAGCAGGTCTTGGTTCAACCACCAGGTGAGTCCTCAGTTCTATTAGGCCCTGCTCAAGTGGCTGTGGACTTCCAGAGAAGACAACCCCAAAATGTCACACAAAACCGGGGGGGTGCCTCCTGCACAGGCTCCCAGGGTCACCACAGTTTCCACCAGAGGCACCCACTCCCCCAGCACGGTGGTGCTGTCAGGACTGGTCCACTCTGACTGACATAGAACTCCATCTTCTGTCCCCAGGAAGCCATGCTCACAGGCACAGCTTTCCGGGAAGCCAGAGAGTGTTCCTTACTCTCTCCAGACCAACAGGGCTACCCTCTCTCTTTCAATGGACAGTGAATCAGTAATACACTGGCCTGCAAGGAACAGAAAGCTGAAGGAATTGTAGCTTAAACACATAAGGTTTCCTTTTTCTCACATAGTAATAATAGGGAGGCGGAGGTGATCATGTTGGCTCGGCTGTCTAACAAAGCTATCAGGGACCCAGGCATTTTGCCATCTGCCCAGCCCTGCCTCCATGGCAAGTTGGCTTCTGTCCTCAGACCTGTTGGCCCCAGTTTGTGAGCTGACAGCCACAGCTGCACACTTAGCACCTATGTTCAGGCAGAAAAGGGCCAGCCATTTCTGACCCCTTTCATCAAGAAGCAAAACTTTTCCATAGGCCGGGCACAGTGGCTCACGCCTGTAATCACAGCACTTTGGGAGGCTGAGGCGGCTGGATCACCTAAGGTCAAGAGTTCAAGACCAGCCTGACGAACATGGTGAAACCCCCTCTCTACTAAAAATACAAAAATTAGATGGGCTTGGTGGCGCCCGCCTGTAATCCCAGCTACTCAGGCGGCTGAGGCAAGAGAATCGCTTGAACCCAGGAGGCAGAGGTTGCAGTGAGCCGAGATCAAGTCATTGTACTCCAGCCTTGGCGACAAGAGTGAAACTCCAACTCAAAGAAAAAAAAAAAAACAACTTTTCCATAAAGCTCCAGTAGACATCCCGCAGGTCAAAACATCACATGGCTAGCCTATCTGAAGGGAGACTAGGAAATGAGTATCTTGCTCTACCAGCCATTATAACAGAGGGTGGCAAAGGAGAAGTAGTGTTAGACAATTCTACAGATGATTTTCTCTGAATGGGTCCTGTCCCTGCACACGTAACCCCTGCAAGAAACTTCCATTCCTCATTGATGATTTACCCTTCGGAGAACACCAAGAAGGCTTCTAGGCCATCTCTCCCAGAGCAGAGAAAGGGAGAAAACAGGAGGGTGGAGGGTAGGGGATGCAGGGACAGGTGGTCCACTGTTTGGCAGTGCTTCCTGATCATGGAGGCCATTGAATTTGGTAAAATGTGGGCATGGAGGAGAGTAAAGAGGTGGAGAGAAACTGGTCTGCAAAAGAGGATAAGAAAACTGCATCTAGGGGGACCAGAGGGCAAAATGGAAAGGCAAGGCTCTCAGAAGTGAGAAGGAAACGAGGGCTTTGTAAATTCCAGGAAAAGTGGGCCACACAGAGAGAAGCTCAGTGGGGGGGATGCCCAGGGAGGGGGAAGCTCAGGAAGGGGGAAGCTCAGGGAGGAGGAAGCTCAGAGAGGAGGAAGCTCAGGGAAAGGGAAGCCCAGTGAGGGGGAAGCTTAGGGAGGGAGAAGCTCAGGGAGGGGGAAGCTCTGGGAGGAGGAAGCTCAGGGAAAGGGAAGCCCAGTGAGGGGGAAGGTCAGCGAGGGGGAAGTTCAGGGAGAGGGATGCTGAGTGAGGGGGATGCCGAGTGAGGGGGAGGCCGAGTGAGGGGGATGCCCAGTGAGGGGGATGCCCAGTGGCAGGCCAAGATGGGTGGATCACTTGAGTTCAGGAGTTCCAAGACTGGCCTGGCCAACATGGTGAAACCCCGTCTCTACTAAAAATACAAAAAAGAAAAAAGAAGAAGAAGAAGAAAAATTAGCCAGGCGTGTTGGCGCATGCCAGTAGTCCCAGCTACTCAGAAGGCTGAAGTAGAAGAATCAAGGTGGAGGTTGTAGTGAGCCAAGATCGCACCACTGCACTCCAGCAAAAAACAAACAAACAAACAAACACAAAAACCCTCACATGCCTACCCAACAGCCTTCACACCCACCCAAATCCTGACTCCCTGGAGGGAGTAGGAGGCAGTCCACCTCAGCCCTCTCTGGAGCCGCTGTCAGGTTCCTCGGCGACCTGCCTTCCCTACCACACCCAGCTGGCCCTGGCTGTCCTTGCCCCCCATGTGGAACATGGAGGTGAGGCTGGGACAACTGAGCCCGAGTTGGGGCTGGAAGGTGGATGTCTCTTTTGGGGCAGACGGGGCCCCTGTCTCCCCTCTCCAGCCCAGGTAACCTGAGCCCAGCATTGTGTCCATCCTGGAACAGCTGACAACGCTGTGGTCAGACAGCTGGTGGGGCTGGGCCAGGCTGGCCGGGCTGGCTGGGCTGGCTGGGGTGGGAGTGTAGGCTGTTATATGACACCCAGAGCCCATCTCTCTCTGCCCCAGACCTTGGAGCTGTTGTCCCACCCCTGTCACTGCAGAGAGCTGAGGCACCATGCATGGGGGCCAGGGGCCGCTGCTCCTCCTGCTGCTGCTGGCTGTCTGCCTGGGTGGGACACAAAGGAATCTCAGCCTGGGGAGTCCCAGAGCTGGGGTCCACAGCCTCAGGGGATGGAGGGTCTGAGGGGTATTGGGGCCTGCCCTGGACCCAGTTCCCTGAGTCCCCACTTCACACCCCCAGGGCCTCCCCGCTCTTTCCACCTCCAAGCTCCTGCTAGGCTCACGCCTGTCTATTGCAGGGGCCCAGGGCCGGAACCAGGAGGAGCGCCTGCTCGCAGACCTGATGCAAAACTACGACCCCAACCTGCGGCCCGCGGAACGAGACTCGGATGTGGTCAATGTCAGCCTGAAGCTAACCCTCACCAACCTCATCTCCCTGGTAAGCCGCAGGACGGAGGAGGGGTCAGCGCACCACGCCCTGGGACCTGCTGGGGATAGCATGGGGTGGCTCCAGCCACCAAGAGGTTGGAGGGCCCTAAATCGGACAGGCTGGGGTCTGGAAAACCCCCATGGTTGTGGGGGGAGTACTATCAAGAGGCTGGGGGATGCTTGGCCCCATTGGTGGCCTGTGGGGACTGGCACTGAAGTCGGGGGCTGAGCCCTCCATACTACACCCTTGCACCCCCAGAACGAGCGAGAGGAAGCCCTCACCACCAATGTCTGGATAGAGATGGTAAGAGGCCACCCTGCCACCCTCCTTCCATCAGGGGTCCCACCCCACCACCCCAAGGCCTCCTGAGAGTTGCCTGCCCCGTTCCTGCCTCTTCTGTCCTCTTGGGCTGGATGCCCACTCCTAGGGCTGTGGTGCAGCAGAGGGCAGAGGCCTAGCAACTGCCCCTCCCCCTGCAGCAGTGGTGCGACTATCGCCTGCGCTGGGATCCGCGAGACTACGAAGGCCTGTGGGTGCTGAGGGTGCCGTCCACCATGGTGTGGCGGCCGGATATCGTGCTGGAGAACAAGTGAGGAGGGGGTGCAGGCAGGGGTGTGGGGGACAAAGGACACAGGGTCTGGGCCCAGCAGAACAAGGCACTCTGGGAAAAGAGAAAGATGAGCAGAGGGTGCAAATCGGGCACCTGTGGGGCTAGGGAAGAACTGGATGGAGCAGGTGCCGAGGGCAGGGCCCTGGGTATGCCCTCTGACCCCAGGGCCAGCAGAGCAGACCCTACGCCAGGCTCCATCTCCTCTGGGCTGGGCCACCTGGGTGGGCTGCTCCCTTCCCTGTAACATGGGGCCGCTGACGGGTCCTATAGAAGCTGGCGAGAGTCAACAAGACAGGCATGAAAAGTGCATCACTCGGGGGCTGGCACATGGTGTGGGCTTAACACATTAGTCGCTATTATGACTATTATTATTATTATTATTATTATGATTAAAACAAGAGAGAGTAAGATAAGCAGAAATTAGGAGGTGGTGCCTGAGGAAGTCTGTCTGGGGCGGGGGGTGGCAGGAGGATTGCTGGGGGGACCTAGTGGTCCGGGTGGGAACCAGTCAGGGGGTGACAGGCTGGTAGGGACTGGTGTCCCCAGGCCCCTATCCACATGGGGCACAGGGGCTGGTCTGGGGCTGGGGTGTCGGGGGCTGAGCCCACAGCCTCGTGGCCTGGCCTGTTCTGTGCATACAGCGTGGACGGTGTCTTCGAGGTGGCCCTCTACTGCAATGTGCTCGTGTCCCCTGACGGCTGTATCTACTGGCTGCCGCCTGCCATCTTCCGTTCCGCCTGCTCTATCTCAGTCACCTACTTCCCCTTCGACTGGCAGAACTGCTCCCTTATCTTCCAGTGAGGCCATTTATTGGGGAGGATTAAGAGAGCTGCTCTCAGAGGGGCCTGGGCAGTGGTGGGGTAAGGCCTGGGCAAGGCTTCTGGCCTTGGCTCTGGCAGCACCTAGAGGCCTGGCTCCATCTCCCCTGGGCCTCTGTGCCCATCTCAGGCTAAGACACCTGAAGGTGCCCAAGCTCTCCCTGCTAAGCCCGAGTCCCCTCACTCATCCTTTACTGCCTCAGTTTCCTCACCTGTGCTCCAAGGGGAGACATTCACGCCTGGGGTGCGTGGGTGAGAAGGCACACATGCACACAAGATGCGTGTCTGCGCACACACGAAACCACTGCACACTCCAGGCCCACAGGGAGGCAGGGCTGTCCTGTGAGAGAGGGGCCCTGGCAGGGAATCCAGCGGAAGCATGTATGCAACCAAGCCACCCCTGGGGGTCTCTGGGTCTGTTTCCTCAAACCTAAGTGTGGGGAGGAGGGCCCGGGGGAGGGTTCTCCTGTACCTTAGAGGAGCAGTCTTTCCATGAGCAAACCTGGCAGGGAGACTCCCCTCTGTAGACACGGGGGTCCTCCTGAGGTAGGCATGTGTTTTCTACATTGCCATCATCAGCCCCTCCTGCCAGACAGCAGTGGGAGAGACAAATGCAGAGTGACCCTGGGCCCATCAGCCAGGTGAGGGCCCTGCAGCCTCCTGGGCCTTCAACTCCATCTTCCTGACCCCAAAGAGCCCTAGGTCCTCCTGCTCTCCATATCTCGCCAGTGGGGTTTTATAGAGAACTCAGAAGCGTGGGGCTGCATTTTGTTGAAGAAAAGCTGCCCACACTTGTCCCCAGAAGGTCATCCCCATGCAGTCGTGGCAGGTCCACCCGCTCACATTTAGCCTCTTTCCTCGGTGACTCCCAGGTCCCAGACTTACAGCACCAATGAGATTGATCTGCAGCTGAGTCAGGAAGATGGCCAGACCATCGAGTGGATTTTCATTGACCCTGAGGCCTTCACAGGTAACCCCCACCCAAGGGCTCCCCAGGCAGCCTCATCCAGGGCTCCTGCTGGACCCAGCTGTGGTCAAGGCTGGACCAAGGTCAAATCCCTCCCATGTAACTCAAAATGAAAACTACAGCAAACCATAAAATATGCTTTTTAAAACGTCCAACAAAGCTCTGACTTTCCTCATGATAATGTCTCCAATTTTAGAAGAGGCTCGAGCATCCAATCTCCCACCCCACTTCTGTCCCTCAAGGGTGCCTCCCCTGCTGGTGCTCCTTAGGGCACATGCTGCCCTTGCAGCTGGGTCACTCGGCTGCAGGGATCTGCCTAGCTCACGCTTCTTGTGCCCACTCCTGCCTGCCTGCCTGCCCGCAGAGAATGGGGAGTGGGCCATCCAGCACCGACCAGCCAAGATGCTCCTGGACCCAGCGGCGCCAGCCCAGGAAGCAGGCCACCAGAAGGTGGTGTTCTACCTGCTCATCCAGCGCAAGCCCCTCTTCTACGTCATCAACATCATCGCCCCCTGTGTGCTCATCTCCTCTGTCGCCATCCTCATCCACTTCCTTCCTGCCAAGGGTACCTGGAGCCTATGGGAAGGAGCCATCCAGTAGCACAGGGGACACCTGGGAGGCCGGGGTGGGCCCTGCCTGGGGAACAGAGTGGCATTACGACCCAGGACAGAGGCAGCGGGCTACTTCTGGGGTAAGGGGTTCCTCTGTGGGTGGGGGAGGTAGGAACCTGCTCTGAGAGCCTCTCGGTCATGGATAGCTGGGGGCCAGAAGTGTACCGTCGCCATCAACGTGCTCCTGGCCCAGACTGTCTTCCTCTTCCTTGTGGCCAAGAAGGTGCCTGAAACCTCCCAGGCGGTGCCACTCATCAGCAAGTAAGGCTGGTCTTCATGTCCACCCGCCTATGCCACTCTCCCTTCTTGGGAGCATGATGGCCTCCTGCATTGCCCTCTTGCCCTCCATCCACCCCCCCCATCCTCAATTCAGGAGGCCTGAGGGGGGGCAGCCACTAAGCGTGGGGGTGGCATCATGGTATGGGCTGCCAGCTCCTGCCCACCCCACCCTGACAGGTACCTGACCTTCCTCCTGGTGGTGACCATCCTCATTGTCGTGAATGCTGTGGTTGTGCTCAATGTCTCCTTGCGGTCTCCACACACACACTCCATGGCCCGAGGGGTCCGCAAGGCAAGGACCCTCCCTGCCCACTTCAACATCCCGCTGCCCACTCCCCTACGCCTCCCTCTCGCACGCCCCGGCAGTACTCACCTGTGGCATTCCACAGCACACCCATCCTGGGCGTATCTGGACGCATGGACCAAAATCGATTACAGTAATACAGGAATGAAATTGCTTCCTAGGTGCCCGGGATATTACAAATGTTAATGTATTTCATCTTCATAAAACCCATATCACCTCCAATTACAGATGAGGACGTTGAGGCGCAGAGAGGTTAAGTAACCTGCCCAAGGAAGTGCACTACAAAGTCGAAAAAGCAGGAGTCTGCCAGGGCAGTCTGATTCCAGTCTGTGTGATCTGTAGCCCACCTGCAGCCTTCAGCTTGGGCCCTTGTTGCACATGCAGATTCCCAGGCCTGTCCCAGGCATTCTAGGCCAGAATAGCATGAGGGCTGGGGGCAGGAATCTGTGTTTATAACAAGTGCCCTGGTGATTCTGATGTGCACTGAAGTTTGGGGACCCAGGCTCGTGTCCAGTATAGAAAGCTTTACCAAGGCCACGTCACTGCCCCGGTATGCTGCCTCCATGGTCCCTAGCAGCACAAGCCCTTCACGCCAACCTCTGGCTTCTGCTCTGAAGCTCGGCCTGCTGCCCTAGTGAAGCCACCCCCTCTCTAGGTGTTCCTGAGGCTCTTGCCCCAGCTGCTGAGGATGCACGTTCGCCCGCTGGCCCCGGCAGCTGTGCAGGACACCCAGTCCCGGCTACAGAATGGCTCCTCGGGATGGTCGATCACAACTGGGGAGGAGGTGGCCCTCTGCCTGCCTCGCAGTGAACTCCTCTTCCAGCAGTGGCAGCGGCAAGGGCTGGTGGCGGCAGCGCTGGAGAAGCTAGGTGAGACACACCAGGTGTGCCTGGGGACAGTCCTCCCCTGGGACCCCAGCTGGGGAGCCAGGCACAGCAGATGAGTGCTGGAGAAGTGCCCAGGTCAGGGAGAGAGGAGCTGGGGTCCCTAAGGAGAGGCCATCTTCTCTGCCTGTTTCTCCTCCATTCTACTCCCAAACCTTACCCTTTCTCTTTATCAGAGAAAGGCCCGGAGTTAGGGCTGAGCCAGTTCTGTGGCAGCCTGAAGCAGGCTGCCCCAGCCATCCAGGCCTGTGTGGAAGCCTGCAACCTCATTGCCTGTGCCCGGCACCAGCAGAGTCACTTTGACAATGTAAGCTGAGTCAGGGTGGGGTGGAGGTGGAGTGAGTACCTGGGCTTGGAACCGTGATAGAGACAGGATGAGTGGGGTTGCCAAGATAGGGCAGTGGGATGGAAAAACATGAGGCCGGGTGCAGTGGGTCACACCTGTAATCCCAGTACTTTGGGAGGCCGAGGCGAGTGGATCACCTGAGGTCAGGAGTTTGAGACCAGCCTGGCCAACATGGCAAAACCCTATCTCTACCAAAAATACCAAAAATACCAAAAATTAGCTGGGTGTGGTGGCGGGCACCTGTATTCCCAGCTACTCAGGAGGCTGAGGCAGGAGAATTGCTTGAACCTGGGAGGCGGAGGTTGCAGTGAGCCAAGCCAAGATCGCACCACTGCACTCTGGCCTGGGTGAAAGAGTGAGACGTGAGACTCCGTCTCAAAAAAAAAAAAAAGGAAAGAAAGAAAGAAAAAGGAACAGGGGCAGGGGGGGCACCTCAGGGCCAGGGGGCCATGGAATTAGCCACCAGTTGGGACCCGGACATAGGTAAGAAGGGCCCCAGGAAATGGAGACATGGGCCTGCTGGAAGCCCAAGGATGAGAACAGGACCCAGGGAAGACCTGGTGCCGCCGCTGGTTATCCCACACCTGCCTCCCACCCTCAGGGGAATGAGGAGTGGTTCCTGGTGGGCCGAGTGCTGGACCGCGTCTGCTTCCTGGCCATGCTCTCGCTCTTCATCTGTGGCACAGCTGGCATCTTCCTCATGGCCCACTACAACCGGGTGCCGGCCCTGCCATTCCCTGGAGATCCACGCCCCTACCTGCCCTCACCAGACTGAGCCAACCAACCACTGTGGGGCATGTGGGAGTCACACACGTGGGTCACACTGAGTCTTATCAGCCACGTTCTCCTACTGAGGTCCTAAGTGTGCTCTTTGGGAAGTGCCCTTCAGGACTGTGTGAGCCAAACAGCCCTGAGAAAAGCTGGGGAAACAGTCTGAGCTGGAGTCCGAGAGTGGTTGGGGGTGGGCCGTGGCTAGTGTCCTGCTGCAGTCAGCACACACGTGGGATTGGCTAGCTCATCCTGGCACCAGCCACCCCTCCACTCAGTGCACTCCCCTCACTTAGGCAAAGCATTATTCATTCCCATCAGTCTGAAGCCCGAAGGACTGTTTTGTATAATACCTTCGGACTTGGGACTGGCTCCCCTTTTACAAGTTCTCCCTGAAAGAGGGCAGTCACAAGAGGTGTGAAGAGTAGCAGCCGATGCTCTCTCCAAAGCAGGGCAGCAGCCCATACCAGCTGGCATCTCCCCCCCGTGCCTTCTGGGTACAATAAGCACCCAATTCTCAACAGCCCCAGTGGCCTTTCCATTCATGTGCATTTTTCTGCCACTGACCACAAGACGATTTCCTGAGTTTTGTAATCCTCTTTTTTTTTTTTTTTTTTTTAGTTTTTGATGTGTTGTTGTTGTTTTGTTTAGTTTTGAGATAGAGCCTCACTCTTGTCATGCAAGTTGGAGTGGAGTGGCATGATCATGGCTCACTGCAGCCTCAACCTCCAGGGCTCAAGCAATGCTCCTGCCTCAGCCTCCCAAGTAGCTGGCACCACAGGCATGCACCACTACACCCAGCTACTTTTAAATTTTTAGTAGAGATGAGGTTTTGCTATGTTGCCTAGGTTGGTCTTGAACTCCTGAGCTCAAGTGATCCTCCCACTTGAGTCTTGGGATTACAGGCATAAGCCACTGTACCTGGCCTCCTTTTTAATTAAGAGCTCCTCACAGCAGTATGGATAAGCAAGAGTCATTATTCCCCATGTTATATAGGCAAATTGAGCCTAGAGTAAGCGGGACTCCACACAACAGTGGTGGTTAAACAAGGTTTGAAGTCCAGAATTCCTGACTCTGACCCAATCTGACACTCTAAGATTCTACGGCCTGAAAAACAGGCCCTTCTTCCCAAAGGATGGTTAAGACAAGGAAGAGCTAGGCAAGAGGAGGTGTGGAGTTAACAGAGAGCCACTGAGCTCTTCATTCCAGGAGGAGACTTTGACTGGCCTCCCTTGACCCCACTAATCAGGTAGTAAGGCTGGGGTCTTCCTGGGGGAGAGGCAAGGTCCTGCTCTGAGATTACAGCCGGCACACGAGTTTGGCTGGTAACCAGGGGACACCCTTGGGCAAGTCACCTATGCTCCCTGAGGCTGTTCCCTCATCTGTAAATAAGGTGCAAAAAATAATCCATTCCTGGCCAGGTGTGGTGGCTCACACCTGCAATCCCAGCACCTTGGGAGGACAAGGTGGGTGGACTGCTTGAGCTCAGGAGCCCACGAACCCAGGAACCCAGCCTGGGCAACATGGGGACACCCGGCCTCTACCAAAAAATACAAAACTTAGCTGGGCGTGGTGATGCATGCCTGTAGTCCCAGTTACTCGGGAGGCTGAGGTGGGAGGATCGCTTGAGCCCAGGAGGTCTAGGCTGCAGTGAGCTGTGATCATGTGACTGCACTCCAGCCTGATGACACAGTAAGACCCTGTCTCAAAAAAAATAAAAAAATTACAAAACTGAAAAAAGAAAAGTGAAAGTGCCACATAAAGGCCTGACGACAGGATATGCTGGCAGGAGGGGACCTTGGAAATATGCCCTCCCTCCAAGCACAGGATTGCTGTCTTTGGGATTCAATCACCAGCAAGTTCGTATTATTTACTCCAGTGTGAGTCTGTGTCTGTGCATGCACAGTGTGTTTGAAGCAAGAGCAGAGTCAGAGCTATAGAGAACTAGAGGAGTTAGGGAGAGTGGGGGAGAACTTCAATCAGGGAGGGAATCTGATGACAGTGGGGCCATTTCCGGTTCCCACCAGCCCCTTACTAGTTGTGTATCTGGCACAAGTCTCTCAACCTCTCTGAAAGCCTCAGAGGGCAGAGGATTAGCTCCTTGTACACAATAAACACTCAAATGTTAACATTAGCTGCCATTACTATAAGTTACTGTCTCATGGGATCCATACAGCAACCTAAGGAGGTAGGTCGAGGCATACCTCAAAGACATTGCAGGTTCAGTTCCAGACCAACACAAGAAAGCAAGTCACATGAATGTTTTTGGTTTCCCAATGCATATAAAAGTTATGTTTACACTATACTGTAGACCAGCAAGAGTGCAATAGCATTGTCTAATAAAACAATATACATACCTAAATTTAAAAATACTTTATTGCTAAAAAATGCTGATTATCAATCTGAGCCTTCGGTGAGTCGTACTCTTTTTGCTGGTGGAGGGTCTTGCCTCGAGGTTGATGGTTGCTGACTGGTCAGGGTGGTGGCTGCTGAAGGTTGGGGTGGCTGTGGCAATTTCCTAAAATAAGACATCGGTGAAGCTTTTCGCATGAGTTGACTCTTCCTTTCATGAAAGATTTCTCTGTAGCATGCGATGCTGTTTGATAGCATTTTGCCCACAGTAGAGCTTCTTTCAAAATTGGAGTCAATCCTCTCAAACCCTGCTGCTGCTTTATCAACTAAGTTTATGTAATATTCTAAATCCTTTGTTGTCATTTCAACAATGTTCACAGCATCTTCACCAGGTGTAGATTCCATCTCAAGAAACCACTTTCTTTGCGCATCCATAAGAAACAACTCCTCATCTGTTAAAGTTTTATCATGAGATTGCAGCAATTCAGTTACATCTTCAGGCTCTACTTCTAATTCTAGTTCTTTTGCTATTTCCACCACATCTGCACTTACTTCCTCCACTGAAGTCTTGAACCCCTCATAGTCATCAATGAGGGTGGGAATCAACTTCTTCCAAACTCCTGTTAATGTTGACAATTTGACCTCCTCCCATGAATCACGAATGTTTTTAATGGCATCTAAAATGGTGAATCCTTTCCAGAAGGTTTTCAATTTGCTTTGCCCAGATCCATCAGAGACATCACTATCCATGGCAGCTAGAGCCTTATGAAATGTATTTCTCAAATAATAAGACTTGAAGGTCGAAATTACCCCTTGATCCATGGGCTGCAGAATGGATGTTGTGTTAGCAGGCATGAAAATAACATTAATCTCCTCGTATATCTCCATCAGAGCTCTTGGATGACTAGGGGCATTGTCAATGAGCAGTAATATTTTGAAAGGAATCTTCTTTTCTGAGCAGTAGGTCTCAACAGTGGGTTTAAAATATTCAGTAAACCACGCTGTAAACAGATGTGCTGTCATCCGGGCTTTGCTGTTCCATTTATATAGCACGGGTAGAGTAGATTTAGTATAATTCTTAAGGGCCCTAGGATTTTCAGAATGGTAAATAAGCATTGGCTTCAACTTAAAGTCACCAGCTGCATTAGCCCCTAACAAGAGAGTCAGCCTGTCCTTTGAAGCTTTGAAGCCAGGCACTGACTTCTCCTCTCTAGCTATGAAAGTTCTAGATGGCATCTTCTTCCAATAGAAGGCTGTTTCATCTACATTGAAAATCTGTTGTTTAGTGTAGCCACCTTCGTCAATGATCTTAGCTAAAGCTTCTGGATAACTTGCTGCAGCTTCTACATCAGCACTTGCTGCTTCACCTTGTGCTTTTATGTTATGGAAATGGCTTCTTTCCTTAAACCTCATGAACCAACCTCTGCTAGCTTCAAACTTTTCTTCTGCAGCTTCCACACCTCTCTCAGCTTTCATAGAGTTGAAGAGAGTTAGGGCTTTGTTCTGGATTAGGCTTTGGCTTAAGGGAATGTTGCGGCTGGTCTGATCTTCTATCCAGACCACTAAAACCTTCTCCATATCAGCAATAAGGCTGTTTCGCTTTCTTATCATTCGTGTGTTCATTGGAGTAGCACTTTTAACTTCCTTCAAGAACTTTTCCTTTGCATTTACAACTTGGCTAACTGTTTGCCGCAGGAGGCCTAGCCTTCGGCCTATCTCGGCTTTTGACATACCTTCCTCACTCAGTTTAATCATTTCTAGTTTTTGATTTAAAGTGAGAGATGTGCGACTCTTCCTTTCACTTGAGCACTTAGAGGCCATTGCAGAGTCATTAATTCGCCTAATCTCAATATTGTTGTGTCTCAGGGAATAGGGAGGCCCAAGAAGAGGGAGAGAGATGGGGAACGGTCTGTGGGTGGAGCGGTCAGAACACACACAACATTAAGTTCCACGTCTTATAAAAGACGCTGTATGTGGCACCCCAAAACAATGACAATAGCAACATCAAAGATCACTGATCATAGATCACCATAACAGACACAGAAATCATGAAAAAGTTTTAAATATTTTGAGAATTACCAAAATGTAACACAGAGACACCAAGTGAGCACATGCTGTTGGAAAAATGGCGCTGATACAATTGCTGGACTCAGGGCTGCCACAAACCCTCCATTTGTTTTCAGAATGCCCTATCTGCGAAGCGTAATAAAACGAGGTATGCCATAGTACAGTGGCGCCGCGACCGACAAAGGAAAGCCTCCGGGAGGTCAAAAGAGATACCAGAGAGTGCGTCCCGCACTGGAGGAAGAGGAAGGTTTTTACCAAGCAGCGAGTCCAGAGCCCGCGCCGTCAACGACGCGGTGCTGCCTTTTTTCCGAGCCGCTGCGGGAGGGGGCCAGGACACGCTCCCTTAGGAGAGCGGGCGGGTCACAAGGACCTGGACAGAGGCAGAACTGAGGCCAGCAGCCAGCTCCGCCGCTGAGTCCAGCCCTCTGCGCAGCCGCCCTGAGCTGGCGTCCCGAGATAGCCGCTTCCAAACCGGGCCTGCGCGCCGACGTTCCGCTGCGCCCCGCGCAAAACCGGAAGTACCCGGGCCCAAGGCTGAGGGACCCGGTGGAGCGGAAGTCACTCCCTGAGGCAGTGGCGACAGCGGCGGCGAGAGGATGAACAACAAGTTCGACGCGTGAGTGGCTCGTGGCCGCCCCCGGGGCCCCTTCCCCGAACAGTTCCCCCGCGCCCGCCCCCGCTGGGGCTGGGGCGGCGCAAACCCTGCGGCACCGGCTTCCCTGCTGGGATCCGGCTGCGGCCGGACCTGGCCTGGACTGGCGGGGAGGAGGGGGCTGGGGAGCAATGGATACCGGAGTCCCGGAGACCCCAGGGCCGTCCGAACCGAGGGCGAAGAGCTGGGCCCGGGGGAGGGGTGGCTGTGCCGCCCGGTAGGGGGAGATTTTCGGACGCCCCGCCCTGGTGGATGCGGATTGCCTGCGACGTGGAGGGGTGGGGACCTCGGCGGTTTGGGTGTTTCCGCAGTCTGGCAGCGCTGCCTCTGAATCCAGCTTTCCCCACACACTCCCTCTCCCCTCTGAGCCTCAGTTTTCTCATCTGCAGAGTGGGGACGGTAACACCCTTTGTCGTAGAGTTTGGAGGATGCAATGAGGTAATGTGGTTGCTGCCCTCGACGCGGTGGAAGGCTGGCTTAGGAATTATCTTCCTGAGACTCTTCCTACTTTCTTTCTCCTCCCCTTCCCGTTCCCGTCTTCCAACACACTCGCCAAGACCTAAGTATACTTGTTGCCCTCTCCTGCCCGCTCCGGTTTCTAGTTTCAGCATCAAACAGTTTGGAGGTACAGAGAGAAAATGCAGAAGTATCTTTACTTATCCCCCTCCAAGGATTGTATCTTGAGGTAGAATATGTTCCTTCCTCTCTTCTAGTAGTCTAGTAAATCGACTGTCTCTTCATCCGAAAACCTGGATTTCTAGTCCCAGATTCACCACTTACCATCTGTTTGACTGTAGAAAAGTTACCCAGCCTCTAAGCCATTGTTGCTCAAACCACATTAGTGGCTAGGACCCTGCTGCCACGCCGGGGTGTGATAAGGGTCAGATCACACTCAGCGATGCTTAAAGATGCTTGTGAACATTGCTAACTATTGCGATATAAACGTAAAGTGGAATTACTATTAGTTTAGGTTGTGACCTGGTGCTTTTGATGGGAAATTGGGGTGTTTCCAATACAGAGAGTACTGTGCAAATTCAGGGAATACTGGATTTCCAACACTCCAGGCAGGTAGGTCCTCAGGAATGTTTTCTGGTTGCTGAGAGGTCTCTGCTACTTGAGAAAGTCTTTGCCCGACCTCTTCTCTATCCTGCTGTTTAACTGAGCCTGTCCCTCTACGAACCTCTCCCCCGCTGCCGCCCCATTTCATCTCTATTGTAAACCCTGCAACAACTAGCTCCAGATCCAAATCCTGCCTCAGTGGAGCTTTCTGGAACCCTTATACCCCTTCCTCCACTGATTTGAACAAATCAAATGTCATCCTAAGAAGACATCTTATGGGTCATCTAGCTCAAGCCTACCCAAATCATTTGGGAGTCTGCAGTAAGAATGGTAATAATGGACTTCCACAGGGATCTTGCTAGGTATTTTTCATATATATATATATTTTTTGAGACAGGGTCTCGCTGTGTCACCCTGGCTGGAGTGCAGTGGTGTCATCACAGCTCACTGCCCACTCAACCTCCCGGGCACCAGCAATCCTCCCATCTCAGCCTCCAGAGTAGCCGGACTACAGGCATGTGCCACCCTACCTTGCTAATTTTTTTGTATTTTTTGTAGAGACGGGGTTTCGCCATGTTGCCCAGGCCGATCTCGAACTCGGGCTCAAGAGATCCACCCACCTTGCCTCCTAAAGTGCTGGGATTACAGGCATGAGCCACCACCCCCAGCCTCATATGTTATTTCTACTCTAACAATTCTGTGAAGGGGATCTTGTTGTCTCCTTTTACAGATGAGGAAAGTGAGACTCTGAGGTTAACTAATTCCCGACACAAAGGAAGGGCTATCCCAGGTTTGTTGTGTAACCTTGGTTCAAGCACCTCTTGAGAAAAATTAAACTTGCCCTCTTTTTTTTTCTTACCTCTTCTACGATTGAAGAACCTGGGTCATTTTAATTACTTTGAATTATTAACTATTGTATTGAGCCAGAATCTTTTAACATCTGCCCTCTAGCATTGCAGGAAAAAAAAAGAAAAACAAGCTTTCTTTCATTTGAAATTAGCAGTTGAAAACAGCACTCCTGCCCCTAGTTTTATTTTTTTATGTTGTTTTTCATTCAGAAATTCTGCGGTGTTTAGGCCATTGCTGCATATTTGGAGTCTTTACCACATTGCTCTCTCTAGTAATCTGCACTTTTTACCACATTGCTCTTAAGGACATGTTCCAGTTTGCCAGAATCCTTCCAGATGTCCAGTGGCTGGAGCTGAGTACAGTAGTATATAATCTAATGGGCTCATATTAAAGATTAGCTCTAATCTCCGTTACTGTATGGACTCAACTTCTCTGAATGAAACCTTTGATTGTAATTGCTTTTGTGGAGAAGGGGTAGACCTATCAAGTCCTTAGATCTCATTGCCATTGATCCTATTGATAACGTAAAACCGTAAGATGCTTTCACAAAAACTGCAGTCCTGACTTAAACATAGTTTTCAGATCTACACAACTGTACTTGATTTTGTCCGTATTCTACATCATTTGCTTTTTATTCTATATCGTTAACTTTGGGCCCATTCCTAACTATTGTCTAAACCACTTATTTGGCACTCATTGCTTTGATTCTATAGACCCATTCATTAAACGGAGATTTTTTTTTATGCCACTGTCTGATGGTGAGGGTATAAAGATGAATTGAACCAAGGTCCTGCCCACAAGGTATTGGTCTAGTTCAGAGGGTGAGGAAATACGTGGGCAGAAGCTTAGCAAGCTAACTAAAGTGCCTCTCAGTCTGGACAGTCTCAGAGTTGCTAACTGCCTGAGTTTAGGGAGCACTGATTTTTCAGTCTGAGTTGTATCTTGACTCAAATCCAGCTTGAAGCTGGGAAGAGTAGCTTGTAAGATTTGCCTTAAATGTAGGC
The DNA here is from genome assembly GCF_000001405.40 of Homo sapiens. Taxonomy (NCBI): domain Eukaryota; kingdom Metazoa; phylum Chordata; class Mammalia; order Primates; family Hominidae; genus Homo; species Homo sapiens. Next base: position 232,553,693 of record NC_000002.12, read on the forward strand.
TTAGAGGGCAGAGTGGTTGGTTAGTTCCACTCTCAGGTAATAAAAGCACCAGATATAGGTCCATTAGGGTTCCCATTTACTGTCTTAGAAAGGAGCCCTAAGTGGTCCAGGGATCACAGGAGCATTGTTTCTTCTCTGACAATTATTTTTGTTTCCTGGTAGTGATCAGCAGCAAACCACTAAAAAGAAAGGAAGGTATATACTTTTCTTGGGTCTAGCAAAAACAAGATGCTGGGATGACTGTACCCCTCTTCAACCAAGATCTAAATGCAAGGGACCCCAGAGGCTATAGTGGGAGTTGGAAGCTAAGAAGGGAGGAAAAGGGTTTGCATCCCAAGGGTGTGCCCTGAAGAAGAGAGTTGTCCTGGGCCTAAGCAGAAGAACCTTTGAGATGTTTTTGATCAGGAGACAGAACTGGCCATGAGAGTATAGCTGGAACAAGTACAAACATTTATATGGGCAAGTTCAGAAGAGGAGACCCCAACTCAGCCTAGGTTGGAAGAGGTTAGGAAATGTTGCCAAGAGAAAGTGGCCCTCAATCTGAGTCCTGTAGGACAAGTTAACTAGGCAAAGAAGGACTTCTTGAGGAGAGACCACATGATGAGCATAACAGAAGGATAAAATGGGGGCACCAAAATTAGGGTGATACAACTGGAGTGAAAAGAGTTTGTTGGGACCAGGAAGGAGATGATATTGGGACATGTGAGCAGAGCAGGGGCCTTTGCACCATGCTGAGGCGTGGGTATATCTGTGTACCTTTTCTCCTCAGCTAGGTTCTTGGGGACAAGCACTCTGGTAGCTCATACACACCATAGATGCTTGGTAGATGTTGGTAATTTTTAATCTGTAGATCTTGTGTGCTAGACAGGCTCCTTTTGAAAAGGAAACCAAATGTTTAATAAAGGGGAAGTTTAATAAAGGGGAAGGGAATATCATAAGTACAGATGATGGTCTCCTGGAAGTCCAGGGAGGCTGAATAAAACCAGAGAGATGTTAGCATTAGCAACAAAATGAAACTCCCCTCCATTTTCTCTGCTCATCTGCTCCATTCTCTTATCTCATACTGGCTTTCTCTGCTTTTGCTCATTGTCTTAATTCTCTCAGGGCTTTTCTTGCATGGGGCCCATATGGCTGCCCCAGCTCCTGAGTCTATGATCTTTCATCTCCTGGATGAAATGCTGAGGGGAGGAATCTGCTCATATTTTTGAGCAAGGCTCTGGGGCATAGGTTATTGCCCAGGCTGGACTACCCTTTGGTCAGGTGCACTTCCTAGTTGTGTCTTGACCAGGGTAGGGATGGGAAGGTTCATGGCACAGGGCATAACCTCCTGGGTATATCCTACAGCTAGGGCTGTGAAATGGGCAGAGCAGGCACCCCAACATGTGACTAGCTCATTCATTCTAATATTTATTGGATACTTTTAATGTACTAGGCACTGGGGATTCGTGGGCAAAAAAAACCAGACCACAAATACAAAGTACCCTGCAACATGTTTATGTGTCAGCATAGGGTAGTATCTGAATTATAACTGGAGCATTTCTAGTACCATTCTTGAGAACTGCCTAATTTCGTTTGACCACACATATAGTTATTGGGGCGAGAAAGATGATTGGAGAGAAGATCTGTGATGAATTAATGGTCCAGCCCTAAAATAAATGGCTTTCTTATTGTCTTTGCAAACTCACCTTCCATTTATCTTTTTGTCTGGATCCGGTGATTTTAGGTGTACCTGAAAGCCTTGGGGTAGTTTCACTGCTCATGAAAGGGTAATCCCTAAAGTTCGTTTGACTCTGTGCTTATGAAGCAAGAACACATTTATTCTTTCTTTCAGTCATTTATTTTTCCTTTTGGTTTACCATTTATTCAGCATCTTCTAGTGCCGCATGTTAAGGCAACATCTTGCCCTGGGTGCTGGAGATACCGAGATGAAATAAGACACTGCTCTAAGGGAACTCTCTCTCTAGTAGGGAAAGCAGACATGGGAGGAATGGTGTGACAGACCGAAGGGGTGGTGTTTGCAAATGGCACCGATACGGCAACATAGATTGCTAGAGGAGGAGGATCCTGGCTGGCAGGAGTCAGATTCTAGAGGATCTTACATTTTGCTGTACTTTATCTTAGAGGGTAGGCATCAAAAAGCGAGGGACAGTTGAAAGTTTAAAGCATGCAAGTTAAATGTCAGATTTGCACTTAAAAAGATAATGCTAGTGAAAGGATGGATAGAGAGTGAGAGATTTGTGTCAGGAAGACCAGGAATTTATTATATGATTGACGTGTCAGGAGAAGAGGGCCTAAACTAAAGTAGTGACAGTGAGTGTAGAAGAGGTGGTAAGGAGAAGTGGCAAAGCAGATAGTACGTTTTTAACCTTCATTTGAAATGCCATAGCATTAGAGACTCTTCTCATTTTTTACTCCATTTTTGGCAGGGAAAACAATCCCTTAAACTGTATACCTTAAACATTCCCTTTAACTGGTTCTTTGTGTGGCTTTTTAGAAAACTGAAAGACAGTGCTTTGTGGAGTTCACAAGTTAGCTGATGGGTGTTTCGTTTTTGTTTAATCCTAATTTGCCTGTCTGTGTTATTTTGCCCTTCTTACATCTCAGGGCCTGAATTTGAGTGACTTTGGGTTGGTTACATAGTAGTTCGTATGACCTGGTGGCTTTGTTAGGTAAGCAAGAATTGACTTCGTCACAGAATTGTATTGTGTTGCCTTTCCATTCAGTTTGAAAGATGATGACAGTGGGGACCATGATCAGAATGAAGAAAACAGCACACAGAAAGATGGTGAGAAGGAAAAAACGGAACGAGACAAGAATCAGAGCAGTAGCAAGAGAAAGGTGAGTGTTGGCTGCACAGATGTAGTTGCCTTTGAACTTGAGACTTTTATTATCTTGTGGAATCTGTTTATCTGGAAGATACCAGATTAACTTGATGGCATCCTGTGTTGGAATATCTGACTTTGTTCTCAGAAAAACATTGTGCAATCATTGATGTTCATTTTCAGACCTAGAACTTTTCTCTTGCCACAGAATCTTGAGATGCTGCCTTGCTTTCAACGTTCTCCTAGCCTGAGATGGAGATTAGTCCTGGAGCTTAACAAGGCTGTTAGCTGCTTCATAAGCCACTGCTGAGTGTTTCAAATCCTACATACCCCTTGAAATTGTAGACAGTTTAGTCAGCAATAGTCTAAGGTGAAAGTGACTTGGAAAAGGGAAAACTTAGGGAATGAGAGAGAGAGAGAGATCAATTTTTTCCTTGAAATATCAAAGCAGGCTGGGTGCCATGGCTCATGCCTGTAATCCTAGCACTTTGGAAGGCCAAGGTGGGTGGATCACTAGGTCAAGAGATCGAGACCATCCTGGCCAACATGGTAAAACCCCATCTCTACTAAAAATACAAAAATTAGCTGGATGCTGTGGCGCGTGCCTGAAGTCCCAGCTACTGGGGAGGCTGAGGCAGGAGAATCGCTTGAACCCAGGAGGCAGAGGTTGCAGTGAGCCGAGGTCGCGCCACTGCACTCCAGCCTGGCAACAGAGTGAGACTCCGTTTCAAAAAAACAAACAAAGAAATATCAAAGCAATCACTAATTCATTTATTCTACAATATTGAGTAACCCTCCAAGGGTTACTAGCATTTTATGCTAGATGCTAAGAGGACACAAAGGTGAATGAGACTGTGGAAGGGGCTTACGTTTAATAGTACCAATAATAATACTGACATCTGTTGTGCACGTACTCTGTGCCAGGCACTGTGCTCAGCATTGTATATCCACTGATTCATTTGATCCTCTCAGCAGTATTGTGAGATGGTTGTTACAATTTTCCTCATTTTGCAGGTAAGAAGATGAGGCACAAACAGGTTAAGTAACTTGACAGTGATGAATCTCATAGAGGAGGCAGTGCTTGGACTGGGCATATGCTGAGATAAGATACAAAGATGAATACCTATTATATGAGGGAGAAAGTTACAAAGGCCATAAGAACACAGGTAAAGTGTTTCAGGAATTTAGAATCAGTTAACCACTGAGGAAATGTACTGTGTAAGCAGAATCTTTGGCACATTGCAGATAGTTGAGGTTGTATATCCTTTTTTAATTGTGGAGGTGGTAAGGATTGACACTGCAAAATGTTCTCTCAGTCTCAGACCACGTGACAAATGCCCAGGACTAACACACCTTCTTTACTTCCCAGGCTGTTGTCCCTGGACCGGCAGAGCATCCCCTGCAGTACAACTACACTTTTTGGTACTCCAGGAGAACCCCCGGCCGTCCCACGAGCTCACAGAGCTATGAACAGAATATCAAACAGATTGGCACCTTTGCCTCTGTGAGTTCTTGGTGAATTAATGGAGTGTGCCTTGATAGTTCGTTCATGCCTGTATTGATATGATGTTTATTTACTTTCCTAGTAACCTATTTAAGATTCTGGTTTTCTTAATTGACTGACCTGAGTCTCCGGAGTCAGATTTGTTCATTCTTAGGTTTCTCACTAGATATCCATGGTTAGCATGTAGGTATCAACAAATATGAGAATTGTAGAGTTGATCAGAAGGGCATAATACAAAAGAACAGATTTGGGTTTTTTTATTTTTATTTTTATTTTTTAATTGAGACAGAGTCTCTTGCTCTGTCTCCCAGGCTGGAATGCAGTGGTATCATCTCAGCTCATTGCAACCTCCGCTTCCTGGGTTCAAGCAATTCTTCTGCCTCAGCCTCCCAAGTAGCTGAGATTACAGGCATGTGCCACCACGCCCAGCTAATTTTTGTATTTTTAGTAGAAACGGGGTTCCACCATGTTGGCCAGGCTGGTCTGGAACTCCTGACCTTAGGTAATCCACCCGCCTTGGCCTCCCAAAAGGCTGGATTACAGGAGTGAGCCGCTGCACCTGGCCCTGTTTTTTTTTTTGTTTGTTTTGTTTGCTTGTTTGTTTTTTTTTTTAAGTATATATTTATGGAGTCCTTACTAAGTTCAAAGTGTCATGGATACAGAAGTTTATAATACATGGTGTCTATCTTCATGAAGTTTGACAGTAAAGTGAAAAATTTTGAAAGTTTTGTATTTAAGAACCTCCCATTAGGGTTTTGGCTGTATTAATGATTATGCATAAAATATCTTTTTCCTGTGTTCAGAAAGAAAATGAAATCTCTAATAATTGCTTTTGTGGGTACTGGCAGTCAGAGAGCCCAGACTGTCTCATCTCTCTCCCAGGTGACTTGGTTTGTGTACCCCAAGAATCCATCTGCAACTAACACCACTCTAGTTGAACAAAGGTTATTATGTACCCAGTGTGTGCTGTACATTCAATCTCTGGGCAGAATCAAATGTGGGGTTTGTCATTTTCTTGAAATTGGTGAAGTATTAGTCCTGTTTAAAATGCAGAAACTACGGGGGAGCGGGGAGGGATAGCATTGGGAGATATACCTAATGCTAGATGACGAGTTAGTGGGTGCAGCGCACCAGCATGGCACATGTATACATATGTAACTAACCTGCACAATGTGCACATGTACCCTAAAACTTAAAGTATAAAAAAAAAAAAAAGAATGATTCAGTGTAGTTGTATGCTAGATATATTATATGGAATTATCAGCAGTTTACCAGTTGGTTCTTTATTAGTACTCCTGATGTCTTAAACAAAAATGAATAATTGTTTATCTTTTCTCAAAGTGTCTCATCTGTTCAGTAACAATCACGGTTTTCTCCAACAGTCTTGCATATTACTTTTTTTTAAAGTGCTTTGGTTTGAAAAAAATAAAAAAATAAAATAAAATGCAGAAACTAGAAAAGAATACTCCAGTAGGAAATACTACAACAAACTGCTAAGGAGGAAGGACATATAATACATACTTTATTTGTATAATTTCCTTCCAACATTATGATAGCCCTATGAGGTCAGTGATATTATCCATGTTTTACAAATGAGGAAAGTAAAACTTGGGTTAAGTGTCTGATCTAAAGTCTCAAGTTATGGTGGGGCACGGTGGCTCATGCCTGTAATCCCACCACTTGGGGAGGCTGAGGTGGGAAGATTGTTTGAGCCCAGGAGTTTGAGACCAGCCTAGGCAACGTGATGAGACCCTGCCTCTACAAAAAAAGTTTAAAATTAGCTGGCTTGGAGAAAACGGGAGCATTAAAAAAAAAAAAAAAAAAAGGCTGGCCATGTTGGCATGCACCTGTGGTCCCAACTACTCAGGAGGCTGAGGCAGGAGGATCAGTTGAGCCTAGGAGGTTAAGACTACAGTGAGCCTTTTTTGTGCCACTGCACTCTAGCCTGGGCAACAGAGATAGATCCTGTCTAAAAAAATTTTTAAATTCTCGAGTCAGTCATAATTCACTGGATTAAGTCGAGGAGCCAGTATAATTGAAACTCAGGTACAGAAGCTTCCAGATAGCTGAACACATGGAGGTGCCTGGAGGGTGGTGCGCCTAGAGGGGACATAGAAGCTCCCTGAACCTTCCTCCATACCTTCCCCCATACCTTGCCCTACGCATCTCTTCATCGTATCCTTTGTTTATAATAAACCAGTAATGTAAGGTACCAAGACAATAACCGGGGAAAGAATCGTCTTTTCAACAAACATTGCTGAGACAACTGGATTTCCAGGTGCAGAAGAATGAATTTGCATTCCTTCCTGACACCATACACAAAAAGTAACTAAAAATGGATCATAGACCTAAATGTAAGAGCTAAAATTATAAAATTCTTAGAAGAAAATATTAGTAAATCCTAATGACCTTAGGTTAGGCAAAGCCTTCTTAAGTAACACACTAAACGCACAAGCAGCAAAAGATTAAATACTTGGCTGGGCGTGGTGGCTCACGCCTGTAATCCTTGTACTTTGGGAGGCCAAGGCAGGAGGATGACTTGATCTCAAGAGTTTGAGACCAGCCTGGGCAACATAGTGAGACCCCATCTGTATAGGATTTCATCAAAATTCAAAACTTTTCTGCTTCAAAGGACGCTATCAAGAAAGTGAAAAGATAGCCTACAAAATGGGAGAAAATATTGCAAATCATATCTAATACTTGTATCTAGAATACTCTTACAACTCAGTTATAATCTGCTTAATATGAAATCAACATCATTACTATGCTGAGCTGATAAAATTTCAGCCTAAAGCAAAGATCTTGTTTAGTTTGCCAGTGCTATCTTAGAATCAGCAAACTTAGGGGTTTTGTAATAATAAACTACCTTGTGCACTGGTTCATATTTGGTTCAATAAATGCTTGTTGAATGAATTCAAGGCTCTAGTAGGCTTCTAAAAGGAATGAAGGCACAGATCCTGTCCTTGGGGAAATAAGATGTGCCCAGGAATTTCTAATACAGGGAAGACAGTAAGTGATACTATGGGAAAGGCATTTAGAGTGCTCTTGGAGTTTGGAGGAAAGAAGGAATTGATTCCAGTTTGGGGAATACTGCCTTGGAAGAGATGGGTTTAAGATTGATTTTAAAGAATTTGGCCAGGCCTGGTAGCTCATGCCTGTAATCCCAGCACTTCGGGAGGCCAAGGTGGGAGGATCGCTTGAAGCCAGGAGTTCAAAACCAGCCTGGGCAACATAGTGAGATCTTATCTCAAAAAAAGATTTTTTTGGAGTAATTATGCATACTTCTTGCATTTTTATTTCCCTCTTGTGAAAAAAAAAAGCATATAAGAATTTACCCAAATTGTACGAGGAGGGTTTTTCTTTTGTTTCAGTGTATATGTTAAGGAGTGGTTTATCATCAGGACTATCTTGGGTTAAGGCTTCATCCATGCTCACTGGATGTGTGACAGTATTTAAAGTCTGTCATTTTGACTCTGTAGGTCTGGACCTGAAAAATAGAAATAAAGTCTGTTGTGTAATTCAGGTCACTAGGAAATGGCTCACAATATTAAATGCATCACAGATAAATAATTACATTATGAATCCTTTTATCAAATTGAAAGCAGTGTTTCCCAGTGATTCTTAGCCTAATCATTAACAACATTTAAAAGTTCTTGAAGTCAGAGTGACTAGGAAGGCATCATCTTGAAATGGAAAGAGCACTAGACTTGGTAATCAGAGCTCACCTATTCTGATGCTTGACCCTCTTGGTTAGAGCAACTCAGTCCTGAAACCTTTCTCAACTATAAAACAAGTTGCTGACATGATTTCTGAGGTCCTTTCGGCACCTCATATTCTGAGTCTGTGAATGCTTATTTTTTTTTTTGGTTTCAATTAGAACTGTCAAATCTTTTAAAGTTTAATAATATTTCTCAGGCCAGGCACAGTAGCTAATGCCTGTAGTCCCAGCACTCAGGGAGGCCAAGGAGGGAGGATCACTTGAATCCAGGACTTCAAGACCAGCCTGGCAACAGTGTTAGACTTCATCTCTACAAAAAAAGTAAAAAAATAGCTGGGCATGGTGGTGCCCACTTGTGGTCCCAGCTACTCAGGAGGCTGAGGCAGGAGGATTGCTTGAGCCTGGGAAGTCGAGGCTGCAGTGAGCCATGATCACACTGCTGCACTCCAGCCTGGGTAACAGAGCAAGACCCCATCTCAAATGATGAATGAATGAATGAATGATAGTCTCGAGCTGTTTAACTTCATCTCTCTTATGGTTTGCATATAAGATTGTGCAGTGGGGCTGGGCGCGGTGGCTCACGCCTGTAATCACAACACTTTGGAAGGCCAAGGCAGGTGGATCACCTGAGGTCAGGAGTTCGAGACCAGCCTGGCTAACATGGTGAATGGTGAAACCCCATCTACTAAAAATACAAAAATTAGCCAGGCGTGGTGGTGTGTGCCTGTAGTCCCAGCTACTCGGGAGGCTGAGGCAGGAGAATCACTTGAACCCAGAAGGCAGAGGTTGCAGTGAGCTGAGGCAGGCTGCACCATTGCACTCCAGCCTGGACAAAAAGAGCGAAACTCCATCTCAAAAAAACAAACAAAAAAAAGATTGTGCAGTGTAGTTGTAAGATTGGGGAGACCAAACTGTTAAAGCGATTATTGACTGGGGAACTGGAGATGGTTGACATACTTTGTCCTCACCAAGCCCCTTTCAGTTCCTTATTCACAATGAGCCACTAGTGGGTGTACTTGGTTCTAGTGGGTATATGTGGTTTTATTCAACTATGTTAGGGTGGATAAAGGTTTACATTATTGCCGATTGTATTCATATGACCATTTACTATTCCGAGTCACTACATGCAGCTAAGCTTAGCAGTTGCTGAGTATAAAGCACTGCCTTGAAGCCCTATAGATGGCGTTAGTTCTGACTTCTTTTTACCATGTAAGATGCATCACGTGTGCTTGTGCTAGAGAGGAACTAAAGGGACAGCCATTTCACGCAGTGTAAGGCTGATTTCTCCTTAGGTGCTCCCCATATCTAGAAGTATGACCTGAATCTTTGTCTACTCGATACCCATTGTCAGCTCCACAGTTGTGGTATCTTGCTGTATGTTGATTTAGAGCCTGCTCAGCAGTTTAGCAGATACCAGCTATTTCTCATTGGAATGTTCCGTGTTTTCTCTTTCCTCCTAAAGTGTGCCTCTTCACTGGCCAGTACTTACTACGTATCCTCTGTGAATAAGGAAATAATCTTTCCTATCAAGACACTAGTGAACCTGTAGTCCCAGCTACTTGGGAGGCTGAGATGGGAGGATCCCTTGACACCAGGAGTTAGAGGCTGTGATGAGCTATGATCATACTGCTGCGTAGACCCTGTCTCTTTTTTTTTTCTTTTTTTTTAAGGGGAGGGGGGGTGACACTAATGAGAAAAACAGGACTACTGTGATGAATACAAATAAGCATATACTTGATGGAAAAATATAAATCTAGTTTTCTCACGGGATTGTGAAGGAGCGGCAAGGAGAAACATAATTTTTCTAGCTAAGAAGAGGGCCTTAAACCCTAGCTATGAGAAGCTAAGTCCTGTATGATTTTGGATTGGCCTGGACTTAGCAACAGCACCATGATGTAGAGTGGTATGTGTGGTACATGTGGTTGATTCTATCACTTACGCTTAGTAACTAAACAGGTCTAAGAGGTATTTACATGTGGTTGATTCTATCACTTATGCTTACTAACTAAACAGGTCTAAGAGGTATTTCATTCAGCAAATGCTATATTTGCCAGTTAAACAATCTTTCATCGGTAAGTGATTTGGTTCTAAAAAATGCATTCAGGCTGAGGCTGTGTGACACTTACATACCTCAAGGCTAAAGAGTTTCCATTGTGCAAAAACCTGGTCCTCTTACTGCATGTGATGACTACCCTGCAGCTTGAGTGGGAGAGTGCGTATTAACATGGTTTCACCAACTAAAGCTCCTGGCTGAGGCTTGCATTTCTCACCAAAGATTTTATTCTTGAATTGCGAATGTTACATTTTTTATTTTGTCAAACTAGATGGTATGTTTTTCCTCTAATATGTCTTCCCTCACAACACCACACATGAAAATGAGTCCTCTGAAAAGGACAGCCTGTAGTATAGTGTCTTCCATGCTTATGTTCTTAACTAAATCTCAACCTTGGGATGCATTCAAAGAAAAGTAAAAGACACATGTTTTTTACTCTGGGGTCTTCTCTCTGCAGGTGGAGCAGTTCTGGAGGTTTTATAGCCACATGGTACGTCCTGGGGACCTGACAGGCCACAGTGACTTCCATCTCTTCAAAGAAGGAATTAAACCCATGTGGGAGGTAAGGACTAATGGCTTCTGACTGCTTTTTTGAGCAAGTTTGGGTTTTTTTGTTTTGTCTCTTAGCCCTGCCAAGGTTAAAAGTATTTTATTTTATTTTATTTTATTTTATTTTATTTGAGACGGAGTGTCGCTCTGTCACCCAGGCTGAGCGCAGTGGCGCGATCTCGGCTCACTGCAAGCTCCGCCTCCCAGGTTCACGCCATTCTCTTGCCTCAGCCTCCCTAGTAGCTGGGACTACAGGCGCCCACCACCGCGCCCGGCTAATTTTTTGTGTTTTTTAGTAGAGACGGAGTTTCACCGTGTTAGCCAGGATGGTCTCGATCTCCTGACCTCGTGATCCGCCCGCCTTGGACTCCCAAAATGCTGGGATTACAGGCGTGAGCCACCGTGCCCAGCTGGTTAAAAGTGTTTTAAAGTCTCTCAAAACTGCATCACTCTCCAGTATATCCTTGGAACCCGAGCCTCTAGAGAAATGCACTGATGCCATTTTTTGTCTGTGTGGGTTGGTGCTGGGTGTTTTTTAAAGACTGTTTTATGACTAAAATGGTATTAGAACATTAAAGGATTTTTGTTTTCAGTTACCTTTATCCTTATAGAACTTGTTTGTGCGTGTGTGTAATATTTTTACATAGTACACATATGATTAAAGTGGGTAAGAAAATAAGTTTAAAGGCAGGAACTGGAGACCTAGAACTTTGCAGAGCCAGTATTCGGCTGCGCCCTGGTGTAGTGCATCTTCTATTCTGGTGCCATGGCATTTTTCGAGAAGACAAATGTGGTCACATCCACGCCACCCATCTTATACAGCTCCTCATTGCTCACATGATCTTGCACCTCATTTACCTTTCAAGCCTCATCTCCCATCATCTCTAAATCTTCCCTTCCCTGCAGGTGGACCCTCCTGTCAGTTTATGCACAGACATGTTCTTCCCAGTGCCCGCAGTGCCCTTCAGCTGCTTTTCCTGACTCACTCCCGTTGACCTTAAGACCCACTTCTTGGCAGGGCATGGTGGCCCATGCCTGTAATCCCAGCACTTTGGGAGGTCGAGGTGGACAGATCACCTGAGGTCAGGAGTTTGAGGCCAGCCTGGCCAACATGGTGAAACCCCGTCTCTACTAAAAATACAAAAATTAGCCAGGTGTGGTGGCACGCGCCTGTAATCCCAGCTACTCGGGAGGCTGAGACAGGAGACTCACTTGAACCCAGGAGGTGGAGGTTGCACTGAGCCAAGATTGTGCCACTGCACTCCAGCCTGGGTGACAGAGCGAGACTCCATCTCAAAAAAAGAAAAGAAAAAAAAAGACCCACTTCTTGACTGTTTCCAACTATCTTGTTCTTCCTTAACATAGTGTGCATATCTGTTAACAGCAGCACTTATAATTATAGTATCATTGCTGTAATTAATATCCTTGGCTGTCTCTTCTACTGGACTGGATCTGAGTAGAGATTGGGGCTTCAGCCAGGCGCAGTGGCTCACTCCTGTAATCCCAGCACTTTGGGAATCCGAGGCAGACAGATCACGAGGTCAAGGGTTCGAGACCAGCCTGGCCAATATGGTGAAACCCTGTCTCTACTAAAAATACAATAATTAGCCGGGTGTGGTGGCATGTGCCTGTAGTCCCAGCTACCCAGGAGGCAGAGACAGGAGAATCGCTTGAACCCAAGAGGCAGAAGTGGCAGTGAGCCGATATCGCACCACTGCACTCCAGACTGGGTGACAGCGGGAGACTCCATCGCAAAAAAGAAAAAAAAAAAAACTAGATTGGGGCTTCATGTCTGTGTACTTGGTATGTAGTGACAGTCAGTACTTTTTTTTGTCGTCGTTGTTGTTTTGTTTTGTTTTGTTTTTTGAGACGGAGTCTTGCTGTGTTTCCCAGGCGGGAGTGCAGTGGCACGATCTCGGCTCCCTGCAAGCTCTGCCTCCCGAGTTCACGCCATTCTCCCGCCTCAGCCTCCCGAGTAGCTGGGACTACAGGCGCCCACCACCATGCCCGGCTAATTTTGTTTTTGTATTTTTAGTAGAGACGCGGTTTCACCGTGTCAGCCAGGATGGTCTCGATCTCCTCACCTCGTGATTCGCCCACCTCAGCCTTCCAAAGTGTTGGGATTACGGGCGTGAGCCACTGCGCCCAGCAGACATTCAGTACTTTTAGCAAGTAAACGGATGATCTGTGCTTGAAATATGACATCATTTCGTTTTGATTCCTAAAGTATTTCCAGTAAAGGGGATTATTTTTAAAAGGTCTGTTTAGCCATTTTAATAAATGGCTTATGCCAAGGATCCCAGCCTTGTTTTTCTTTTTTTCCCCATTTCTTCTCTCCCTAGTCCTACCATCAGTTTTTCTATAGAGTTGAATAATTGGAAAGTGATATGACTTCTTAGTGTTTAAGAGATTCTTGGCTTTTTACTGCCTTCATACAAAAAAAGGCTGTGAAACCATATTTTAACTTCAGTGCTTTCTGTCTTTTTACAGGATGATGCAAATAAAAATGGTGGCAAGTGGATTATTCGGCTGCGGAAGGGCTTGGCCTCCCGTTGCTGGGAGAATCTCATTTTGGCCATGCTGGGGGAACAGTTCATGGTTGGGGAGGAGATCTGTGGGGCTGTGGTGTCTGTCCGCTTTCAGGTAAGCCACCCATGAGCCAGGCTGGTTTCTTGTGTTGCCTTTGCTCTCCTCGCTGCCCCTGATTTGCTTTGATGATTCCTTCTGTTCCTCTGGTAGGAAGACATTATTTCAATATGGAATAAGACTGCCAGTGACCAAGCAACCACAGCCCGAATCCGGGACACACTTCGGCGAGTGCTTAACCTACCTCCCAACACCATTATGGAATACAAAACTCACACCGACAGCATCAAGTACGTGTTGGGGGGTTATGGGAGGACGTGTCCCTAAGCTTAGTATAAGTAGATCTGTAGTTGGGCCCAGAGGAATATGGCCGGACAGGAGACTTACTTGTGGAGAAGGGACAGACCAGGCCTTCCCTCTAGGGCTTCTGGCTACTTGCTGCAGTTCTTTGTCAGCGAGGCTCCCTGCCACCTATACTACCAGGTGCTTTGTAGCAGAGAGAGCCCATCTGCAGAAACCCAGTTGTACTACCTGGGCTTGCTTAATTTCTACAGGCTGTCTTGTCTTTCATATGCTAACCACTATCTTAAAATGAAAGACAAGTGCTTTTCTTTTTCTTGCTGTTTTTTAAGATAATTTCACCCTGCCCACCCTCACCCCACTTCTGCATGTCTTTTTAACTTGTTAGCTTCAGTCTATTTTCTTTGTCCTGGGATACTGACTACTTATCAGGAATGACTCCATTTCCTTGTGTATAGAGCTGACTCTTAGAAGAAGGGGGATAGTGTGTGTGTGAGAGAGCAGAATCAAAGGGAAGCATGAAGGCCACAGGGAAAATAAGCTTGGCAATCTCCCTAGGACTCAGGGAAATAGAGCTCTCTGTCCACAGTGAGAATCACTGTTAGGCTTGCTCCTCAGTGATTGAGTGTCAGAAGTAAGCTCAGGCTATTGTGAAAAAGTGTGGGGAGTGGCTGTCAGATTGTCTCAAAGCTGGAGGGAGAGCTAGCCAGCTAAGAGTTAGGACTCTTAGGTTTAGTTCTCTCATATGGCCCCATACCAATATGTGCCTTTGACAAGTGTCTTTGCAACTTTGCTTCAGTTTCTCCATCTGTAAAGTGGGAGACAGTACTTTATCTAACAAGGCTATTGTGAGGCTGATTTAATCTTTAACTGAGGGTCTTCAGATGGAGAATGCTTTTACGGGGCCAAGTAGTAGTATTGCTATCATCATCATCATCATTAGTAAGAATATCATCATGTTGTTATTATTGAAGGCTAGTAGTGAGCCCAGCAATTATGTTCAGCAGACAGACCATTTGGGAATCTCTTTCCCATGCATTCATAGATAATGTGGAGTGGAGTTGGCTTAAACCAGCTAAGTGCCAGTTTTTAAGTGGGAACACTGCTATGGGCGTTGGTCCATGATCAAACGGCTGGCATGACTCATCATAGTCACGAACAGTTATTAGCCAGCCATGGCTGTGGTTGCTTGCCTTAGCAGTCCTGTGTTAGCATTGCTTTACTCTGGGCACATTTTTCTTATTCTCTATTCTGGGATAGAAGTAGTTTCTGACTTCTAGCCACGTTCAGTCCAGGCTGGAGAGATCTACACCTGTTTCTAGGATTCTCGTTTTCAAGGTTTCTGAATATCCCCTACTCCCACTTACCCCCAAAATAAGCTTTTTACCTGGATAGGAGAGGGAAAGAGGTATTTTTCATCAATTCTCCCCTTCTCTGCTCTTCTCCCTTTCTAATACCATAAGGCAGTTCTTCGTGACTTTTACAGAAACATATGTACACGTCCTTACAGAGTTTAGGAGAGCCTGTGGGCTTTTTGCCTTAGTCTGCTAGAAAGACTGGCCTGCTGCTCTCTGCTTTATCCAGAGGTCTGCCTCTGGGACTTCAGCCCTGTAGCTGTAGAGACCAGAAGACCAACCCTCTTTGAGACCCAGATGCTACTTTCCCTTGCGTCCCCCTCTCTTTCCTCTCCCAATGAGCCAACCTTTTGCACTTCCACTAGAATGCCAGGCAGGCTGGGCCCCCAAAGGCTCCTTTTTCAAAACCTCTGGAAGCCGCGGTTGAATGTGCCATGACCCTCTCCCTCTCTGGATGGCACCATCATTGAAGCTGGCGTCATCGGAGTCTCTTGTTCTGTTGGCGTGCTACCTGGAAGATCCTTCTGTCCTGGACAAGAGGAATTGGAAGAGCATTTTATGTTTTAAGAACAGGCTGACACGCAGCAGCTACAACAACAGCTGAGATCACTTAATAAATGGTGCTAAACTAGCTTGTCTCATGCTCTTGCTCTTTATGGTGCATCAAAGATGTGGCCTTTCGGACTGACTGTCACCATATTAAGGGATGGCACAGACTTTTCCATGGAGGGCCATCCGGGGAATGCAGCCTCATTTCCATAAGCCCATTGTGTAGTGTCATGTGGTATTTTGTTCCAGGACTGCTGAGGCCTGACATAATAAGGTGACATCTAGCTTAGAAAATAAGACCCCATTTTCTGGTACTTAAATTTGAGTTCCCATCTAGTCACACCGATGACCAGAACAGAGTGATTTCTGATATAGAATTCAGCTTGAAAGTCTGTTCAGGTTGGAAAGGGGGATCCTTGGCCTTTGCTTCGCTGACTTCCATTCGCCTTTACTTCAAAGAAATCTCTTGCTTGGAGGTAAATCCCTGCTTCTGTCTGTGTGGCTGTGTGTATATAGCTTCCTTGCTTTGTGCTAATGGGGTTTTCTCGCTGGTGCCAAAGCTGCCCAAGCCACAGCTCTTTTCCAGCCTTCTCCCTTCTGCTTTCCCTTTAGAGCCAGGTCATCTTCCTCTTTGAGTCAGCCCTGCTTGCAAGATCTCAGGGTTACAGCCCTTCCCTTTCTCCTGGGCCCGGTGTTACTGCACATCAGGATCTGGGGTAGGGGAAACGTCTTCATCCCGTGTGAGTTTGCTCTGTAGGATATCTGACCGTAGCACGTACGGACCCCTTGTGTGCTTTGTGGCTTTGGCTTGTATGTGCTGCAGCTTGGCCTTTAGGCCCCTAACCTGCATGTAGAGTTTCAGCAAGCCTCATGCTACTTTAGGTTTTCTTAGGAGCTACCACCAAAAACATAATAAACAATCATTTTTTTGCAAACACTGGGTCAGCCTGCCTGAGAGGATCTGTGAAAGTGTCTGTGGACTTAAGGTTGAGTTTTCCAGAGTGGCTGTTCCACTTTGGCAGTGATACCCTGTGCTTGTACCATCCTGACTTACCTCTGATCTCCATGTGGCCCAAGATCCTGCATAACACCTATTAGGATTAGCACTGTGGGCTCAGTATTCTAGGGGTGTTTGTGTCATTGCATCTTTGTTTATTACATATCCAAAATTGGTTGAAGTACCTATAAAATGAGAGATTTGCTGGAATATGGAAAGGCCCATTCTCTACGTTTTTAGTATTTGTCAAAGAATTACCTTCTCTGGCTCTTTCCCTCTTGCCTTCAAAAATTGTTACATACATTAACTTTAATTTCAGCTGTATTGTAACTGCTCCAGGGGATAGGCTTGATGTCACCTCCCAGAGTAAGAGTTGATTAGAAGCACCAAACTGACCTTGAGACCCTTCTGATCCTTGTCAATATGAACAAAAGTCAGAACTATTTCTGCTTTCTTCTATTCCTTGTGGCTCTTCCATGGATATGACTTGGTTTGAGCCAAGGAACAGCTGCTACTGAGACTTAAGAATTCCAAGGAGGCCGGGCGAGGTGGCTCACGCCTGTAATCCTAGCACTTTGGGAGCTCGAGGTGGGCAGATCACAAGGTCAGGAGACCAGCCTGGCCAACATGGTGAAACCCCATCTCTACCAAAAATACAAAATTAGCCGGGCATAGTGGCAGGTGCCTATAATCTCAGCTGCTCGGGGAGGCTGAGGCAGGAGAATTGCTTGAACCCAGGAGGTGGAGGTTGCAGGGGGCTGAGATTGCACCACTGCACTCCAGCCTGAGCAACAAGAGCAAAACTCCATCTCAAAAAACAAAGAATTCCAAGGAAAATGAAGGAAGAAGGAGCCAACATTTGTTTTCCTCCGAGTACTCTGGAGATAGGGCTGCTGGTGGTGAGGGGAGTTTTTTAAGAGTAGCTTAGATTTTTCAGTCAGGTGTTCCTGATTCCTGCTTGCTATTTTTGGCCCAGTTCCCAATGTCCTTCTTCAACCGTTGGGTTTTTCCAGCCTTTCCCCAGTCACACTGCTTGTGGCCTTTTCCTGCTGTTCCCCTCAGTGTGCTACAAGGCACTGCCTGCCGCACAGAGCAGGCGGGTGATGAGCTGCTGTGCTGCAGAGGGCTCCTGCTCTTGTTTATTGCTGACAGTTCATTCACCCCTAAGACGTGGACAACTTGTTAAACTGAGTTCTTGCTCAGGTCATAGCTCCTTTTAATGAGGCCAACTTGTAGTCGAGTTTTCATAGATGTGGGTTCCCCATATTCTCTGCTTTGAGGAGAAATCTCATAATACAGTCAGAATCGTGGGGCTACCAGGATAAAACTGGGCTCGGAGCCATATGAAACAGCAATGTCTTTTGTGAAGAAACTCCTCTTTGGATTAGTCCCACTGATTCCTTTTGTGCATCTAGCCTGGAATGGAAAAGGAAAACAGGCCAAATTCCCATAGTGGGCTACAGCACTGGGAAAGACTGGCCCGGCTTCTCTGCAGGAGTGGAGGGTGGGTGATTCTCTTTATTCCTTTATCTCAGAGAAGAGACAGGTCAAATTGTGGAGGCTTTCCCACATCTAGATATCATTGTATTTCAACACTGAACTTTTATAGGCAAGGACCAACCCATTCCCTTCTCCTGGCATGGCTAAATCATAGTCCAGTAGCACCAGGTTACCCCAGCTTAATTGCTGGCCTGGCTTTGCATCTGTGATATGTACCACCGAACTGGTAGGCAAAGCGAAGAGAGCCCAGATTAGCAGGAGGCTGAGCCCCTCCCTAAGTATAGAGAGCAGTGAGCGCAAGGCTATGAACCTTGCAGCCTTTGGGTAGAGGTAGGGGGAAGTGTAGAATTGCACAGGATTTGCTTTCTGGTACGTGAGATGGGCCAAGAGTGGTCTTAAAAGAGCTCTTTGTTCCTCTGTCTTTTGAATCTGTTCAGAATTCCTTGTTGCCTATATTAACCTCTAATTAATTTTTTCTGTTTTTAGAAACTCCAGTCATGACACTTCTTACATTTAACTTGTTCTTTCTTTACCTTTAAAAGAAGGAAGTTTTAATATTACCCAGTATGCCTGGAATGCCAGATGGAAAATAGCTAGACTATTCACACCTAGTTTTAGGTGGTAGATTTGCCTCTTGGCCGAGCTGTGGGCCTATGAGAATAAGAGTGATTATACCAAAGATTATGGCCCACTATTTTATTTCCACTGATTCCATGTGAAGAAATTTCTTTTTTTGTTTTGTTTTGTTTTGTTTTTCTGAGATGGAGTCTCACTCTGTCACCCAGGCTGGAGTGCAGTGGCGCGATCTCTGCTCACTGCAACCTCTGCCTCCTGGGTTCAAGCGATTCTCTTGCCTCAGCCTCCCGAGTAGCTGGGATTACAGGTGCCCGCCACCATGCTTGGCTAATTTTTTGTATTTTTAGTAGAGACGGGGTTTCACCATGTTTGCCAGGCTGGTCTCGAACTCCTGAACTCAGGTGTTCCGCCTGCCTCAGCCTCCCGAAGTGATTACAGGCGTGAGCCATGGTGCCCGGCTGTGAGGAAATTTCTTAACCCAGGTTCTTCATGTTGAGGTTTAACATATAGTGAAGAGACTAATGAAGAAACTGGGAGGGGAATGTAATACTGGAATGGAGTAGGAGGGAGCTGTGAAGTCCATATTTCTTCAGGTTCTTGACAGAGAGAACTGCTCGGTGTAGGCTAGTGTAAGGATGGCCCTTCCTGGAAATAAAAGGATAAATGACATGAAGCTTCAACACAGCCATGTAATTTCTTGTTGACACCTAAGTGGTTTAAAAAGGAATTTAAATCTCAGCATTACAGTGAGGGGTTTCCCTGGGTCATTGCCAAAGCATTGGATTTTGCTTTGCCCTTGTCTTCATTTGGAGTAAAGAGTCAAATTGCCTTCTGATGTCACTCAGGGATTCACAAAGCACATCACATCACCATCTTTCCAGAAAGAGCTCTGAAACAGGTGTCTTGCTGTGGACACTGAGTTTGGGAATTGACAAAGACTGGCACACTTGTTTGGCATTCTTACATTTTTCCTTAATTTAGTTAGCACATACACTAGGAGCTTTGGTAATAATTCTCTGAAGAAGCCATGAACTGCAGGTCTACCTCCTCTAAGAGGTAAATGGTTAACTCATAAATGTAGTGTATTGTCACCCTGGGTACTGTGTCACCAAATTAAACCAAGAATGGAGTAACAATAATGAGGAACTTCAGACTTAGAAGCACCATATTTTATATATAATTCCCAAGGAACTCCTCATTTTGGGGCTGAAAAGTGGCTAGGGCTTAGGTAGGAAATCAGCTCCCCTGAGAAAACTTGAGTTTGAGCCTCCAGAAGCATAGGGGGTCTGATTTTCTCCTGTGACTAGTCCAGCAGTCACCAAGAGTCTTTTCTCTGTAAGCGAAAGGCCACGTACCACTTCTGTCACATTTCTTATCCCTTCCCAACCCTAATTTCATAGTTAAGCTAGTCAGCATGAAAATTGTAATGGGCATTGTTCCCTGGAAATTTTGAACTGCCGTGACTTTAAATTTTCAGATAGTAGTTACATAAGCACTTAAGAAACAGGTGGAACCTGACACATTGAAGGTCTGAGTGTAGAAGGGTTAGAAGGTCGGAAATATGAAAACAGAGAAAGTGTATACTTTCCTCCTTGCATCTTTAGACATCATAATGCTGTTGGAAACTGGCCTTTACCCTCAGTGAGGCCTGATGAAGAAAAATTGTTTCTACCACCTGTGCACACATAGGCAAGGCAGAAAGTACAGGGAGTGCCACTGTAAATTGGAAGTGTTTTTGGTGACAGTTGAGCATCAGCTCTGACCTTACTGGCCTCCCCTGGAGCCTTGTTGAAGGAACACTGGTGCAAATCCTTGAGGGAACAGGGGCAGACTTCTCAAGTGAAGCAAGCAGAAGTGCCCGCTGGCCCTGAAAGGGTAGGCTGCTCTGCTCCTCGGAAAGGAAAGTCCAGTGGGACCTCGCTGCTCTGCTCCCAGGTACCTGTGGCTCCACTCGGCTTGGAGGGCATCTGAAGGGGGATGTGGGGTTATTGTGTCTGCTCTCTGTGTTCAAAAGCTTTTGATCTGAATGTGCTATTGTGTTTTTTGTCTCTGGTTTGCCAGGGCCTGGGAGGAGTTTCATGGCCTGGTGAACAGCAGCGGCCGCTGATCGGACGCTCCCCCTCTGTCTCTCACACTCAGGGTAGGGCCTTGTCTATCTTCTCTGTAACCCTGTGACATACCTCTCATCCATAGGACCCCTCTTCCCATTTACCCCCAAACTTGCCTCTACCAACATTGAGCCTCAGAGAAAAATATAAGTCCCAAACCACTGGATTCTCATCCTCCCTGGGTCCCATGTCTCCTGGTGAACCCCTGAGCAGGCTACGTCACCTTATTATGCCCCTATTTTCTCATCTGGAAAATGAGGCTCCATGGATGAACAAGTCTCTGAGATCTCTTTTGATGCTAACATTTCATGATGGTAAATGTGCCACAGATGCTTTTTCTTTTTGCTCAAATGTGGCCATTTTTAAGCCATCTGGCAATGTCCTGTGAGTAAAAGGGCAGTTCCACAGGCCCCAACATGAGTTACATGAGAGGTATGTCTCCTGTTTGCTGGTGTCATGTGTCAGTTGTGAGGAAACAGTAATATAAATTCAGCGTTTCAGCAATGTCAGTAACGGGGCTGGATTTCAGGACTGTGTGAGTAGCAGTTGTTCCAAGCTGTACTTTCACTAGACCAGCACAACTGTACTAGTAGGGAGAGGCACTGAGGTACAAAGACTGGGCCAACTAAAGCATTGACTTTGGGAATATTTGTATTTCAGTTAAGAGAGTATCAAGTCCATGTTTGTCTCTGTAGCAGAGGGAGCTGGGTAAATTTATTCTGAATGAGAGGAATGGATGAAAGGCCAATGTCTGCATGAGCTAGAGATGACAGCCTTTTCCTGGACATCAAACTACCCCTGCCACTAACATCCCTAAGAAATAGAGTAGTTGTAAAATTGGAACAGAACATGTCAACTGTAGTAGCTACCTCAAAATTCCCCCTTCCCTAGAAGGAGACGAGCGTTTTCCAGAAAAGGAGACCTGCATCCCTCCCGTGGGCTAGAAGAGACAAGATGACACTCTGAGGGACAGCAGCAGGTGGCCAGGGCCTGAGAGCTCAGGGGTGTAGGTATGATATACAGATAAAACACAGTTGCAGAGTTCCTGCACACACAAGTGATGCCACCCATACCTTTTTTGTTTTGATAGTTTGATTTCTTTATTATAAATTCAGTCTTCTGGTGGCTTAAAATTTAAAATGATTCTCTTTAAGATATAGTCAACATTAGTGCCTGGTATCATGGCACACGCCTATTGTCCCAGCTACTTGGAGGCTGTGGTGGGAGGATCACTTGAGCCCAGGAGTTCAAGGCCAGCCTGGGCAATATAGTAAGACCCTTGTTTCTAAATATATGTCTGTGTATGTGTGCATATATATAAGTGTCTGTATATATAGTCAACATAGAATTCCAGGAGTGCTGCTAGTATACACAAAGAGGGAGGAAAAAGGTACCAGCTTTAATAGTAGATAAATCATTGATTTTTAGGCTAAAAAATAGTAAATATTTGAAATAAGATATTAAGTTAAATTTTCAGAAGCCAGGTGCTATAATGGAGCTGTTTTTAAAATACTACCATATTTAGTTATTTCTAAGATTTTTTTGGCTTTTAATATTTTTTTTCAATCCTGTTCCTTCTGTAAGCCTTTTAATATTCTTAAAATTGGGGTGCTTTGCTGGGCGCAGTGGCTCACGCCTGTAATCCCAGCACTTTGGGAGGCCAAGGCGGGCAGATCACGAGGTCAAGAGATCGAGACCATCCTGGCCAACATGGTGAAACCCCGTCTCTACTAAAAATACAAAAATTAGCTGGGCGTGGTGGCACACACCTGTTGTCCCAGCTACTTGGGAGGCTGAGGCAGGAGAATCGCTTGAACTCAGGAGGCGGAGGTTGCAGTGAGCCAAGATCATGCCACTGTACTCCAGCCTGGCAACAGAGCGAGACTCCATCTCAAAAAAAAAAACTGGGGATGCTTACAGTGAATGTGATTTTAAAAGGTTTTGTCATAGTTTAATGGGCAGTGTTTACTTCTTAAAGTACATAAAATGATGTACCTTTAAAAATTGATGGCATCTGAGGTTCAGTGAAAAGTCTTTAAAATGAAAGCGGAATAGTCAGAATGGAAGAAAACTCAAAATAACTCCCACCCCTCTTGGCAGATTTAATCCCCTAGGAAAAATATCTTTGAATTGCCGTAAAAAGTCATATATTTGCATAATTGCCATTTTGTGGTCTCTTTGTGGCCCCCGTGTCTTTTTTTATACAGTGTGGGAGGCAGACGAAGAGAACACTCGTGGTTCAGGTATTTTCCTTAAAGCACAGGCTTGGAAGTCCGTGAAGAGTGTTTGAATTTAAACCAAAAATTATTCTGAAAGTAGGGGGGAAAAATGAATTTACACAGCAACAACAAAAAATCCACTCACTTCATTGTCTTAATAGACTTGAAAAGGACTTCATGTCGCATTTCTATTGATTTAACCTCGCTGTAAGTGAAAGAGATGTTCGAGAAGATATGCATCCCTGGCTTACGTTTGTTGGGTCTGCCATTTTAGAGGCCCCTTAACATTTTAGCCCTCTCTCCCTTTTCTTTTTCCTCCAAATAGATTGTGATCTATGAAGAAATTTGGCAGAGAAACTGCTATTTAAATAATTCTTCATGAATCACAAATATTTTTCCTCAATTTATCTGCTATTTTATGTCATTACCTGTGACTGTTAGTATTTTAGGACAATTTCATTTGACTCCTGTTGGAAATAAGTGTTGCCCTTTTAACTATGACTTCAGTAAAACTCTCAGTGAGCTGATAGGAAAGGATTCTGATTACTCAGCTGTCTAGGCTGGTATACACAGAGCAGTGAGTCTGTATTGTTGGGAAATGAAGTTGGAATAAAATAAAGTTGAAGACGAGAGACTGGAATTTGCCTCACTGAAACTAGAAAGAGTTTGCAGCTTTACTGAATATGCAGGGAGAGAAGAGGAAGCCAGAACTGGCCTGGGGTGTACAGCTAATGGCCAAAGAATGTTCTCCTGAAGACCATGTGCACTTAGGTCTACGGGACCCCTCAGAGCCAATCTTCAGAGCAGAGACATAGGTAGCCTTCCTCCTTGGATGACTCCCAGCTTTCACTTGAGAACCCAGAATCACTCAGGTGCCTTTGCCAGGCACCAGCACAGTGGCAGTTAACTCCCAAGAGAGGGGAGGACATTCTGAATGACCACTTTGCCCCCCTGTCATCCATTTTCAGGAGTTAATCTCTGCCGTAGTTCATTGTTTTCAGAGTTGGAACTTGTCCATTTCTCTAAAAGTACTAAAAGATGACCATTTTAAGGTAGAGCAGATTGGAAAGCTGTTTCAGAGTATTTGGACAACGATTTTCCCCAAGATACCTGGGAATGTGAAGTTGGAAGCCAGTCTGAATGGGGCTCTCGGATATTTCTGAGACATCATCAGGACAAAGGAACATCTGGTAGAGAAATAATTCTTTTTTTTTCTTCCAGCATTGTGGGACTGTCAGCTTCTGTGTCCTCTTTGGTGTCCTAAGCATAGCCCATTTGCTGTCACAGCTTTGCCAGATTGCTAGAGGGCTAGCTTTCAGGAACTCACTGTGGATTTGCTAAATTTTAGTTTGCTTTTAAAAGAACAGAAGCACATTGTTTTTTAAGGGGTCGCCTGTGGCCTCTGCCCCTTCCTTTCTACATTCTCCCTTTCTCTGCCTCCTAATCTCTCTGCGCTGAGCCTAGGGTGAGGGATGTGATGGAGTATCACTTCCCAGCTGGCTTGAGGTGAACACATTCCTCAGACCAAATTTGGCATCAAGCTGTTCTCAACCCACTTTTTTAAAGAAGGCTGGACCAAAGCCATAGGGCATCACTGCCACCAGCCTGTGTTAGTCTGTCACTGTCAGGAGCAGGCCACCCCCATTTGCTGTTCTGTTTTCCTCTTAAATCAAACTGGAAAAACTCAGCTGGATTCTCCTGGCTTTTCCTTTACTCTTCTCCTCCCCCTTTTCACTTTGCAAGTGGACTTTAGAATATGATTTCTTAGGTTTTCTGACTATAAAGTGGTCTATATTAACAAAAATATTAAGTATCTGAATGAGGCTGGGCACGGTGGCTCACGCCTGTAATCCCAGCACTTTGGGAGTCTGAGGTGGGCGGATCATGAGGTCAAGAGATCGAGACCATCCTGGCCAACATGGTGAAACCCTGTCTCTACTAAAAATACAAAAATTAGCTGGGCGTGGTGGTGCACGCCTGTAGTTCCAGCTACTTGGGAGGCTGAGGCAGGAGAATCGCTTGAACCCAGGAGGCGGAGGATGCAGTGAGCTGAGATTGTGCCACTGCACTACAACCTGGTGACACTCCATCTCAAAAAAAAAAAAAAATCTGAATGAGAAAGTGTTTTTAGAGCTCTCCAGTTTATCTGCTACAGAGAAAGAATTTATTTCTGGCCCACCTAGTACAATAGAGAAATTCTTCCAAAAGATAAGATGACCTGCTTATGGTAATGATTACCCTGAAAATCCTTTTTCCGTCACTAAACAGCTGAAAGAGTTGGGGCCAGACACTTGCCTGCCATCTCCTTTACTCCAAGATAGATAATTGCCCAAGTCAGCAAATTCTCTGCTCCTACCTTCCCATATCCCTGCCTTTCTAGTTTCTTTTAATAAGAAGAGCAGAATCCCTCCTGATAGACTTGTGGTGTCCAATGATTAGGTGGGCATAGACGTGCCTGTAAAAGGGAAGAAATGGAACAGAGCCATCTGTTCCTGTGAAATCACTTTCTTTAGTATTAAGTGTAGGTACAAAAAAAGTGTCTTTTGTAATGCATCTCTGTAACACAGCATATTTTCCCTAAGAGAACTCAGAAATACACACACACACACACACACACACACACACACACACACACACACCAGTTATGCTTGCTTTTCTCTGTGTTATGATCAGATATGTTCCTTATCCTTTGCTAGCTACTTGTGGCATCTCAGAGGGGTCTATCCTTTTGAAAAGAATTTTTTAAAAATACCATTAGCCTTTTAAAAAGATGACCACCCTATTAACTTTGTTTTCAACCTTCAGCTCTTTAGTTGAAGATAGTTGAAGTGCTAAGTAGCCATTGATAAATGAACCACATGGTCATGCATGCCAGCTATAAAATACCAGTGGACTTTTGAGATAACATCAGTTTATTCCCAGCCTGAGTTCACCTATACCAGCTCCAGTTTTTCTTCTCAGTTCTTGTCTGCAGTCATTCTCTTTGTGTAGTCGGGGGCTGTTGGTCACTGTCAGCTGACCGCCATCATGGAGGAGGATCTGTTAGCCAGTAACAGAAAGAAACTGCTGTTTGGCTGGGCTGAGCATATTCTTTCCTTAGCACATATTTACTCTGAACCAATTGCCATATGTCCCATTAATTATAACAATTTTAAGATAGGTCAGGCTGAGCTTGTAATCCCAGCATTTTGGGAGACCATGACAGGAGGGTCACTTGAGCTCAAGAGTTCAAGACCAACCTGGGCAACATAGTGAGATACTAGGTCAGTTAAAGCCAGAGCTTCTAGAATGTCCCTTTAAAATCAAAGAGAAATAATGACTCCAGAATCCAGGTAAAATTTTCTGACAAATTGAAGTCCACAGCACTGGGCAAGGGCAGCAGCCTTAAAGTCCCTGCCAGCCTGAAATGTTGAGACTCAGATGGTGACAGGACCTGCTAGGATGTCATTAGATTTCTAGGGTGGGACAGGAAAAGTCACTAGTGGCTGGTCAAGCCTGTCTGCATCCAATAAAAGGCAACTAAGAGGACACATATTGGGATCCCCCACATACATACCACACACACACACACACACACACACACACACACACACACACACACACACTTTCAAGAATTAGAGCCATGTTTCTAAAGTAAAGTGAAAGGTACCCAGATTTTACTTCCTGGAATATCCTTTCCTTCTGTAAGCAGCTCTAAGTTTTAAACTGAGGATTCTTATTTGGTTGGTTGGTTTGTTGGTTGGTTGGTTTTTTGTTCATATAAGACCAGGTGAATCATACAATGTTTTCAAAAGTGTGTGTTAGATAAAAAGAAAGGGGGGGAGAGAGAACATCTCCTTCTCAGGCTTCCTCCATCTGCCCAGTTTCTAGTGTGCCCCTTCCACCTCCACTGCCCCATGTAACCACTGTTGTTGGTTTCCTGTGTAGCCTTGCAAAGTTTCATAATGTATATATGAGCAAGTATGAACCTATAACCTTGTTTCCCTACCCCCATTTACACAGAAGGTAGTATACCGTGTGTACACACTACACCTTAAGCTATCAGTTTATCTTGGAACCCTTTCCACAGTAGTAGAGAGCTTCCTTGTTTTATTTCTACGAATGTGCCCTAGCATTAATATTTAACCGGTCCTCTCTTGATCGGCATTTGAATTGTTTCTAATCTTTTGCTGTTGCAAAAAATTGACTGGAAGTTTTGCAAGGGACTTGGGAGGTGGGTTGCCGTTTTGGCATTAGATTGGCAAGTGAAGAAGGCCCCGGGATATGTCATGGAGACCCCGAGGGCTGATGAGTCAGCATCCCCCTGTATATGTGTGCTTCTGTATAGATGATCCTTGTATTGAACACTCTATTTTCTCCCATTTTTTTCTTTCAGGGACAATTCAAGCTTTCGAAATACAAAAATCACATTGTGAGAGTACACAAGCTGGCAATAATCCTTTTCTGTATGTGTGTGTTTGTCCGAAATGGATGGGAGGCCTCCAGCCAGTCCTTCCATTGCTCACTGAAGGGACGTCCCTGAGCCGTGCGCTCTCCTTTTGCACTCATTCCTGGAGGACGGATTCCGCTAGACACCCTCCAGCATCGCTGACTTTATAAAGCGGAAAAACGGAAAACGTGACTTTGTAATAGACAAACATTGTTTTTTAATGGGGTTCCATGGGGGGGCGTTCAGCCTTTCTGTTTGCTGTGTGCTGTCCAGATGCCTCTTGGGCGTCCTGTTGTTCTCTTCCCGTGTTGTACGAAGGGTACCGTGGCCACGTGTACATGCCAGAGCTGTTGATGAGAGTTACCAGTATTATGAATGTCTGTGCATCCAGGAAAAGTGTTCTGTTGGAGAGTCCCAAAATAGCTGTAAATGCTCTCTTCTAGCTCTGCCATTAAATTATTGGGACATTTTGTTTCTTTCTCTCCCCTCCTCCAAGCCCACCACTTTCTGAAGCTGTGTTACTGATGTGATGACTGTCCAGGATTTTGTATCATCCCCTGCCTTATGCCCTCCGGTCTCCTCTCCTGTGGGACTCTCTCCTTCTTAGGCACAGCTGCACTTAGAATTGTAATCCAGTGGCTCTCACTGGTTTCACTGAGGCAGCTTAGAGGGAATGCCTTAGTAAACTGAACTGGAGCAGAATCTAGTTTGATTAGGAGCTAGATTATAATCTAGGTTCCAAGTACAGAATTTGGAGCTAAGGACTGTGACTGAAATCATTTTCCCATATGAGCAGACCCTGTGTGTCAGGCCTGTTTCCCATATGAGCAGAGCCTGTGTGCAAGTCTGTTTCTGGCATGTCCCTCATTGAGGAAGGGAAGCAAAAGCTGGTTATTGCCAGGCCTATTAACACTTAATATGCAAATTCTATCATCCTGAAACTGGGGCATCTGAGGAAAAGGTGACCTTGCTGGATGGCTTTATTTGCATGGCTCTGCCTGTCTGCAGTGGTTGAGTCCTCATCACCTGGTATGTGTATGAGCAAATGTGTGCTGATTGTGATGCCCAGGCAGAAACCTCTTGAAGACTGCTGCAGGCATGCTTTAAAAATGACCAGTCACTCATCAGAGAAGCTGGGTGATCTGACTCCAGAAGGACTGAAGTCAGAGAAGTCACAAGAGCACCTAGGATTCAAATAAATAGCGTCAGAGTCCTATAGCAACCTCCAAGTAGCACCGTCTTACTTGGCTCTTGTGAGCAAAGACTGCAGTACCTTAAATTAAGGCCTCTCTTTAAAACATATGTGGAAGACTAGGGGATCCTTGGCCACCTGGTCTCAGAGAAATCATATGAGAGTAACAGGCATTTCCTTATTGTATTTGTACTACACTCTTCCTACTTTTCCATTCCTGAACACCCTCTAATTACCACTGTTTTGGGGATGCTTTTTTTCTGAAAGAACGGGGAGTACAGGGGCCAAAAGGGAGGTGCTTCTATTACAGGGCAAGTTAGATCAGATAAGAAGATCTAGCAGTGATTTAAACTCCAGGAATATGAAGAGTGCATTCTGGTGTCCAGACAGTTGTGAAGGGCTCGGCAAATATAAGAGCACCATTGGCTACATGGAGAGCAAAGGCTGTCTTTGAAGACCCCAGGGAGGTCTTCACTTTTGCCTAAATTCAGATTTGCCGTGAAAATTCCAAAGAGAGCAGATATTTGGATTTGCCCTCCTTTGGGCATCTACCTGACTGTTGTGTGTGTGGGAAAGTCAGTGTGTATGTGTAGAGTGTGCTTAGGAGTGAGTGAGTGGTCAGGCCTCCTGGCTAGGTGTGTTGTCCATAGTTTTGTTGTTGTTGTTGTTGTTGTTCAGAGTTTTGAATCTTACGTTTTCTAGAGCTGCTCATGTTTTCCCTTCCTTTTTGTCGTTGTAGTATTTGACAGTTGTCTTTTCCATCAAAAACATACTGGCCCTAGGCTGGTTAGAGCAAGGGGTTATGCCTGTTAGGCAGCATCTTACGCCCAGTGTTCTCCCAGATATTCTGCCTAACAGGTTTAAGTAGGAGATTAAATAGTCAGTTTATCTAAACCCTCTATTTTTCCAAACTAGCTTGAGAGGTCTTTTCATCTATTTTTACTCCATGGGCCTCTGATATGCTGAGATGTGGCACGGTTATGATTATGGTATCACCGTTACAGAGGCAAAGGGATAAAGGTCTACCAGGGCCAACGTAACCAGAATGTGAGGAGAGTGAAGAGTCGGTCTCCGCTTTGCACAGTACCAGAATGTGAGGTTGCCACTGGAGAGTGGAGAGTCGGTCTCCACTTTGCACAGTTGGAGCTGTTCTCCTCTAACTCCTTTGCTGGGTTTTCTGTTTGAAATTGGCCCCTACTCCTCTCCAGCCCTTTACTGGGTTTTCTGTTTGAAATTGGCCCCTACTCCTCTCCAGTGTCTGCTTTTTGAATCCTTCTGTTCGTGTGTGTGTGTGTGTGTGTGTGTGTTCCCTATGATACTGGCAGTGGCAATAATTTTCCACCCAGAGAGAAGCTTGTGGTCCACAATGCTCGAAGAATGAATTTCCAAGTATTTGCCAGTGGAAACGGAGCAGAGGCTATGACAAGAGTGATTTAGTGTTGCACTTTCAGAGCAATTATCTACTGCAGTAATAAATTGAAAATATCAGCAAGAACCAGGTCGTGGACTTGTCAATACAAGGGAACCGGGGGTACTGTTACTCATTCTACCCTACAGTGTATAAGTCCCAATCTTAACTGCATTCCAAAACAAAATATGTGGAATAGTCCAGGCAATGTCAATCTCAATGACACAAATTTATTGTGAAAATATTCTCTAATTGATATTAATCATTGCCACAACTCAGTTTACATTTTTATTATCAAAATATAGTTGGTAACGCTCCTTAACTTGGGATAAGGAATATTGGAATAGAAGAAAGTTTAAAGAATTTGATTTTACTGTAAGAAATCACTCAGCCTAAGCTTGGAATGTTTTAGTTATATTAAGTATCTTAGCCTAAAGAGGGACACATGGGGCATGCCGACGGTTGGTGCCCACATGAAACACTGAGGGAGAAAGAGGCTTTGCTGAGCCTCAGTTATTGTTGACAAAGGATTTAAAACAATACAGTCTTGAGACTTAGTTTCTGTAGATAGAAATCTCCTCTCTCTGTCTATCAGTCATGGTCCAAATAGGAGACAGAAACCATTCCAGTTATTTCAACAATATGATAAAAAGAATTACTGACACAGTAACCAAAAAAGCAAAAAACCCACACAAGAATTAAGGAAGTAGCAACTTCCAGAAGTGCTCTAAGGATGGGTGTTGCTCACCTGGTCCTGGGTCTTTGAGCCCATCATGAAGCTGGTTCTGAGCAGGTCAGAAATGGCAGCTGGGATCACATGCAGCTGTGAGAGCAAACTGCTGCAGCAGTGCTGACAGGAACGGGAAGGAGCACGCCCCTTCTTCCTGCAGCATGGAAGCTTCCCTCTACTGGAAAAATCCAACAGGATGCCAGCTGCGAAGCAGAGATGTTTGCAGAGTTCTGTCGCTGGTATCACAAAAGCAGAGCTAAAAAGAGCGGGTGTGGAACTGAGAGACGAGCTTCCTAACTGGCACAGCCCCTGTTAGCCACTCAGCATCTGCACACAGCCTTCTACACCTTTGAACTTCTGTCCCACCACAAAAGCAATTCTTTGTGCCCAAGGAGATGTAATTAATTGGAAGCTGTTACCCTCTCTCAAAAATGAGGACATGTAAAGCTCACCAGTCACTGTCAATCTCTGAGCTGTGTTGACTCTTCTAATTCAGTTTCAATCCCATCTGAATAGAATACAGAACAAGAGAATGGTACCTAAACACTAAAGGGTAAAGTTTACTTCCAGCAAAAATTGCATGAAATAATGAGAGAAGAAAATTGTGCACATAACAAGCAAGAATATGTACATCAGCCGGGCACGGTGGCTCTCGCCTGTAATCCCAGCACTTTGGGAGGCCGAGGTGGGTGGATCATGAGGTTAGGAGTTCGAGACCAGCCTGGCCAATATGGTGAAACCCCCATCTGTACTAAAAATACAAAAATTAGGTGGGCGTGGTGGCGCGCGCCAGTAGTCCCAGCTGCTCAGGAGGCTGAGGCAGGAGAATCGTCTGAACCCAGGAGGAGGAGGTTGCAGTGAGCTGAGATAGCGCCACTGTACTCCAGCCTGGGCGACAGAGTGAGACTTCGTCTCAAAAAAAAAAAAAAAAAGATTATGTATCATCTGTAATGATCATGAGGCTGTAGTTATGTATCACTTTCTTTTCCACTGCCTATTCTGTATTTCCTTTGCCCTCACCCAGGATCTCCGCTGGTCAGGATTCTTTTTTTGGTATGGTTGATCCAAACCTTTATTCCTAGGGTGTCTGAATTAGTTGTCCTTCCTTTGTTACAGTCTTTCGTTTTTGCTATTTGTAAGAGGGACCTCAGAAAAGTATGGATTCTAGACAGTTCTCCCTGCCCCTAGTATGCAGCAGCATTTGTTTCCCCTTGGTAATACACCCGAGTCAGTAAACCCCTTATTTGCTTGTTGGTTCAGTGCCCAGAAGGGCCCAAAACAGCAGGTGAGCCTCAATGTACAATTCAGTGAGCTGTTGTCTTGTGTTCCCCGGAAGCATTCCTCCTGTAAAAACCAAGCCCTCCAAACCAGTAGAACTCCAGTTGAGGGGACAGGTGAGAGGAACCACTCCTACTTCTATCCCTTGATTCCTGGACCCGTGAATCCTGGTTATAGGAGAGACAACACATGCAAAGCAGAACCTTGGGGGCAGCACCCAAAAGTTGTCTCCCAAGTGGTGCTGTAACGGAGTCTTCACGAGGCCGTTTCACTCTAATGTTTGTCCAGCTGCTTCCTCCTGCTGAGATACGTGGTATGACTGTGATTACCTGGTCACAAGCCCATTGCCTCACTTTCTTTGCTGTGAAATTTGTTTCTTGATTAAAAGCAATATTGAATACATGCTGGTGAATAAGGCATTCCATTAGTCCACGGGTGATCATGCTGGGAGAAGCAGGAAACGCAAATTCACATATAGAATATGCATTATTTACCTGGTTTGCCAAACGGCAATGGAACTAATCCAGCACCATCCAATGGAACCTCCAGTTCCTCCAATGGAGCTAATCCAGCACCACTCTCACTTTTTTGGAGCTGTGTCCCCCGGCTACCTGGATGGTCACATTCTTTGGTATTTCTCATCCCATGTGATTGCCCGTGGGCCCCAGGTCTGCTTTCCCTTGATTGCAGTCTTGTCTGATGTCAGTTGAAAGCCTCAGCCAAATCCTGTCCTCCAGGCCTATTTCCATGAGACCTCTAACAGCTTCCCGTCAAGATCGTTTTGACTCAAATAACTTAGAAAAAAAAAAAAGTCTCCATTCCAACAATTTGTAGAAGTACAGCGCACTGATGGGTCACCTGCAAGAGAGCAGGGTCCACAGGAGGCCCCTGCAGCCCTCAGAATGTCCAGCACACTGTTACCTCCCATCCAGTGGGCTGGCCAGTGTGGCAGGTCGGGTGAGTGGGAGATGAATAGGAAGCTATAGGCTGTTCCCTTGAGGAGCTCGCAGTCCAAAGGGGAGAAGAAGGAATGCAGCAAATAGAGGCAAGAAGGCCTCCAAGAGGATTGGTGGCTCAGGTGTAGTCCATGTGGGCCAAGTCCAGTGGGCAGGTGACCTTTGCTCACCTGGACTCCAGAAGTACAGACATGAGGCCAGTGGGCTTCATGCTGGAGATGTTGCCTATGGGTGAGAGTAGTATCGTATGTAGTAAAGTGTACCATTTATTGAAAACTGCTAGACACTAAAATTACATGCATATTTCATTTAAATCTCACAAGAGCCCTGTGGGTTCCCCATTTCACAAATGAAGAAACAGGCAGAGGTTAACACAGAAAGTCACTCACCATGTAAGGGCAGAGATGGGACTTGACTTAGAATTCCAGAGCTCTTAAGCCTGCCACACTGATAGATTATAGCTCACCTAGTCTGCAAGTCATTATTTTGATTGTTGGGAAAGAGGGCTTCGGAACAGATGAGGGCCGGTAGCTCCAAAATGACTCTTGCTGCTGCAGTGTGATCCTAGTAGATCAGAGGCCCCACCCCACTGGCCAAGGAGGATCAAGAGCCATGAGCAAGGCAGCTCCCCCTGGGGCTCTGGGAATGGCCAAGAGGGCACAGGGATTTGCCAGCAAGGTGACATTTTCTGTCCTTTCCCCTAATCCCACACCCTCCTCCTGGCCTGAGTATTGGCCTTACCCTAAATCATGGCATGTAGGTTCCAGGCGTCTCTGTTCCCTATTTCCACAACCAGACTTCCTTAAAGTCCCTCTGCACCAACCCCCGCCTTTTTTTTTTTTTTTTTTTTTTTTTTGCATTGTTTATGGAGGTCCCTGGCGGGGTTTTGCATTGTTCCCCAGACTGGTCTTGAACTTGAACTCCTGGCCTCAAGTGATTCTCCTGCCTCAAGCTCCCAAAGCTGGGGTTACATACAGGCATGAGGCACTGTGCCTGGCCTCATTTAAAAAAAAAATTTAAGGTGAGGTCTTGGTGTGTAGCGCAGGCTGTATTTGAGTGATCCTCTGGCATCAGCCTGCTGAGTCGCGGGGATTATAGGCACATGCTGCCATTCCTGGCTCTGCCCAAATTATTCTCTCCACATTTGTCCAGCGGGCCCAGTCAGACCCTCTCCGTGAACTGTATGGGAAGTAAAACTCCCACGCTGAGAGCAAAACTTCCCTTTCTCCATCTCACCCAGCCTCTTCCTTGTACTAAACATAGACAATAGTATTTCACACCAGGGCCTGCCCTCTACCTTGACGTCTCTGTGAGGAGGCAGGGGAGGAATGCTCAGAGCACCTTCTACCTGCCATCCTCCACCCTTTCAGTCAGGACCCTGAATGGACAGAGAGAGGGGCATCAAGGCCTTGTCCCCTGTGAGCCCAAGAAGGCAGGTAGGTTAATCCAACATCCCCCTCCAGGTGACTTTCCTCCTGTCCCTGACAAGAGGACTGTTAACGTTGACCCAAGAGCCAGAGCCCTGCCCTGTGGCCTCGTGTGCTCTTTGCAGGGTCCTAGCCCCCCGACCCCCATCAGGATGCTTCCAGAACATGGTAAGAGCCCCTGCAGAGGCTGAGCTCATCTGTGGCCGGGCTGGCCGGGCACCACCCAGCACCAGGCTCCTGGAAGGGTTTGGAGGTCCAGCCTCCCACCCCATGCTCTCTGGCTCGCAGTGCCCACCATGCCCTGGCTCCAGCCACCCTGGCTGACTCACTGCCAGGCTCCTTTGCTGTCATCAGTTCTGCTGCAGGTTCACCTCAGCTCACTCCCGTCCCACCCACAGGCGCACACACACCTCTGTCTCCTGACCAGTTCCCACTTTATCTCCGAGTGATGTCCAAGACCCTTTTACAGAGGACAGGTGGCTGGTCCCTCCTATGTGACAGAATGGCCAGTGGCCCTCAGAGGAGACCCTGCTCCTCAACTTAGCACAGTGCTTCTTGGGAGGTTCTAATGGGCAGCCCAGGTCAGGACTATGATCTTGGAGAGACCCTCCTTCATTACTGCCCCTGGACCTATGCCCTGGCCTCCTTGGACAACTTCACACACACACATCCCTAGTATCTTCCCCACATCTAATCAATGTGCTCCTGCCCCCTGCAACATCCTCACCAGCCCCAGCCCATGTCGTGCTCACGCCATTGAGCCTGGCACTGTTGAAGGACCTCACGTGCTTCTTCATTGAAAGCCCTGCCACATCAGTTTTGACTAGATTTCCCGGGGTTCCGCAGATACATCCTTGTCCCCTGCTGTCATGCCATTCATTCCCTGCTGTAGAAGGCCCTCACTCCACCCTTCACCCTGCCCACCTCCACCACCCTTCACATATTGCCTCTTCCAGGCAGCCCCTGGTCCCCTCCTGCCCTAATCATGGGCACCTCCTATTTTCCCACAGCACTAGGCCCAAGAGACTGGAACTGCAGGTGTCCTTGTCTGTTCTGGCTGCTGGGATAGGTTCCAGGAAGGCAGGGGCCACACCTCCCTCATCTCTGAACAGGCCTGGCATGGATGCTGGCTGCGGAGAAATTCCTGCCAAAAGCAGATTTATAAAATGCCTTAGTCATCGTGTGCTGTTCCATCCAGCACTGCCTCTCGCTGAAGAACTCATTTCACAGCAAATGAAGTGCAGCAGTGGGCTTGAAGGAAACCTAAATATTTCTCTCTAAAATACTGAGTATTACATAAGCGTAAAACACTACATAAATAAACTAATTAAAATACTGCCGGCCAGGCGCGGTAGCTCACACCTGTAATCCCAGCACTTTGGGAGACCGAGGCAGGCGGATCACCTGAGCTCAGACATTTGAAACCAGCCTGGCCAACGTAGCCAAGCTCTACTAAAAATACAAAAATTAGCCGGGCGTGATGGCTCATGCCTGTAATCCCAACTACTTGGGAGGCTGAGGCAGGAGAATCACCTGAACCCAGGAGGCAGAGGTTGCAGTAGCCAAGATCGTGCCACTGCACTCCAGCCTGGGCTACAGAGTGAGACTCCATTTCTAAATGAATAAATTAATTAACAAATTAATTAACAAATAAATAAATAATAAAACACTGTGATTGTTGGGCTGAAGAAGGCTAAATGCAGGGGGGCACTCAGCCTTTCCCTCTGCTTGCCCGATGGCAGGACAGCAATTCACAAAGACGAGATCCTTCTACCTCCCCTCCAGCTTTCCTGTGTAAAACCAGAGATGGAAAATTTCCTCAAACAACTTGCTCATCAACTCAGAGATGGTGCCAATGGGACCAGGGAAATTTGGGAGCTAACTTTACTCCCTTCCCAGAGTTTTCCTGCCTTCGCAAGACTCTCCTTTGTCGTGTCACCACTCCAAGATTTATGGCTTTTCACCGGGCGCTGTGGCTCAAGCCTGTAATCCCAGGACTTTTGGAGGCTGAGGTGGGCGGATCACGAGGTCAGGAGATCGAGACCATCCTGGCTAATACAGTGAAACCCCGTCTCTACTAAAAATACAAAAAAATTAGCCGGGTGCGGTGGCGGGCGCCTGTAGTCCCAGCTACTCGGGAGGCTGAGGCAGGAGAATGGCATGAACCCGGGAGGCGGAGCTTGCAGTGAGCCGAGATCGCGCCACTGCACTCCAGCCTGGGCCACAGAGAGAGACTCCGTCTCAAAAAAAAAAAAAAAAAAAATTACGGCTTTTTGATAAAATACTATTTAAGGCAGAGCTTCAAGCCACTTCCTTGAGAGCTACACCTTTGAACTGAGGCTCCTCCCACAAGATGTAAACTGTGCGCATTAACATAAAAATGGCTTTTCTCTTGTTAATCTATCTTTTGTCACAGAAGGCTTGTTCCAGCTATCAACTTAGGAAGGTAGAGGGAAATTACATGTTCTTCCCTCAGGCTCATGTTTATGGAGGTCCCTGGTCTTACTGGTACCCCATCATCCTAAAGCGGGAATGTGAGAGCTACTGACCTCTATGATTGAGTTTTGTTCACTGATAATTAATAAATTATTGCTATTTGTAGCATTTCACAGATCGTTTGCTTGCATTTGCCAGGGGTGTGTGTGTGTGTGTGTGTGTGTGTGTGTGTGTGTGTATTTTTTTTTTTAACATAGTCTTGCTCTGTCCCCCAGGCTGCAGTACAGTGGTAGCACCTTGGCTCACTGCAGTCTCCACCTCTTGGGTTTAAGGGATCCTCCCACTTCAGCCTCTGGAGTAGCTGGGATTACAAGCGCACACCACCACACTCAGCTAATTTTGTATTTTTTGTAGAGATGAAGTCTCACTATGTCGCCCAGGCTGGTCTGGAACCTCCTGCACTCACGTAATCCTCCCACCTCAGCCTCCCAAAGAGCTGGGATTACGGGTGCGAGCCACCATGCCTGGCTTTATAATCTTATTATCTTCAAATTATGAAGGTTTTACTTTCTCCTTTCCAACTTTCCTATCTCTGTTTTCTTTGCCTTACCTTATTGTGTGGGTTAGCACCTCCGGTACATTGTTGATTTACGCTGGTAACAGTGGGCGTGCTGTCTTGTTCCTAACTTGGTGGGAATGCCTCTAGGAGTCCCCATTAAAGACAATGCTGGTTTTGGAGCTGAAATGTATTCTGTCCTGTTAAAGAAGAGAAGAGCCGTGCGTGGTGGCTCACACCTGTAATCCCAGCACTTTAGGAGGCCGAGGTGGGCAGATCACTAGGTCAGGAGTTCGAGACCAGCCTGGCCTGTTCATGGTGAAACCCCATCTCTACTAAAAAAATACAAAAATTAGCTGGGCATGATGGTGCACACCTGTAATCCTAGCTACTCAGGAGACTGAGGCAGGAGAATCGCTTGAACCCAGGAGGCAGAGGTTGCAGTGAGCCAAGGTCCCGCCATTGCACTCCAGCCTGGGCAACAAGACAGAAACTCTGTCTCAAAAAAAAAAGAAGAAGAGAAGAAAAGATTTAAAAGTTGTATGGGAGAGTATATGGATGTACCATCTTTTTGTAACCTAATTTTTCTTAAGAGATGAGATTGAGGTCTCGCTAATGTTGCCCAGGCTGGAGTACAGTGGCTATTCACGGGCATGACCATCGTGCACGACAGCATTGAACTCCCAGGCTCTAGCAATATTCCTACCTCAGTCTCCCAAGTAGCTAGGGTTACAGGGGTTCCCCTTTGTGCCTGGCCCCATCTACTGATTTCATGAACATTTCGATTGTTTCCAGTATTTTGCTGAAAGAAGTGAATGGCTTGGTATATATACCCATCATTTTGCATTTGTAGGATCAGTTCTAGAACTGGAATTGTTGGGCTGTGTGATGGTTAATTTCATGTGTTAACTTGACTGGGCCAAGGAATGACCACATAGCTGGTAAAACACGATTTCTGGGTGTGTCTGTGAGGATGTTTCTGGAGAAGATGAAGATCGGAGTTGATAGACTAAGTGAAGATTCACCCTCACCAGTGTAGGTGGGCATCATCCATCCATTAAGAGCTGAACAGAACAAAAAGGCAGAGTAGGGGCAAACTTGCTTTGTCTTCTTGAGCTGGGATATCCATCTTCTCCTGCCCTCCAACACTGGAGCTCCTGGTTCTCGATCCTGGTTCTCAGGCTTTAAGACTCAGACTGCATTTCCCAGGCCCTCCAGCTTGCAGGCGGCAGATGGTGGGACTTCTCAGCCTCCGTAATCACCTGAGCCAATTCCCATAATAAATCTCCTCATATATATACATATATGCTGGGTCAAAGAGTACATGATATTTGATTTGATAAATATTGCCAAATTGCTCCCCAGGTTACGCTCTCACCAGCAATGCATGTGTTTTATCTCAGCTCCACAAAGAGAATATATTATAAAATTTAGATTTGTGCTAATCCGATAGGTAAAAAATGATATTTCAATGTCATTCTTTTTATGAGTGAAATTGAGTTTCTTTTCATATATTTAAGGACAATTTGTGTTGGGTTTTCTGTTCGTAACTTGACAATTTTTCTATTGAGTTGGTGGTCTTTTTCTTATTGACTAACGGGAGTATTTTATATATTAAGGAGATTATCCCTTTGTTTGTAATATGAGCTTGACCAGAGCAGGAACCAACACAATCAAATGAGGAGTCCCGGATGGCTTACCCAATGTTATAGGATGAGGCCTTTACCGTGCTGGTGGCTGAGGGTGGGCGAGAGAGTCAAAGATGAGTTGTATCTGAACAGGAAAACCTGTTGTTCTGCAGGCAAGCTTGGCTCTAAAGTGGCTGCCTATATAAGTTATTTTGGAGCCTCCAGGATATAAGCAGCCCAGGTACCAAGAAGGTGATGCAAGCATTTTGCCTCTCCTCCTAGTGGGAGGAGTTCCAGCTGCCTCCTGCTGGTGGGGACTGATGACCTGTCCAGCTCCACTGTCTCTTGTCCCTCTGGACTGGGTGAATGAGGATTCTGGCCATGAATTGCTGATTTGCTTAGTTCTGTCCTCCGTCTAATGAGCATTATCTTCTATGGACAGTCCTTTGCTCTGGTCTGCTGGGGTGTCAGGTGATTTTATTTGCTCTCCTTGAAATCACTGACCAGCAGCACTGCAAGTGTTCTTTCCAAGCTTGTCTTGTTTTGCCCAACATGTTTTTGCATCCAAAGTCTTGTTGCTATGTATCTGAATGAATCAGTCTTTCTTTTTATGGCTTCTGGAGACTGACTCATACTTGAAAGCCCTTTCCTGTAAAACCTGGATCTATTTATAGAGAAGACTAAAGGTTTGAAAGAGCCATAGGGCAGGGGGTGGGGAGATGGAAACCCACTACACCTGCACACAAGGATGCTCGGGGAGTGCCGAGGGCATGGATTGGTGGCTCAAACCAGGAAGGAACTAATCCAGTCTGGATCCCCAGGTTCAGGAATTGGCAGAGCTGGTGGGCTGGAGACAGAGGGCACAAGCTGGAGAAGGCCCCAGTCACGGTACCTGAAGTGATTGGCCAAGGGGCCTCAGCAGGTGAGGGAGGTTATGGCAGTGTAACAGGGAGGGTTAGGGGTTCTGGGGGCCCTAGTGAGGCAAACAGCAGGTAGCATAAGAGTCAGAGAAGAAGATGACTAGAAGGAAAGTGATTCCAGAAAAAGCAACTTCAGGTGATGGCAAAGGCCAGAGGACAAGCACGGGAGAGGATGGCTGGTAGGCCGGATGCTTTAGGCCAAGGAACCACGAAGGCAGGGAGGTATGGGTCCGGGATGTCTCCCAGGATGATGATGTGTTGAAGCTCAAAGGAAGACCAAAGCCAGGGTTAAAGCCCGCCATCACCATCGCTTAGCTCAGCACAGCTTAGTCCCGATGGTGCCTTATAATCGGCAGGGTCTGGACCCGGCACTCATGATTCCAGTGTCAGCTGCAGTTATAAATTGCTGTCCTAACTTATGTCCCTGTTAAGCTTTCCACTGAAGTAAGGAGCATGAATTAAATGCAAGAGACCCTGTCATTTCATCTTAGGCCTAACCACATGGACTTCCTAGCCTTTTCCTGGTGCCTCAACAATCACAGGGCAGCCCAGTGCAGGTGCAGGTGCTAACAGCCCAGACCCGATTTCCTAGTCCCGGCTCTGTTTCTGCTTAGTTGACATCACTTGCAGCCTCAGGGCGGATCCAGGATGAGCTTGGGCGCAGAAGGGTCATTCTGGCAGCACATCAGCTCATCTTGATGAGTCCAGTGTCAAGCAGCAAAATGCCTGCCAGGTCAAGGGTACGTGGAGATGAAAGACTCTGAAGTCATCAGGGATAATTGCCGTTTACTGTAGCCTCCCAGCAACCTACAACATTAACTACCACCATCACAGCCTTCAA
Source organism: Homo sapiens (assembly GCF_000001405.40). NCBI lineage: Eukaryota > Metazoa > Chordata > Mammalia > Primates > Hominidae > Homo > Homo sapiens. Next base: position 232,594,330 of record NC_000002.12, read on the forward strand.
AACTGCATGAGACTAGAATGAACCATGTAATGCTGGATTAGAGTAGAACGTAGCCTACAATCATGTTTAATAGACACACACACACAGATAGATACAGACATATAGATATGTGGGTATATGGGGGTTAATATAGGTAGACATATTCCCTAGATTTGTCCTCTGAGACAGACTAGAGGCAGTGACACCCAGTAGCAATGAGTACACCTTACACCCAGATCTTGAGACGGGGTCTCTCTCGCTGTCGCCCAGGCTGGAGTGCAGTGGCGTGATTTTGGCTCACTGCAACCTCTGCTTCCTGGACTCAAGTGATTCTCCTGCCGCAGCCTCCCAAGTAGCTGAAACTACAAGCACATGCCACCATGCCTGGCTGATTTTTGTATTTTTTGTAGAGATGGCATTTTGCCATGTTACCCAGGCTGGTCTTGAACTCCTGAGCTCAGGTGATCTGCCCACCTCAGCTTCCCAACATGCTGGGATTACAGGCATGAGCCACCGCACCTGGCCCTAGATCTTGATTTCTAAATACAGTTATCCAATACAAGGAACCAGACTCCTTGGTGAAAGAGCTGATTATAGGGCTGGGCAGGAAAAATATAAGATAAGCCTGGAGCATTTTATAGAGCCGGAAAGTTAAGGAGTGCTAAGAACAAGGCCCAGCGCAGTGGCTCACTCCTGTAATCCCAGCACTTTGGGAGGCCAAGGTGGGCAGATCACCTGAAGCCAGGAGCTCGAGACCAGCCTGGCCAACATGGTGAAACCCCGTCTCTACTAAAAATACAAAAATTAGCTGGGTGTAGGTGGCACGTGCCTGTAATCCCAGCTACTCCAGAGGCTGAGACAGAAGAATCGCTTGAACCTGGGAGGCAGCGAGGTTACAGTGACCGAGATTGCGCCTCTGCACTCCAGCCTGGGCCACAGAGTGAGACTCTGTCCCGCCCCCCCGCCCAAAAAAAGTGCTAAAAACAAAAACAAGCAAAGAAACCACATTGATGGGACATGTCAAAGGGACGCAGAAGCCACCTGAAAGTGCCAAATGGCCAAAGCTGAAACAATTGAGCAACAAAGTAAAAAGTGGTATTGGATTATAGCCCAAAGGATAAAATAAGTGTCTTTGAATGCGTACTGATGTAAAATAAATAGGAAGAGCAGAAAAATCGTCTGTGGAGCATTCTAAATCCTGTGTGGAATAACTTCATTCCTTCAGTGTTGGCTGCATACAGTGACTCCCTTCCAGCGAGTGCAGCGTGGAAAGGAGATCACAAGTGTAAAGCTGAGAATGGAGGAAGCTGAGCAATCCTGCCTCAGCCAGGTGGCCAGGTCAGCAGCGACAGGGAGAAGTCACGTGGTGGTGTGTACCCTTGACACGGTGTGATGAGGGAGGCACTTTACTTCTGTGGTCTTCTTTCTAAACATGCCCAACCCCAGTCTAATCATGAGAAAAACATTAGACGAATTTCAGTAGCGAGAGAGACGTTCTATAGAACACTGACTGTACTCCTCAAAGCTTGAGCAGCCATCGCAGCAAGGAAAGTCTGAGAAGCTGTCCCAGCCAGGAGGAGCCTCCGAAGACAGGACAACCGGGTGTCATGTGGTATCTGGATGGGACCCTGGAGCAGAAAAAGGACATCAGGTAATAACTAAGGAAATCTGAATAAAGTATGGACTTTTTTTTTTTTAAGAGACAGGGGTCTCACTATGTTGCCCAGGCTGGAGTGCAGTGGCTATTCCAGGCGTGATTATAGCACACTATAGCCTCAGATTCTTGGTTTAATGGGATCCTCCAGCCTCAGCCTCCTGAGTAGCTGGGACTAGGTGCATGCCACCACACCTGGCTCAGAACACCTTATTTATTTATTTATTTATTTGTTTGTTTGTTTATTTTTGAGAGGGAGTCTCACTCTGTTGCCCAGGCTGGAGTGCAGTGGCACAATCTCGGCTCACTGCAACTTTCGCCTCCCAGACTCAAGCGATTCTCCTGCCTCAGCCTCCCAAATAGCTGGGATTACAGGTGCACACCACCATGCCTGGCTAATTTGTGTGTGTTTTTTAGTAAAGACCAGGTTTCACCATGTTGGCCAGGCTGGTCTCGAATTCCCAGTCTCAGGTGATCCAGCCGCTTTGGCCTTCCAAAGTGCTGGGATCACAGGCCTGAGCCACTGTGCCCAGCCAGAACACCTTATTAATAAATGTTACAGGCAAGATCTGCAAATGAATGCTAAAAATAGTGAGTAAGACTTCAAGGAGAAACAGGATATTTCCCATAGCCTCCGAGTATCTCCCCTGAAAATATTTCTAATTACGGTGATGGTTTGAATGTATGTTTACAAATATTTGATATTCCTCATTCCAGGGGAGGGAGCTTAATTCCCCTCCCCTTAAATATGTGCTGCTGGAGCCATAAAAAAGGATGAGTTCATGTCCTTTGTAGGGACATGGATGAAGCTGGAAACCATCATTCTCAGCAAACTATCACAAGGACAGAAAACCAAACACCGCATGTTCTCACTCATAGGTGGGAATTGAACAATGAGAACACTTGGACACAGGAAGGGGAACATCACACACCAGGGCCTGTCGTGGGGTGAGGGGAGAGGGGAGGGATACCATTAGGAGATATACCTAATGTAAATGACGAGTTAATGGGTGCAGCACACCAACATGGCACATGTATATATATGTAACAAAACTGCACGTTGTGCACATGTACCCTAGAACTTAAAGTACAATAATAAAAAAAAATATGTGCTGCTGGATTGGTGACTTGCTTCTAATGAATGAGAGCAGAAAGGGAAAAGCAGTAATTTAATAGTGGAGGAAACTGGCAGACACCACCTTCGCCAAGTGGTCAGAGTCAACAGCATCAGTGAGGCACGCTGGCACGGCATGCCTCGGGAGAATGTGCTGAGAGAGGCAGTCACCTGTGAAGTCTTCTTCCCCCGAATCCATAACCTTAGTCTACTCATGAGACAATGTCAGACATACCCACACCAAGGGACATTCTACAAAATGCCAAAATACCTGACCAGCACTATTCAAAAGTATGAATGTCATAAAAGACAAGCAAAGACCTAGAAGCTGTCACAGATGAGTGAGGAGACCTGATGACTATGATCTGGAATCTTGGATAGGATTCTGGAACAGAAGAAGGTCCACCAGGGAAATCGGAATAAAGTCTGAAGTTTAGTTAGCTGTAGTGTACCAATGCTAATTTCTTAGTTTTGATCAATGTGCCATATTTAGGTAAAGTGGTAACATTAGGGGAAGCAGGGTGAAGGGTACTTTGGAACTCTATGTACTATCTTAGCAACTCTTGTGTAAGTCTAAAATTATTTTAAAATAAAAGTTCAAGTTGGACCCCTTGGCTCCTGCCTGTAATCCCAACTCCTCTGGAGGCCGAGACAGGAGGATCACTTGAGCCCAGGAGTTTGAGACCACCCTGGGCAACATAGCAAGACCCCATCTCTTAGAAATTTTATTAAAATTAGCCAGGCATAGTGGCGTGTGGCTGTAGTCCCAGCTACTCAGGAGGCTGAGGTGGGAAGATTGTTTGAGCCCAGGAATTTGAGGCTGCAGTGAGCTATGATCAAGCCCCTGCACTCCAGCCTGGGCAACAGATCAAGACCCCATCTCTAAACAAATAAGTGAATTACATTAAATTAAAGTACAGCCAGGCACGGTGGTACACGCCTGTAATCCCAGCACTTTGGGAGGCCAAGGTGGGTGGATCACGAGGTCAGAAGATCGAGACCATCCTGACTAACCTGGTGAAACGCTGTCTCTACTAAAAACACAAAAAATTAGCCAGGCATGGTGGCACGTGCCTGTAGTCCCAGCTACTAGGGAGGCTGAGGCAGGAGAATCGCGTGAACCCAGGAGGCAGAGGTTGCAGTGAGCTGAGATCGCGCCACTGCACTCCAGCCTGGGCGACAGCGAGACTCCGCCTCAAAGAAATAAAATAAAATAATAAATTAATTAGTAAGTACAAAAACTTACACAGTGGTATGCTTGATTTCAATGCTTGGCTCTTGCTCTAAAGCAGGGCCTGGGTTCCTGCTCTCCGAACTGGCTCCATTAGTACCGGCACCAGGGCATTGTTGGCTGACAGGCCTCTTATTCAGGGAGAGTCTGCCTTTTGCTCCACCCCCCAGGCTCCATCTACCCCTCCGCATGTCCTGAGTCAGCATAGAGCCTGCAGGTAGGTGAGAGCCTGCAGGTGCTTTAGCCCCTACCATCTAGGCAAGCTCAGCCTGACAGCAAATGAATGAGAGCCCCACTTGGCACAGGGAAACATTTCCATGAGCTCAAGTCAGAAAAGTACATGCCTGGCCAGGCACGGTGGCTCATGCCTGTAATCCCAGCACTTTGGGAGGCCGAAGCGGGTGGATCACCTGAGGTCAGGAGTTCAAAACCAGCCTGGCCAACATGGTGAGACCCCGTCTCTACTAAAAATACAAAAATTAGTCAGGTGTAGTAGCTTGCATCTGTACTCCCAGCTACTTGAGAGGCTGAGGCAGGAGAATCACTTGAACCTGGGAGGCAGAGGCTGCAGTGAGCTGAGATCCCGCCACTGCACTCCAGCCTGGGTGACAAAGCAAGACTCTGTCTCAAAAAAATAAAAAATAAAAAAGTACATGCCTATGAGGCCTGATAGGATCCCCACTTCCCTGATATGTGGCAGGGTGCACACTAAGCAGGAGGAGAAGCGGTGGGACCCAAAGTGTCAGGTGGTAAAGAGAGGGACCCCACAGAGGAGATGGGCAGTCCCGAGAGTGGAAGGCATGGCCTACTTTGCCCATCAGGGAACCCCTCTCGACCCCCCACCTTGGGTGGGCTCTGGGTGGTCCACACACGACAGGTGGCTAGAGTCCAAAATAAGGGGAGAACTGCCTCCAGCTCTGGGTCACTGGTGAGCCACAGCTAATGGTCAGACTGTCCCCTCCCAGGTCAAGGGCATGCTAAGGTGGTGACGGGTCAACCAAATCATGGAAAAAAGTTCGAAAAAAGGCACCACACCAATCCTAGGCTGACTCTCTAGGACAACTGTTGCTAAGATGCCAGTCCAGAATGAGCTGAGGCTTGCAAAAACCACCAAGGGCAGTACTGTATCTTTTAATTGATGATCAGAGCATAAAAGAACAAGAGGCAATTGATGTGAGATTAACACAGGCAGACAAATTGCCTTCCCTGTTGGAAAATGGGTCATCAGTGTGGAAAGGGCGGGCTGCTCAGCATGGTGCAGACGAGAAGTCATGCCTGGGAAATCATGGGTCCCAGCACTAACCCAGGTGGGAAAAGCTACACCCAATTCTCCAGAAGTGGGGAGGGGGTGTCAGCTACCTCTCCAGGGGCTTCTGCTCAGTGATCCAGCGGAAGATCTGAGGTCTCGGAGGCACCCCACCAGTACCACCCACAGCACAGCTGAGGCCCTGAACCCCTCTAGCCCTGAGAAGGGAACAGTGCCAGAGGAATGGTTTCAAATATCTAAATGATCAATCATGGAAAATGGCCTTGTGTGTGGAACTAGCACCTCTGGGTAGAAGTTACAGTGATGAGGCTTTAGGTTTAAGAAAAGCTCCCGGACCATTTGAGCTGTCTAAAAATGGAGTGGCTGGCTCAGGCGCTGCAGGTGAAGAAGCAGAGCCCGGAAGGTCACCTGTTAGGGGATTTGCTGAGATGCCAGTGGTAGACCCAAGGGTAGGCCAGATGACCTTTAAGGCCCTATTCAGTCATGAGATCTGAGGGTCTCAGAACCGAGACTGGGGGGAGCTTAACAGCCCCCTCTCCGGCAGCTACCCCAGCCCTGGGAATGCAGTGGTGTCAAAGGGGCTGTCGCAGCTGGTGACTTAGGCCCTGGCACCAGTGGCAACCTGGCAGACTGCCGGTTTGGCCCGGAAGGTGCTAAAGATCCCAGCTCTGAGCCCCTGGCCTCCTGGGAAATGTGAGCAGCTTATGGATAAAAGGATAGCTCTGTCTAGCTTCCCAGACCGCAGCTGCCAGGATGGGGCCAAAAGGGGTGATTTGACCATCCACAAGCTAGACAGGAAATCCCTCAAGACACAGGTCAACATGAAGGGACATCAGATCCCAGCGGCTCCTGCACCTGTCCCACCCCCGCCCTATCTCCCAGGACCCAGGGCTCCAGCTAAGCACCTCCTGTGGCCATCATCCTTCTGCAGCCCCCTCCGCCAGGCAGCCTGGCGCCTCGCCCCCTCCCATGGAATGTCCTGCTCTACTCACTTCCCCACCTCACCAGGTGGCCCCAGCGCCGGCATTCAATGCCTCCTCTCCCTGCAAAACTGTTTTTTTGAGATGGAGTCTCACTCTGTTGCCCAGGCTGGAGTGCAGTGGTGTAATCTTGGCTCAATGCAATCTCCGCCTCCCAATTCAAGCGATTCTCCTGCCTCAGCCTCGCGAGTAGCTGTGATTACAGGCATGCACCACCACGCCCAGCTAATTTTTAGTAGAGAAGGTGTTTTGCCATGTTGGCCAGGCTGGTCTCGAACTCCTGACCTCAGGTGACCTGCCCACCTCAGCCTCCCAAAGTGCTAGGATTACAGGCATGAGCCACCACTCCTGACCAACTTTGTTTCCTTTCTAAATGAAGGACTTTTTTCCTATTTCAAAAACAAGACAAAAATTAGACAAACTACAAATTAGACAAACTATGATACATTCATACAATGGAATATTATTCAGTGATTAAAAAGAAATGAGCCATCAAGCTATGAAAGGACGGGGAGGAAATGTAAATGCATAATGCTACGTGAAAAAAGCCAATCTGAAAAGGCCCCATTCTGTATGACTCCAGCGGTGACATTCTGGAAAAGGTAAAACTATGGAGACACTATGATCCAGTGGTTGCTGGAAATTGGGGAGAGGGAGAGAGAGATGAACAGGTAAAGCACTAGATTTTTAGGGCAGGGAAACTATTATTCTGTATGCGACTATAAGGGTGGGTACATGTCATTGTCCATTTCTCAAAACTCACAGAATGTGCAACGCAAGCAGCGAAGCCTCATGTAAACTAGGGGCTTTAGTTAGTGATGGAGCATCAGCACTGGTGAACCTGGAGAGGACGTGGAGGTTCCGCCTTTCTTCCTGCGTGCCTCGCCCTGTGCATCTCTTCATCCTTTGCGACATCTTTTATAATAAACCAGCAAACCGATTTCCTTGAGTTATGTGAGCTGCTCTAGCAAATTTTTTTTTTTTTTTTTTTTTGAGACGGAGTCTCGCTCTGTCACCTAGGCTGGAGTGCAGTGGCGCGATCTTGGCTCACTGCAACCTCTGCCTCCCGGGTTCAAGCAATTCTCCTGCCTCAGCCTCCTGAGTAGCTGGGATTACAGACATGCGCTACCGTGCCCTGCTAATTTTTGTATTTTTATTTATTTATTTATTTGAGATGGAGTTTCGCTCTTGTCGCCCAGGCTAGAGTGCAATGGCGCAATCTTGGCTCACTGCAACCTCTGCCTCCCGGTTCAAGGGATTCTCCTGCTTCAGCCTCCCAAGTGGCTGGGATTACAGGCATATGCCACTATGCCTGGCTAATTTTGTATTCTTAGTAGAGACAGAGTTTCTCCATGTTGGTCAGGCTGATTTCAAACTCCTGACCTCAGGTGATCCACCTGCCTCGGCCTCCCAAGTGCTGGGATTACAGGCGTGAGCCACCACGCCAGGCCAATTTTTGTATTTTTAGTAGAGATGGGGTTTCACCATGTTGGCCAGGCTGAACTCCTGACCTCAGGTGACCCGCCCGCCTCGGCCTCCCAAAATGCTGGGATTACAGGCATGAGCTCCGGCACCCAGCCTGCTCTAAAAATTAATCAAACCTAAGGAGGGGTTCGTGGGAACCCTGATTTATACCCAGATGTTCAGAATCAGGTAAAAGAACCATGAGTTTGCAATTGGCATCGGAAGCGAGGGACAGTCTTATGGGACTGAGCCCTCAACCTGTGGGATCTGAAACTGTCTCCAGATAGTGTCAGAATTTCATTGAATTAAGGGCCTCATGCGATGGTTCACATCTGTAATCTCAGCACTTCAGGAGGCCAAGGCAGGTGGATCACTTGAGGCCAGGAGTTCAAGACCAGCCTGGCTAACATGGAGAAACCTCGTCTTTATTTTTTATTTTTAATGTTAAAAAAAAAAAGGAAGAATGTAATCGAATTAGAGGACACTCAGTTGGTGTTCGCTGCAGAATTGATTGATTGGTTTTTGTGTTTGTTTGAGACAGGATCTCGCTCTGGCACCCAGGCTGGAGTGCAGTGGCTCATTGCAACCTCAACTTACTAGGATGAAGCAATCCTCCTGCCTCAACCTCCCAGCTAGCTAGGACTGACTACAGGCGCATGCCACCATACCTGGCTAGTTTGTTTGTTTGTTTATTTTTTGAGATGGAGTCTCACACTGTCCCCCAGGCTAGAGTGCAGTGGCATGATCTCGGCTCACTGCAACCTCCGCCTCCCAGGTTCAAGTGATTCTCCTGCCTCAGCCTCCCAAGTAGCTGGGACTACAGGCGCATGCCACCACGCCTGGCTAATTTTTCGTATTTTTAGTAGAGACAGGGTTTCACCGTGTTAGCCAGGATGGTCTTGAACTCCTGACCTTGTGGTCCACCCACCTCGGCCTCCCAAAGTGCTGGGATTACAGGCATGAGCCACCGTGCCCTACCACTGGCTGGTTTTAAAAAAAAAATTTTTGTAGAGATGGGGTCTCACTTTGTTGCCCAGGCTGGTCTGGGAACTCCTGGGTCAAGAGCTCCTCCCACCTTCGGCCTCCCAAAGTGCTGGAATTACAGCTGTGAGCCGCTGCACCCGGAATATTTTCTTCCTACTGCACTCTCAACAATACAAAATCTTCTATGACCTCGGGTTATCAAGAAATGTGTGTGAATTTCTCCCCACCAAAAACCAATCAATTGGCTGGGTGTGGCAGCTCACCCTTGTAATCCCAGCATTTTGGGAGGCTGAGGTGGGAGGATTGCTTGAACCCAGAAGCTTGAGACCAGCCTGGGCAACAAAGTGAGACCCCATCTCTATTAAAAAAAAAAAAAAGAAGAAAGAAGAAGAAGAAGAAGAAGAAGAGGAGGAGGAGGAGGAGGTGGAAGGAGGAAGGAGGAAGGAAGAAGAAGAGGAGGAGGAAAGAGGAGGAAGGAGGAGGAGGAAGAAAGAAGAGGAAGAAGAAGAAATGAAGAAGAAAGAAGGAAGAGGAGGAGGAGAAGGAGGAAGAGAAGAAGAAAAACTACTAAGTTTTCTTCCCCCTCGCTCTCCTCGGATGACAATGCTTTGGCTTTTGTGAGACTTTTGTTTTATTTCGTTTTGTGGAGAGGCTGGTGGCTCTGAGTTTTTTGGCTTTAAATCATGATAATTGTTGCCTCTCCCTTTCCCAGTCATTACACTACTTTATTTTTGTGTGTCATTGCGTTGGCCACAATATCCAGAAAAAAATGTCAAATGATTGCAGTGCCACTGGGATTTATTCCTTGTAGACTGAACTTCAGTGCTTCTAGGATTTCCTACAGCTACCTAGAGAGGATTCTTCTTCATATTCACTCAAGGAATCATTCTACTGCTAATTTACCCAAAGTTTCTATCAGGGGTGGATGTTGACCTTCATCAGATGCTTCTTCATAGGTACCAAATGATCTTTTCCTTTAAAAAGACAGTTTCCTGTCCCCTTCTATCTTTTATTCGTCTTACCCTTCACTGATTTCTCCTTTCTCAGCTAAAAACAGCTGCTCGCGGCCACCTCCTTCCTTCTTGATTTTCTTCCCTCTCCAGCCTCTGAAATGAACGCTCTGGGGCAGCAGACACCACTCTTTTGCCACCGCTCTCTCCTGGAGCCTCCAGCCCACCCTGCCGGGTTCTGCATCGTCCGTGGCCTGGAGAACACCCGTCTCACTCTCATTTCAGGGTGGGTCTCCTGATCTCCTGCCTGGGCCGTGGGTCAGATCCTCCCCTCTCTGCTCCTCCATCTCATGCCAACAAGACCTCAGGTGGTCGTCTTCTGTGGTACCCAGGCTCTTGTCTCTCTCCCTACCCTACCTGCCCAGTAGACACGAGACTTCACTGTCACCCCACATTCAACATTCAGGGTCTGAAACACGGCTCATCCTCTTCCCTTCTCTTCCAGCTTCCCACTTCCCACAGCTCAGCAAGATGGGGAAACACACATGCCTGGGGCCAGGAGCCTGAGGCCTCTTTTTCTCCCTAAGTCCTGGCACTGACACCACGCTTCCCACAGTGCCCTTCCCCTTCAGGCCCAGCAGGCTCTTCCGAGTACATAAGCTCATTCAAGCCTTCCCAGCCCTGATAGCCAGATCATTGTGGTCCCATTTTACAGATAAGGAAGCACCTTACCAGCCTAGGCGTCTAGTAGGCGCAGAGGCCAGGAAGGAGGTGCCCCAGCCGACCCCGCCTCCAGGGCTGGCCGGTTCCAGCGTCTTCTCACCACCTTTGCTTTCTTCCCCAGAGGTGATGGAGTCAGACACCCAGATGCTATGCCAGAGCCCCCTGTCTTAGTGGGATGTTAAAGAATTAGGGGCCAGGCCGCGTGCAGTGGCTCACATCTGTAATCCCAGCATTTTGGGAGGCTGAGGTGGGTGGATCACCTGAGGTCAGGAGTGCGAGACCAGCCTGACCTATATGGTGAAACCCTGTCTCTGCTAAAAATACAAAAAAATTAGCCAGGCGTGGCAGCACGCACCTGTAATCCCAGCTACTCGGGAAGCTGAGGCAGGAGAATCTCTTGAACCTGGGAGGCAGAGGTTGCAACTGAGCCGAGATCATGCCACTGCACTCTAGCCTGGGCGACAGAGGGAGACTCCGTCAAAAAAAAAAAAAGAGGCCGGGTGTGGTGGCTCACGCCAGTAATCCCAGCACTTTGGGAGGCCGAGGCGGGTGGATCACGAGGTCAGGAGTTTGAGACCAACCTGACCAACATGGTGAAACCCCGTCTCTACTAAAAATACAAAAATTAGCCGGGCGTGGTGGCATGGGTCTGTAATCCCAGCTACTCAGGAGGCTGAGGCAGGAGAATTGCTTGAATCCAGGAGGCGGAGGTTGCAGTGAGCCAAGATTGCGCTACGGCACTCCAGCCTGGGCAACAGAGCGAGACTCTGTCTAAAAAAAAAAAAAAGAGAGAGAGAGAGAGGGAGGGCGGGAGGGAGGGAGGGAAGGATTAGAAACCAAGTGATCAGACAGTTTGCTCTGTGGCCCCCCAGCTTCCTCTCGCCGTAAGGACGTGGCTCCTCAGTACCAGAAAAACATTGCTGAATGAATAATGCTGTGGGTATGATATTCGGTTCGGGGCCGGGTGCGGTGGCTCACGCCTGTAATCCCAACACTTTAGGAGGCCAAGGTGGGAGGATCACTTGAGGTCAGGAATTCGAGACTAGCTTGGCCAACATGGTGAAACCCCATTTCTGCTAAAAATACAAAAATGAGCTGGGTGTGGTGATGCGCGCCTGTAATCCCAGTTACTCTGGAGGCTGAGGCAGGATAATCGCTTGAACCCGGGAGGCGTAGGTTGCAGTGAACCGAGATTGCGCCACTGCACTCCAGCCTGGCCGACAGAGCGAGACTCCATATCAAAAAAAAAAAAAAAAAAAATCGGTTCTGAGCAAATTTCGAGTCACTGACAAGGCGGCGGTATCCAGCAGAGGGCGCGCCAGGCGCCAGCACCAGGCCCGAGGACGCCTGGCTCATCCCCAGGCCGGCTTCCGAGAGCCCCGCTAAGTGCAGGCGGATACCCCGGCCTTGGCGGCTGCTTGCCTTTCTCCGTACTGTCCCTGTGAAGGCCAAGATCTGTAACGCTGACAGTCCCCAGACATACGATGGGAGAGTTGCAGTAAGTGCTCTTTAAATCCCCTTTCACCCTTGAGAGTCTACGATTTTCGACGTTTTCCAGGCGATTTTTACTCTGGTCCAGAATAGGTGCGCGGTAATTCCTGGCTTTCGCCACCGGAGGGCACTCCCGGCCCTCGCTTCCCTGCCCCGCGCACGGTCTGCGATCGGCTGGGCTTTTAAGCCTTCTCCGCGCCGGCTGGTCTCCCAGAGAATCTAAACTCGAAACTCTTGAGAGACACCCCAGCCTGCAGCAATCCCAGGGTGTGCTGAAGTCCCCATCGTCCTCCCCTGGAATGTCAGTGAATGAGGAAGGTTTCTTTTTTTACTCACCGCCATCCTCCGCTCCCAGTCGTGGGTAGACCCGGCGCTGGGGCTGGGGGACCCTGAGCAGGTTCCTCACCTGCACCGACCCTCATCTTTAAAGTTGGGGTGCGACCGGGCGCGGTGGCTCAGCCTGTAATCCCAGCACTTTGGGAGGCTGAGGCGGGCGGATCACAAGGTCAGGAGATCGAGACCATCCTGTGGATGGTGAAACCCCGTCTCTACTAAAAAAAAAAAAAAAAAAAAATTAGCCGGGCGTGGTGGCGGGCGCCTGTGGTCCCAGCTACTGGGGAGGCTGAGGTAGGAGAATGCCGTGAACCCGGGAGGCGGAACTTGCAGTGAGCTGAGATTGCGCCACTGCACTCCAGCCTGGGCGACAGAGCGAGACTCCGTCTCAAAAAAATAAAATAAAATAAAAATTAAAAAAAAATAAAGTTGGGGTGCACGGAATGGGCCTCAGTGGCACACCCCAATCTGGAGACACATCATAACTTTTTTTTTTTCTTATTATGTTTTTTCTTTTGAGACGGTCTGGCTCTGTCGCCCAGGCTGCAGTGGCGCGATCACGGCTCACTACAACGTCCACCTCCCGGGCTAAAGCGATTCTCCCACCTCAGCCTCCCGAAGTGCTGGGACTACAGGTCCAGGCCACCACGTCTGGCCCATTTTATTTCTAAATGGCTCATGCCTGTAATTCCAGCACTTTGGGAAGCCAGGGCAGTCGGATCACTTGAGCCCAGGATTTTGACACCAGCCTGGGCAACATAGTGAGATCCTATCTGTACAAAAGATTTAAAAATTAGCCGGTCGGGCTGGGCGCGGTGGCTCAGGCCTGTAATCTCAGCACTTTGGGGGGCCGAGGCGGGTGGGGATCACCTGAGGTCAGGAGTTCAAGACCAGCCTGGCCAACATGGTGAAGCCCCGTCTCTCCTAAAAATTAAAAAAAAAAAAAAAGCCTGGCGTGGTAGCAGGCAACTGTTACCCCAGATACTCGGGAGGCTGAGGCAGGAGAATCACTTGAACCTGGGAGGCGGAGGCTGCACTTAGCCGAGATCGCACCACTGTACTCCACCCTGGGTAACAGAGCGAGAATGTCTCAAAAAAAAAAAAAAATTAGCTGGGTGTAGTGCCATGCGCTTATAGTCCCAACTAATCAGGAGACTGAGGTGAGAGAATAGCTTAAGCCCAGCATCAAGGCTGCAGTGAGCTGTGATTGGGCCACTGCACTCCAGCCTGGGCAACAGAGCAAGACCCTATCTCAAAAAAAAAGGAAAGAAAATACAGGCTAAAATTTTTTTTTTTTTTAATTTAAGGTTAGGGCCAGGCGTGGTGGCTCACGCCTATGATCCCAGCACTTTGAGAGGCCAAGTCGGGAGGACAGCTTGAGTCCAGGAGTTCTAGACCAGCCTGGGCAACACAGCAAGACCCTGTCTCTATTTTTTTTAATTAATTAATTAAAAGTCAAATAAAATGAATTGAAGGTAACCACTAACAAGATAATATGGAACTACAGTCCTCAGTATCTGAGGAGGCACTGGTTCTAGGACTCCCATACCAAATCCATGGAATCAAGTCCCTTATATAAATTGCTGTAGGCCGGGCGTGGTGGCTCATGCCTGTAATCCCAGCACTTTGGGAGGCCAAGGCAGGTGGTTCACTTGAAGTCAGGAGTTCAAGACTAGCCTGGCCAACATGGTGAAACCCCGTCTCTACTAAAAATACAAAAATTAGCCTGGCGTGGTGGTGCACATCTGTAATCCCAGCTACTTAGGAGGCTGAGGTGGGAGAATCACTTGAATCCGGGAGGCGGAGGTTGCAGTGAGTCAAGATTGGGTCACTGCACTCCAGCCTGAGCGAGACTTCATCTCAAAATAAATAAATAAATGAATTGGTGTAGTATTTGCATATAACCTACATATACTTAAATCATCTTTAGATTACTTATAATACCTAATACAATGTAAATGCTATGTAGATAGTTGTCCTGCTGTATTGTTTTTTATTTGTATGATTTTTATTGTTATATTTTTTCCTGAATATTTTTGATCTATGGTTGGTTGAATCCCATGGGAATGGGGAGCCAATTGTACTTGGGAAAAAGAGAAGAAAACACTTGATCAGCATTGCAAAGAGAGGGAAAGAAAAACCAGAAAACAGCCGGGCCCAGTGGCTCACGCCTGTAATGCCAGCACTTTGAGAGGCGGAGGCGGGCGGAAAATGAGGTCAGGAGTTCAAGACCAGCCTGGCCAATATGGTGAAACCCCGTCTATACTAAAAAGTACAAAAATTAGCTGGGTGTGGTGGCTCATGCCGGTGGTCCCAGCTACTCAGGAGGCTGAGGCAAGAGAATCGCTTGAACCCAGGAGGCTGAGGTTACAGTAAGCCGGGATCGCGCCACTGCACTCCAGCCTGGCAACAGAGCAAGACTCCATCTCAAAAAATAAAATAAAATACAATGAAAAAGCATTTTGAAACATATCACTATCACAATACATTTGAATGGATGAATCTCTTCTATTACAAGACCAAAAAAATGTTTAAAACATGAGATGCATAAGTTCTTTTTTTTTTTTTTTTTTTTTTTTAGATGGAGTCTTGCTCTGTCACCCAGGCTGGAGTGAAGTGGTGCAATCTCGGCTCACTGCACCCTCTGCCTCCTGGGTTCAGGTGATTCTCCTGTCTCAGCCTCCCGAGTTATTGGGATTACAGGCGCCCACCACCATGCCCGGCTAATTTTTTATATTTTTAGTAGAGACAGGGTTTCGCCATGTTGGCCAGGCTGGTCTTGAACTCCTGACCTCAGGTGATCTGCCTGCTTCAGCCTCCCAAGGTGCTGGGATTACAGGCATGAGCCACTGCACCCAGCCAAGATGCATGAGTTCTTAAAGTGAAAATGAAGTGTTTGCAAACATAGTCTGATCAGGGAAGGCAAGGTCAAGTGAAATATAAATTTTCACTTCAATTATTTGTTAGTTCCTTCCTTTATCATTTTGTTGCAGTGCCTAAGTGTGCCAGGCATGGTGTTGGGTACCAGGGATTCAGAGATGAATTGACTAAAGCCCCCCTAAGTGGCCCCCCAGTAGGAAGGATATCTGTCTTGACCAGAGTTAAACCCAGAGACAGCCAAGGAGGAAGTCTCGGCCTCCTCACCTGAGCCACACTCAGCCTCTTCCACTCCCAAAGGCCTCCTGCTCCTTCACCTTCAGCCCAGCCCAGGCATCTCCCTTGATGCAAGACTCACCCAAGATGAGACGGAAACAGTCCCGACACACAATCAATCCTCACCTTTCTGGCCTTACCTTTTGGCACACAACACAAAAACTCCAGGTGTGCCCTGAGGCCTCTGCAGGGACCCGGCCAGGGGAGTGGTGGCTGAAGCTCCTCCGGGTCTCCTTTCTCAGAGGAGAGAGTAACGTGGGAGAAGCACCGTTTGCCTTTGATACTTACCAAGGTCACTGTGGTTGCTCCCTGTGGAATGACAGGGGCAGCGTCCCCAAAACACTGGCTCCTTCTCCAACCCTCACACATGCATTAAACCCCAAAGGTGAAAGGAGAGGGCTCAGGGCACAGCGCCTGTCCCGCCACATACCAGGAGGGGCTGGGTAGTCCTTGTGGGTTCTCCAAAGCCCGAGTTGGGGAAATGGGGACCCTTCAGACAGGGTTGCCTGTGTCTGTCCCTGTTTGTTTATATCACAGCAGGTTTGTTCTGCAAGGCTGAGGCCCCAGGCCCACCTGCCATCAGCTCCTTGTGGAGGTTGGGTGTGGGAGTGCCCCTCTGGGGACGGAAAGCCCTCCCATCCCTGAGGCTGGGCCTATCTGGGGAGTAGGGGCAGGTGAGCTCCTCCAGCCACTGAGGAGAGAGGGCCTGGTCAGGACCCTGCCCCTGTCATTCCACAGGGAGCAACACACAGGTCTCTAATAAAAACACAAAATTCGCCAGGTGTGGTGGCACATGCCTGTAATCTCAGCTACTCAGGAGGCTGAGGCAGGAGAATCACTTGAACCCAGGAGGCGGAGCTTGCAATGAGATAGCACCACTGCACTCCAGCCTGGGCGACAGAGTGAGACTCCGTCCCCCCGCCCCGAAAAAATATACTGGGCTGGCAGGGCATGGTGGCTCACGCCTGTAATCCCAACACTTTGGGAACCTGAGGCAGGTGGATTGCTTGTGCTCAGGAGTGCGAGACCACCCTGGGCAACATGGCAAAACTACGTTTCTGTAAAAATTAAAAAATTACCTGGGTGTGGTGGCATGCGCCTGTAGTCGCGGCTACTCAGGAGGCTGAGGTGGGAGGATCATCTGAGCCTGGGGATGTCAAGGCTGCTGTGAGGCATGATCGCACCACACACTCCAGCCTGGGTGACAGAGCAAGACCTGACTAAAAGAAAATACTGACATTAAGCTGGGCACAGTGGCTCACGCCTGTAATCTCAGCACTTTGGGAGGCACAGGCGGAAAGATCGCTTGAGGCCATGAGTTCGAGATCAGCCTGGGAAACATAATGAGACCTCATCTCTACAAATTTTATTTTTACTTAGCCAGGCGTGGTGGTGTGCACCCATCGTCCTAGATACTCAGGAGGCTGAGATGAGGGGATCCCTTGAGCCCAGAAGGTTGAGGCTGCAGTGAGCTATGATTGTATTACTGCATTCTGGCCTGGGCAACAGCATGAGACCATGTTGCCCAGGCTGGTCTTGAACTCCTGGCCTTGAGAGTTCCTCCCACCTAGGCCTCCCAAAGTGTGGGATTACAAGCGTGAGTCCCTGTGCCCGGCCTCCAGGGGCTTCTTGATAGAACAAGCATCCTGGGGGTCGGGGGGGGGGCATCCCGATTAGAAAATGTCCCTCCTGAGTCTCTCTGAAGCCCTAAAGCCAAGTGAAGACCCCAGCTCTGCATCTTGGCCCACAGTGGATCTTGAGAGGGGGCCATGGGAGTTCTCATCATCGATGAGACGTTCTATCATTGGAGGACCCCAGTCACCTGAGAAATGAAGAAACGGGTCAGAGGACTCGACAGGGATGGGTGGGCCAGCGGTGCCCCCAGCTCTGCACCGCGTGATGGAGCCTCTTTTGCATTTGCAGCTCCCTCCCCCGGGGCAGAACAGTTCTGTTTGTCTTCCCAAACCGCAGAGATTCCAAGAACGAAGGAAATCTGATACCCCTAAGGCAAGAACAGTTCCAGCCCTATTCTGCCAACAGGAAGCCTTTGCCCACGCCCAAGAGAGAGGGCAAGTGAGAGGCCCCCGCCCCAGGGTTCCCACCAACCTTCCAGGGGACACCAGGAGCCATCTGCCATGTGGTTCCCGCAGCAGCCAGCAGGGGGCAGCCTGTCAAAGACTTCCTGGGACCATGTTGCCCCCGACTTGTGCAGGTTCCCACAGGCCAGCACCCAGTGTGGAAAACAGCATGTGGTAGCAGGGGGTTAGGTGTCCGGCATGAACCAGCCTGGCCTTTACCTTTTGGGTGTTTTTCCTGTCTAGCCCACCCAAAATGTGGAAACCTTAACAGCAGACATGGATTATGATGTCAGAGTTTGGGTTTTTTTTAGGAGTATTGTTATGTTGCCCAGACTGATCTCCAACTCCTGAGCCCAAGCGATCCTCCCAACTGAGCCTCCTAAGTAGCTGGGACTACAGGCACCTGCCACTGTGCCCAGCTTGATGTCAGTTTGTAGCATTGCAACTTTGCTTTAGCCTAATTTCTGAGCAATACCCAATCAGCTAGGCCTGGAGCACCATCCCCACACTGAATTTCTCCCTCTTTTGGATATTTTGTGGACATTAAAAGCAAGCATGGGCTTCAAAAGACACCCAAAAGCTGGGAGAAAATATTTTAAAAGACAAACCACAGACTGGGAGAAAATATTCACAATCTATGTATCTAGTAAAAGACTTGTATCCAGAATATACAAAGTACTTTTATAACTCACTAAATAATAAGACAAACATCTCAACAGAAATGGGCAAAAGATTTGAATCAACATTTCATCAAAGAAGATATGTGGAAAGTCACTAGAGACATGAAAAACGGACCCCATCATCAGACATAAGGGAAATGCTCCTTGAAACCACAATGAGATGATACCATTTCCACCCCATTGGAGTGGCTGCAGTCTGAGAGGCTGACCACACCAAGACTTGTGAGGATATGGAGCAAGGCAGGCTCTCATGCGCTGCTATTGGAAATAGAAAATAGTACAACTACTTTGGAAAATAGTTTGGTAGTTTCTTTTTTTCTTTTCTTTTTTTTTTTTTTTTGAGATGGAGTCACACTCTATTGCCCAGGCTGGAGTGCAGTGGCGTGATCTCGGCTCACTGCAACCTCCACCTTCTGGGTTCAAGCAATTCTCCTGCCTCAGCCTCCCAAGTAGGTGGGACTACAGGGATACACCACCACGTCCAGCTAATTTTTGTATTTTTAGTAGAGATGGGGTTTCGCCATGTTAGCCAAGCTGGTCTCGAACTCGTGACCTCAGGTGATCCACCCGCTTTAGCCTCCCAAAGTGCTGGGATTACAGGTGTGAGCAACTGTACCTGGCCAGTTTCTTTAAAAAATTGAAATGTAACATTTAGAGCATACACTATCCCATTCCTAGGTAATTAACCACCCCCTGCCCCCCACCAAAAAATATATGAAAGCATATGTCCAGGCCAGGCGTGGTGGCTCATGTCTGTAAGCCCAGCACTTTGGGAGGCCGACGTGGGTGGATCACTTGAGCCCAGGAGTTCAAGACCAGCCTGACTAATATGGTGAAATCCTGTCTCTACTAAAAATACGAAAATGAGCTGGTCATGATGGCATGCACCTGAAATCCCAGCTACCCCAGAGACTGAGGCAGAAGAATCACTTGAACCCTGGAGGCAGAGGTTGCAGTGAGCCGAGATCACGCCCCTGCACTCCAGCCTGGGCAACAGAGCAAGACTCTGTCTCAAGAAAGAAGCATATGTCCACACAAAGACTCAAACACAGAGACGAAAATTTCCACAGCAGCTTTACTAGTAACAGCCCCAAAATTGAAAACAACCCCAATGCTCACCATGAATAATGAGTAGATAAGCAAATTGTGGACTATCCATCCAATGAACTACTGCACAGGGACAAAGAGGAACCACACACACACACACACACACACACACACATATACACACACATACACACACACACAAATACACACACACAAATATACACACATACACAAATATACACACACATACACACACAAATATACACACACATATACGCACACACATACACACACAAATACGCACACACATACACACACAAATATACACACACATATACACACAAAAATATACACACATATACACACACAAATATACACACATACACACACAAATATATACACACATAGACAAATATACACACACATATACACACACAAACACATACAAATATACACACACAAATATATACACATACCCATATACACACATAAATATACACACACATACACACGTGAATACACACACACATACATACACATGTGCACATACACATATACACACAAATACACACACAAACATACACAAACACACACATACATACACATGCACACACATTATACACACATATATACACACATACACATGTATTATACACACATGCACATACATATGTACACACATACATATACACACACACATTTACACATATATACAAACACACACACCTATACACACACACACATATATATTTCTAAATACAGTTGGCCCTTGAACAACACAGGTTTGAACTGCATGCCTCAAATTATACTCAGATTTTTTTTCAGTAAAAGTGACCCTGAGTGTGCCTGCCTCTCCTGCCTCTCCTCCCACCTCCTCCATCTCTTAGCCCTCTGCCTTCTCTGAGACAGCGAGACCAACCCCTCCCCTTCCTCCTCTGCCTCCTCAAGGTGGAGACAACCAGGATGAAGACCTTTACAATGATCCACTTCCACTTAATGAATGGTAAATAGAGCTTCTCTTCCTTACAATTTCCTTGATAACGTTTTGTCTTCTGTAGCTGACTTTATTGTAGGAAAGCAGTGTGTAGTACACGGAACCCACCAAATAAGTCTGCTTTCTAATCCCCTCAAGAATTAGAATGAGTGGATTGTTTGGCAATTGTGGAGTCCCAGGTTCTGGCAAAGGAGCTGAGTGGTCTTTTAAAATGTTTTTATTTTTAGTTTTAAAAATCATTTGGCCAGGCGCAGTGGCTAATGCCTGTAATCCTAGCAATTTGGGTGGCTGAGCCAGGTGGATTATTTGAGCCCTGGAGTTCGAGACCAGCCTGGGCAACATGGTGAAACCCTGACTCTACAAAAAATACAAAAATTAGCCAGGTATGGTGGTGCACACCTGTAGTCCCAGCTACTCGAGAGGCTGAGGCAGGAGGATCGCTTGAGCCCAGGAGATGAAGGCTGCTGTGAGCCGGGATTGCGCCACTGCACTCCAGTCTGGGTGACAGAGTGAGACTGTGTCTCAAAAAAGAAAAATGATTTGTATTTATTTATTAAAGATGGGTCTCTCTTTGATACCCAGGCTGGAGTTGCTATGGCAGGACTATGGCTCACTGCAGTCTCCACCTCCTGGGCTCAAGCAATCCTCCCACCTTAGTCTCCCAAGTAGAGGGGACTACATGCACCCACCACCACTTACAGCTCGAAATATGTGTTAACTGACTGTTTGCGCTATAGGCAAGGCTTCTGTCAATAGCAGGCTATTAGCAGTTAACTTGTTGGGGAATGAAAAGTTATATTAGGATTTTTTACTGTTGGGGGGGCATCCTTAACCCCCTGCATTGTTCAAGTGTCAACTATAGTGTGTGTGTGTGTGTGTGTGTGTGTGTGTGTGTGTGTGTATTTACATATTTTTTCTTAGAAGGTCAAGGTTGATACTGTATTTACGCACCAGAGTAACCATAATTCTCCCTCTTATTTCGCCTTTACTTTTAAATAGATTTGGTGCTCACCTCGACCTTCTGCAGCTTTTCCCTGCCTGCTCTTGTTTATGTGGATTGACCTCTGGATGGTACTGTCAGGCACAGAGGGGTTTTGTTTCTTCAAGAGATCACGGGCCTGCATGCTCTGAGAGTCTGCAGGACGCCTGACCTTTGAAGGAAGGCTTTGCTGAGTAACACTTTTTAAAAAATAGTGTAGTCGTTTTTAAAAATACATTTTCTTTTTCTTTTCCTTTTTTTTTTTTTTTTTTTTGAGACGAGGTTTCGCTCTTGTTGCCCAGGCTGGAGTGCAATGGTGCAATCTCAGCCCACCACAACCTCCACCTCTCGGGCTCAAGTGATTCTCCTGCCTCAGTCTCCCGAGTAGCTGGGATTACAGGCATGCGCCACCAGGCCCGGCTAATTTTGTATTTTTAGTAGAGATGGGGTTTCTTCTTGTTGGTCAGGCTGGTCTTGAATTCCCGACCTTAGGTGATCTGCCCACCTTGGCCTCCCAAAGTGCTGGGATTATAGGCGTGAGCCACGGAGCCCAGCCCCTAAAATACATTTTTATTGAGGCGCAACATTGTTCCAGCCGTTTGTTGTGGTATAACAACACCTAGAATCAAAATTTTAGTGGCGTGCCATGTTCATAGCCGACTTACTCACACAGCCAAAAGGTGGAAACCATCCAAGAGTCTGCCGACAGATGAATGGAGAAATCAAACCTGGGGTATAGAGAAAACGCAGTATTACTCAGCCTTCGACAGGGAGGAAATTCTGACACCTGAGACAACGTGGATGAACCTTGAGACATGCTCAGTGAAATAAGCCAGTCACAAAAGGACAAATACTGCACGATACCACTTTATTTATTTTTTTTTTTGAGACAGAGTCTCACTCTGTCGCCCAAGCTGGAGTGCAGTGGCACAATCTCGGCTCACGGCAACCTCCGCCTCCCGGGTTCAAGCAGTTCTCCTGTCTCAGCCTCCTGAGTAGCTGGGATTACAGGCACACGCCACCACACCCAGCTAATTTTTGTATTTTTAGTAGAGATGGGGTTTCACCATATTGGTCAAGCTGGTCTTGAACTCCTGACCTCAGGTGATCTACCCACCTCGGCCTCCCAAAGTGCTGGGATTACAGGCGTGAGCCACCACACCTAGCCACATGATGCCACTTATATGAGGTCTCTAAAGTAGTCAAATTCAGAGAGACAGAAGTAGAATGGTGGTTGCATAGGGCTGGGAATGGGGGATGGAGAGTGGGTATTTAATGGGTAAGAATTTCAATTTTACAGGATACAAAAGCTCTGGAGATCTATTGCACAGTAATGTGGATGTACTTAATACTGCTGAAATGTACACCTAAAAATGGTTAAGATGATGGTAAATTTTAGCTGTAATTTACCACAAATTTAAAACATAAACTTAGTGGCATAAAGCAGGCACCCCCATTGTGTGATTTCCTGGGTTCCCTGGTCAGGAGTTTGGGCACAGGCAAGGTTGCCCTTCTCTTGCACTAGGATGTCTGAGGCCTCATCTGGAGGCGACCCTAGTGAGTAGGGCTGGAAGGGCTAGAGACAGATAATCTACTTCCAAGACCATGCGTTTACTCACACGTGTGGGACCTGAGCTGGGATGGCCCAAGGACGGGCTCTTCGGGGCCCATTGACTGGAGCCCTCCATGTGGCACTTTCAGCATGGCAGCCTCCAAGCAATCAGATTCCATTCGCGGTGGTTCAGGGTTCCAAAACAAGTGTCCCCAGCAGGTAAGGCCATGTGGCCTTTTATGACCTAGTCTCAGAAGTGACAAAGTCACCACTTTTATGAATTGCTTCTTTACTGCAATGTACGTACTTTAACAAACTTCAGCATCAACAGTGAAATGTTATGTGTATGCTGGTAAACCCTTAACTCAGTATGTATCAAGAATGCTGGCCGGGCGCAGTGGCTCACGCTTTAATCCCAGCACTTTGGGAGGCTGAGGCAGGTGGATCACGAGGTCAGGAGATCGAGACTATCCTGGCTGACACGGCGAAACCCCGTCTTTACTAAAAAAAAATACAAAAAAATTAGCCAGGCGTGGTGGTGGGCGCCTGTAGTCCCAGCTATTCGGGAGGCTGAGGCAGGAGAATGGCGTGAACCCAGGAGGCGGAGCTTGCAGTGAGCCGAGATCGCCCACTGCACTCCAGCCTGGGCAACAGAGCGAGACTCCGTCTCAAAAAAAAAAAAAAAAGAATGCTGCCAGGGCTGGGCACGGTGGCTCATGCCTGTAATCCCAGCACTTTGGGAGGCCAAGGCAGGTGGATCACCTGAGGTCAGGAGTTCAAGACCAGCCATGGTTGTCTCTACTAAAAATACAAAACATTAGCCAGGTGTGGTGGTGGGTGCCTGTAATCCCAGCTACTCCGGAGGCTGAGGCAGGAGAATCGCTTGAACCTGGGAGGCAGAGGTTACAGTGAGCCAAGATCGTGCCACGGCACTCCAGCCTGGGTGGCAGAACAAGACTCAGTCTAAAAAAAAAAAAGAATATATTCTAAAAACCCTTATAACTCAACAGTAAAAAGATAAATAAACCAATTTAATTTAATTTATTTATTTATTTGAGATGGAGTCTCGCTCTGCCACCCAGGCTGGAGTGCAGTGGCTTGATCTCGGCTCACTGCAACCTCTGCCTTCTGGGTTCAAGTGATTCTCCTGCCTCAGCCTCAAGAGTAGCTGGGACTACAGGTGCACACCACCGTGCCCGGATAATTTTTGTACTTTTAGTGGAGATGGGCTTTCACCATTTTGGCCAGGCTGGTCTGGAACTCCTGACCTCAGGTGATCCACCTGCCTTGGCCTCCCAAAGTGCTAGGATTACAGGTGTGAGCCACCATGCCCGGCAATAAACCAGTTTTAAAATGGACAAGGGATTTGAACAGACATTATTCCAAAGAAGATATACAAATAGCTAATAAGCACAGGAACACGTGCTCAACGTTATTAGTCATTAAGGAAATACATGCAGCTGGGTGTGGTGGCGTGCGCCTATAATCCCAGAACTTTGGGAGGCCAAGGCAGCTGATCACATGAGTCCAGGAGTTTGAGACCAGCCTGAGCAACATGTTGAGACCCTGTCTCTACTAAAAATACAAAACTTAGCTGGGTGTGGTGGCATGCATCTTGTAGTCCCAGCTACCCGGGAGGCTGAGGTAAGAGGATTGCTTGAGCCTAGGAGGTAGAGGCTGCAGTGAGCCATGATTGCACCACTGCACTCCAGCCTGGGTGACAGAGCAAGACTCTGTCTCAAAAAAAAAAAAAAATTTTGAAAAAAGGGAAATACATGCTACAACTTGAATGCACCTCAAAAACATTATGAAGAATGAAAGAGGCCAGACACAAAAGGTCACATATTATATAATTATTTTGGTATGAAGTAACCGGATTGGCTAGGCGTGGTGGCTCATGCCTGTAATCCCTGTACTTTGGGAGGCCAAGGTGGGTGGATCACCTGAGGTCAGAAGTTTGAGACCAGCCTGACCAACATGGTGAAACACCATCTCTACTAAAAATACAAAACAAAAATTAGCCAGGCATGGTGGCAGGCATCTGTAATCCCAGCTACTCCGGAGGCCGAGGCAGGAGAATCGCTTGAACCTGGGAGGCAGGCAGAATTTGCAGTGAGCCGAGATCGCGCCATTGCACTCCAGCCTGGGCAACAAGAGCAAAACTCCATCTCAAAATATAAATAAATAAATAAATAAATAAATAAATAAACAAACAAACAAACAAATAAGAATTAACCAGAATGGGCAAAATGTAAAGACAGAAAAGCAGATTGGTTGTTGCCAGGGGATGGGAGGAGGGGGAAATAAAGGGTGATTTCTTTCTTTCTTTCTTTTTTTTTTTTTTTGAGATGAAGTCTCGCTCTTTTTCCCTAGGCTGGAGTGTGATGGCGCGATCTCGGCTCACTGCAACCTCTGCCTCCTGGGTTCAAGTGACTTTCCTGCCTCAGCCTCTGGAGCAGCTAGGATTACAGGCGCCTGACACCATGCCCGGCTAATTTTTGTATTTTTAGTAGAGACGAGGTTTCACCATGTTGGCCAGGCTGGTCTCAAACTCCTGACCTCAGGTGATCCACCTGCCTCAGCCTCCCAAAGGCTGGAATTACGGGTGTGAGCCACTGTGCCCAGCCAAGAGTGATTTCTTAAGGAAGTACTTGGTATTTTTCTGGAATGATGAAAAAATTTTGAAACTAGAAAGAGGTGGTGGTTGCGCAACACTAGGAAAGCTCTGGATGCCACTGAATTGTACGCATCAAAATGGTGAATTGGAGCCTGGTGCAGTGGCCTGGAACTGTAATGCCAGAGACTCAGGAGGCTGAGGTGGGAGGATCACTTGAGCCCAGGAGTTCAAGGCTGCATTGAGCTATGATCCTATGATCAGGCCACTGCACTCCAGCCTGGGCAACAGGGCGAGATCCCTGACTCAATTAAAATAAAAAATATATATTAAAAAACAAAAGAATGCACAGGCTCCAGGGGTATGAGCCACTATCGTATCAGCAGGGTCTCACTCCAGATGTGGCTAATACAAGTCTTTCTGTGATCCATAGCTTTATCAATAATCTAAGCTTGATTTGCTAATTAGCATAATGATGTCATTTTTTTTTTTTTTAAGAGACAGAGTCTCGGCCGGGCGCGGTGGCTCACGCCTGTAATCCTAGCACTTCGGGAGGCTGAGGCGGGTGGATCACGAGGTCAGGAGATCAAGACCATCCTGGCTAACACAGTGAAACCCCGTCTCTACTAAAAATACAAAAAATTAGCCGGGCGCGGTGGCAGGCACCTGTAGTCCCAGCTACTCGGGAGGCTGAGGCAGGAGAATGGCGTGAACCCGGGAGGTGGAGGTTGCAGTGAGCAGAGATAGCGCCACTGCAGTCCGGCCTGGGCGACAAAACGAGACTCCATCTCAAAAAAAAAAAAAAAAGAGACAGAGTCTCACTCTGTCTCCCAGGCTGGAGGGTAGTGGTGCAATCATAGCTCATCACAGTCTTGAACTCCTGTGCTTAAGCGATCCTCCTGCCTCAGCCTCCTGAGTAGCTGGGACTACAGGTGTGTGCCATCACTCCTGTCTGATTTTTTTTTTGGTAGAGACAGGGTCTGGCTGTGTTGCCCAGCCAGGCCTTATTATTGTTTTGTAAGAGCTTCCCTTTCCTTTAAGATTCTGGATACTTTGATACATTTATTGAAGATACCTTCTCTAAGTGTACATAATTAAATCTTGAAATACATTTTCTTGGAACAGACTGTTCTTAACTGAAATTGTAAATAGGTGAATGTTGTGCTGCAGATTCCGAAAAAGCCAAACCATCCCCGCTCATCTCCAGACCCAGTGGGCCTTTGTCTAAGGATGTCACAGGCCATAATTCCCAAGCAGCAGCCACATTCTTAGAAAGGCTGAGGAACTGGGTTCCACGTTCTGGGGAGGTGTGGACACATCTGCTTAGGAATATAGGAGGAATTTGGGACAGGGTGAGGGAGTGTCGGGGTTCTCTAAGAGGGAGGGGCACGGATGGCAAGGAATGAAGGGGAGGAAGAGCTGAGCCACACAGCCAATTTGGAATGGAAGCAGTTGCTAAGGCCAAGGTTTTCCAAAAGTCAAATGGAAGTCATTGTCATGCAGCAATATGGCTCCCTGCTGTTTCCAAACCACCCTGACTGCTGTGGGCTTTTGAAATCATGAATCATGAGTGGCTGAGTGGCTGTCTGCATAGCAGGGATGTGGGTGAAGGCTGTAAGGCGCTCCCTCCAAAATTGGCGTAGTCTGTGCCTGCAGATATGAAAGGGGTACACAGAGAATCTCTGGTGGCTGGAACCAATTTCCCCCATCCCCAACCTCAGCCGCCACCTGTGCTGAGCCTGTAGCAACAGGGACACAGCGGCAGAGTGACATTTACTGAACAGCTAAGTGCTTTACAGGCCATCGATTGTCATAACATCCTTCTAAGTCTTGTGATTGGTATTCTTTCGTTTTTTCTTTCTTTTTTTCTCTTTGAGATGGAGTGTCACTCTGTCGCCCAGGCTAGAGTGCAGTGGCGCAATCTCAGCTCACTGCAACCTCCACCTCCCGGGTTCAAGTGATTCCCCTGCCTCAGCCTCCCAAGTAGCTGGGATTATGGGCACCCGCCACCATGCCCGGCTAATTTTGTATTTTTAGTAGAGACGGGGTTTCACCATGTTGACCAGGCTGGTCTCGAACTCCTGACCTCAGGTGATCCACCCGCCTTGGCCTCCCAAAGTGCTGGGATTACAGGCGTGAGCCACTGTGCCTGGCCCAGTGGGCATTATTTCTATTGCATATATGGGGAAATTGAAGTTCAAAGAAGTTAAGTAACTTACTCCAAGTCATATAGCCTCTGAGTGACACAGCCAGGATTTATACAATTCCTCTTCTCACCCCTCTGTGCCCATGACAGAGGGCTCCTGGTTGTGTCTGAAGGGAAGAGCCAGGATAGTTTATTATTACCAGAACTCAAAAGGTTAATTTGTCCTGTGCTGTATATAAAAACTGCCAGAGAATTTGGGGAATTGAATGAAGTATCATCTCCCCAAACTTCCTTAAGAAATGCTCCCGTCAGCAGGTGCCTAGCACGAGGCAAACCTTTGAACTTTGGACATGACCCTTCTCTACAAAGGGTAGACAGCCCTACCCACTACCACGGAATTCCTGCTGCCCAGGACCCAGACTTGAACAATAAAAGACATCTGGGGCCGGGCATGGTGGCTTACGCCTGTAATCCCAGCACTCTGGGAGGCCGAGGCAGGCGGATCACCTGAGGTCAGGAGTTCGAGACCAGCCTGGCCAACATGGTGAAACCCCGACCCTATTAAAAATACAAAAAATTAGCCAGGCATGGTGGCGGACGCCTGTAATCCCAGCTACTTGGGAGGCTGAGGCAGGAGAATTGCTTGAACCTGGGAGGCGGAGGTTGCAGTGAGCTGAGATCATACCACTGCACTCCAGCCTGGGCAATGAGAGCAAAGCTCCGTTTCGCTGGGGGCGGGGGTGGGGGGGAAGACATCTGGGAACTGGGACCAGTGGGTTTTATTTATTTAGACCCCAGGTCTAGCATCCCTGGAGCCTGGGTCGGATTTGTGTGAATCTGAACACCTTGGTGAGAGGTGAGGGAGTAATGAGTGGGGCAGATTTCAGAGGAGAAGTAATGGAGGCCAGAGATGAAGCCTGATCAGAGCCGCTCGGTGGTGGGACGTCCTCTCCAGTGAGGGTTGCAGGAGAGGCAGCAGCTGCTCCGGTTTGCCTTCTGGGCCTGAGCTATTCCACGAGGTTGCCACCAGCTGCACGTGGCTATCAGGTGCTTGAAATGTGGCCAGTCTGATTGAGATGAGCAGCAAGTGTAAAATACACCCTACATTACAAAGCCTTGGCATGAGATAAAGTAATGTAAAATATCTCATTAATAGTTTTATATTGATTACATGTAGGGATGATAATGTTGGACATATATTGGATTACATTAAATGTTATTAAAATTAATTTCACCTGTTTTATTTTTCTTCCTTTACTTTTAAAAGCATATGGCCACTAGAAAACTTTTCTTCTTTTCTTTTCTTTTCTTTTCTTTTTTTTGAGATAGGGTCTTGCTCTGTTGCCCAGGCTGGAGTGCAAAGGCACGATCAGGGCTCACTACAGCCTCGACCTCCTGGGCTCAAACGATCCTCCTACTTTGGCCTCCCGAGTAGTTGGGACTACAGGTGTGTGCCACCACACCTGGCTAATTTTTTATTTTTTGTAGAGATGGGGTCTCACCATGTTGCCTAGGCTTGTCTCAAACTCCTAGACACAATCCATCCTCCCACTTCAGTCTCCCAAAGTGCTGGGATTACTGGTGTGAGTCACGGCACCCGGCCTAGAAAATTTTCAATTCAAAATTACAAATGAAATTGCTCATTCTGAGGCCGGGTATTGTGGCTCATGCCTGTAATCCTAGCACTTTGGGAGGCCGAGGCGGGTGGATCACCTGAAGCCAGGAGTTCGAGACCAGCCTGGCCAACACAGTGAAACCGCGTCTCTACTAAAAATACAAAAATTAGCCAGGTGTGGTGGCAGGTGCCTGTAATCCCAGCTTCTCAGGAGGCAGAGACAGGAGAATCGCTTGAACCCGAGAGGCAGAGGTTGTAAGTGAGCCAAGATTATGCCATTGCACTCCAGCCTGGGCGACAGAGTGAGTCTCTGTCCAAAAAAAAAAAAAAAAAAAAAGAAGAAGAAGAAGAAGAAGAAGAAAGAAAGAAAGAAAAAAAAGAAATAGCTCATTCTATTTCTGTTGGACAGCGCTGTCTTCGACCAGTCCTTCCTGCCTGCGTGAGTGAAGGGAGGACAAGTGGGCAGAGGGCTGAGCTCCTTCAGAGGAAAGCATTGCCTCCTGGCCCCCCAGGTGAGAGCTGTGTGCAGGCCTGTGCAGAGAAGGGGAAGAGAGAGCAGAATCGCCCCAGGGGCCAGAACCAAGAGTTGACCGACCAGATGTAGGGGCAGACAGCTGGGAGGATGGAGCTTCCTAGGGCGGTGCCAGCCCCTGAAGGGCATGGGTGGGGACAAGATGGGGCCAGGTGGGTCATCTTCTTATAGCCATGCCCAGGGCTGTGGGGGTGGGGTCTGCTCTCCCTCCCTGCAGCCGTTTAGGACTCATAGGTTTTTTGCTGCTCCTGTCGGGTGAGGAATAAGACTGATGTTTTCTTTATTTTGGAATCCTTTGTTGTTCTCTTGATTCTCTGAGCCTGTGGGGAGCTGAGCCTACCCAGGGAACCCAGGTCTTTGCTAATCAGCCCCCTGGGGGTGCTCCCTATCAAGTCCCTAAAGTCCCCCAGCCCCAGCTTGCCCCCCAGACCACAGACATGGATGACAGGAGCCACAGGGGGCTTTGGGAACCAGGCCTCACCTGGGGGTTAGAGCCTGTGGGTCTGGCTTGGCGCCTGGAGTCTAAGTTTAAAAGCTCCCCTATTCTTGATGCCTGATTCTCTGATTCTCTGCCAGGAATTTCTCCAGCAGCTGTGCCAACACAGGGGCTCCAGGGCCTATGCCAGGGGGCACCCTTGTGTCTGGCTTGCTGGGATTCATTTACACAGTCTGTGCTAATAAAAGAGATGGGGAGAACCGCATTTAGCTAGTGCCTGGGGGCTATCCACTGGGCACTGGCAGCCAAGCCGGGGAAAGTTGTGTGAATCACTTTAAGGGTTTCCCAAATGTAAACAAAGGCTTGAAACTTGCCCTTGAGGAGACATCCCTGGAGGAAAGGTGAAGTCATTGAGGGCTATCTAGAAACATCTATAGGGAAAGAATTAGAGGAAAGGACACAATTGCCAGAAGATGCTGGCAAAAAAGGAGGAGCTCCACGCTTACAGCCTCTGTTTTTCAGTTCTAGCCCTCAATTCACTGTTAGACCCCCTCACTTTCTGCTGGTCATGATTTAAATGTCACCGACTCCATGATGCCCCTCCTGGTCATTTTACCTAAAATTACAACTTGCCCCACCACTCCCGACACACTTTTCTTAGATGCTTTTCTGACTTATTTTTATCTTAGTACTTATCATCCAAGCTAGATTTTTATTTATTTTGTTGACTATCTGTTTCCCCCATTAGAATGTGGGCCATAAAGGCAGGGATTTTGTATTATTTTGCTGGTACTGGGTTCATATTTGTTTGTTTGTTTTTTGAGACAAAGTCTCACTCTGTCGCCCAGGCTGGAGTGCAGTGGCGCAATCACAGCTCACTGCGGCTTTGATCTCTTAGGCTCAAGCAATCCTCCCACCTCAGCCTCCGGAGTAGCTGGGACTACAGGAACGCACCACCATGCCTGGCTAATTTAAACATTTTTTTTTTTTTTTGGCAGAGATGGGATCTCGCTATGTTGCCCAGGACTGGTCTTGAACTCCTAGGCTCAAACAATCCTCCGACATTGGCCTCCCAAAGTGCAGGGCAAGCCACCGTACCCGGTCTGACTTCCTATTTGTTGATTGAAGCAATATATGCATGCCTGAATAT
Organism: Homo sapiens; assembly: GCF_000001405.40. Taxonomy (NCBI): domain Eukaryota; kingdom Metazoa; phylum Chordata; class Mammalia; order Primates; family Hominidae; genus Homo; species Homo sapiens. The sequence goes on from NC_000002.12 coordinate 232,625,476, forward strand.
ATGAGATTTTTCAACTTCCAACCCAAAAGCCGCTTAGGATGGGAGTCTACCCTCTGCTCTTTGCAATACTGTGTAGATAACAAAATATAGAAATGACCTTGAATGTCCACCAACAGGGACAGGTTAGTTAACGGATGCTACACACAGAGAACAGAATACTCAGCTGCCAGTAAAAGAAATAAGGTAGATTAATGATTCCTCAAAGTGCTCCACATACCTCTGAGAACCATTTTCATAATACTAAGACAGTATTTGCCTTTTTCAATGTGTTGACATTTGTACCCATGATGCGAAAGGAATGGTGGGTAAACCTGACATCACCTTAGCCTGAATTAAGGCAGTGGCATCAAACTATACCAGGAGTTATTGTACTCTTCACCATCATACACTCCTCATTTAAAAAAAAATTAATTGCATTTAAGAATGTCCTTGAGGCTGGACGTGGTGACTCACACCTGTAATCCCAGCATTTTGGGAGGCTGCGGCGGGAGGATTGCTTGAGCTCAAGGTTCCAGATCAACCTAGGCAACATGGCAAGACCACGTCTCTACAAAAATACAAAAATTAGCCAGGTTGGTGGCATGTACCTGTCTGTAGTCCCAGCTACTTGGGAGGCTAAGGTAGGAGGATTGCTTGATCCCGGGAGGTTGAGGCTGCAGTGAGCCATGATCACAACACCGCACTCCAGCCTGGGTGACAGAACAAGACCTTGTGTCCAAAAAAAGAAAAAAATATATATATATCCTTGATGAAGCAGGAAAATAGTTTTTAATTTTATTAAATTTTGAGGCTGGGCATGTTGGCTCACGCTTGCAATCCCAGCACTTTGGGAGGCTGAGGCAGGCGGATCACTTGAGATCAGGAGTTCAAGACCAGCCTGGCCAACATGGTGAAACCTCACCTCTATAAAAAATACAAAAAAATTAGCTGGGCGTGGTGGTGCATGCCTATAATCCCAGCTACTCTGGAAGCTGAGGCATGAGAATTGCTTGAACCCGGGAGGTGGAGGTTGCAGTGAGCCAATATTGAGCCACTGCACCCCAGCTTGGGTGACAGAATGATAACTTGCCTAAAATTAATTAATTAATTTATTTATTTATAAATTTTGATCCTTAAGTACACACCTTTTTAATATTTGGTGTAATGGATGGAAAGTGAACATAAAGCCCTTCTGCTGCAGATGAAAGTCTGTTAGTCATCTTGAGAAAAGCATTTGTGCTGTTGTTTGTGAGCTGAACTAGCTCCCCTTTCAGGAAACATGAATTTTGCCTGGAAGCACAGCTGACAATCCATGGCTATTCACAGTTGGGTATTCAGAGACACTGTCTAGAACAATGAACAAAGTGAGCCTGTCACTTCAAGGTAAACAATTGATAGTACTTTCCAATAACAATAAAATGTGAGCTTCAGAGAAAAACTAGAATTTTGGGCCGAGCATGATGGCTCTTGCCTGTAATCCCAGCACTTTGGGAGGTCAAGGCAGGAGAATCACTTGAGCCCCAAGTTCAAGACCAGCCTGGGCAACATAGTGAGATCCTGTCTCTCTCTCTCTCTCTCTCTCTATATATATATATATATATATATATATATTTTTTTTTTTTTTTAATTAGCCAGTTGTGGTGGCACACACCTGTAGTCCCAGCTACTAGGGAGGCTGAGGTAGGAGGATCACTTAACCCCAGGAGTTTGAGGCTGCAGTGAGCTATGATTGTGCCATTGTACTCTAGCCTTTGTGACAGAATGAAACCCTGTCTTAAAAAAACACAAACAGAAAAAAAAAAAAAACTAGAATTTTGGAAAACTTTAATATCATGTAAGTAAAATATGTCAACATAGCCAATGGTACAAAAATATGCATAGGTCATGGATCTTAAATGTGCAAGACAGAGCAACAGATTTTTCTGAAACAGAGTACGTAAAGTTTGTTCATGTACTTTCAGTTTCCACATTGCAACTAAACCTCAAGAAATCACTACTTGCCTAAGCTTTGGTGTCATATCAAAGAAGAATATCCACCATTATCTGAAAAGCCTATTAAATGACACCTCCCTTTTTTCAGCTATATATCCAACTGTATTTCCAGCGACCTGTGGAAGATTGGATTTTCTTCATATACTTCAAACAAAACAAATTGCAACAAATCAAATGCAGGAGCAGATGTGATATCTAACTATCTTCTATTAAGCCAGATGTAGAAGACATTTGCAAAAGAAATTTTTGCAAATGTCTTCTATATTTGCAAAAGATACTTGCAAAAATGTAAAACAATGCCTCTCTTCTCTCTTCTTATCAATGTTATTTATGTTAATATGTAATGGCTTATTATTATATTATTTTTAAACTAAGATTTATGGAGATATAATTCACTTATCATAAAACTCATCCTTTTTTTGTTTGTTATTTTTTTGTAAAACTAATCATTTTGAAGTGTACAATTCAGTGGTTTTTGGTGTATTTCCAGAGTTGTAAAACCATCGTCACTATCTAATGTTAGAATATTTACAATTTAATGAGGCACGGCAGGAAGAAACATGGAATGAAGACTCTGCACCAAAATGAAGTGCTTAACAATGTTTTATTTATTTACATTTATTTATTTATTTGAGATGGAGTCTCACTCTGTCGCCCAGGTTGGAGTACAGTGACGTGATCTCGGCTTACTGCAACCTCTGCCTCCCAGGTTCAAGTGATTCTCCTGCCTCAGCCTCCTGAGTAGCTGGGATTACAGGCACCTGCCACCAAGGCCAGCTAATTTTTGTATGTTTAGTAGAGACGGGGTTTCACCGTGTTGGCCAGGCTGGTCTTGAACTCTTGACCTCAGATGATCTACCTACCTTGACCTCCCAAAGTGCTGGGATTACACATGTGAGCCACTGTGCCTGGCCATGACATGAAATGCTTAACAATGTTTATAAAAGTCAAAACCTTTTGCTCTAAAACAAATCAAAATCCTGAAATTTTGACTTGTTCAAGAAAGAAGTTGACAATCCAAAAACAAGTGGGAGGGAATACCTCTAGGGATGAAAGCAGCCCTGGGGTTTTGCTCTTCCCTTTCTGGAATTTAGTTCATTCTGACTTCTTTGTGACTTGCAGATCAGACTTTCCCACAGGACTCAGAGGCCCGTACTGACCTATCGGGGCTGAAAGAGAAATCTTTTCTTGTCCAGATGCCACAGAAATGGACTCAATTCCGCAGGGATTTGAGACTCAAATCTCCATTCTGACTCAATTCTGCAGGGATTTTCAGAGGGCGGGCAGGCAGATTATAACATCCAAAAAATGGCCACAATTTCTCCCTGGAGAGGTAGGGGTCTATGATCCCTCTCCTCGAACTATGCTCCCTCCCCTTTGTCACTGGCTTGGCCTATAGAGTTCAGCTATGTGACTTCTGAGGCTACATCACAAAAGGTGATACAGCTGCTACCGGACTCTCCCTCTTGGAAAGCCTACCCTTGGAGCCTAGTGACCATGTTGAGAGGAAGCCCAGGCCACGTGGAGAGGCCACGTGTGGGTGTTTCAGCCAACAGCCCCAGTGAAGGGCCCAGCTGGAGCCGGCACGGATCCTGGGACATGTGAGGGAGGGAGTCTGCAGGTGGTTCTTGCCTCCAGCCTTAGCACAGCCCCCTGCTTTTGATAAGTGTATTAGAGCAGAGATTTCCCCACAAAACTCTGCCCAAATTGGACATCTGTGAGCAAAATAAATGTTTGAAGCCGCTACCTTCAGGGATGGTTTGTTACACAGCAATAGAACTGAACAAGAAGTCTTGGAGTGAAAACAATGATTTTATTTTCCCTGGGAAAGGCAGAACCTCCTTTGGCCACCCCAGAATGTTAGTGAAATAAATGAGCTCATGGGATGACACAGACAAAACATTTTCAGCTGCTCTACAGCAAAACATCCGCCCTCCATTCTTCTTCACTATAAACAAGAAGTTTCATTTTCTGATTACAGTTTTATACATTCATTGTAGGAAATTCAGAAAAATGAGATTTTCTTTTTCTTTTTTTTTTCATATGGAGTCTCACTCTGTCTCCCAGGCTGGAGTGCAGTGGTGCCATCTTGGCTCACTGCAACCTCCGCCTCCCGAGTTCAAGCGATTCTTCTGCCTCAGCCTCCCGAGTACCTGGGACTACAGGTGCGTGTCACCACGCCCGGCTAACGGTTGTATTTTTAGTAGAGATGGGGTTTCACCATGTTGGCCAGGCTGGTCTCGAACTCCTGACCTCAGGTGATCCACCCGCCTCGGCCTCCCAAAGTGCTGGGATTATAGGCATGAGCCACCACGCCCGGCCAAAAAAAAATGAGAATTTAAAAAATGAAAATGAAAATTATCTGGACTCTTAGCATTTATAACTGTTAATAATTTGCCCCCTTTAGTTTTTTTTTTCCATATATAGATATTTGTTTTACAAAACATGGGTCATATTTGTACAGTAAGATTGATATTGGCCCATGATTCAACAAGCATGTTTTTTGTTTGTTTGTTTGTTTGTTTGAGACAGGGTCTCTGTCGCCCAGGCTGGAGTGCAATGGCTCGATCTTGGCTCACTGCAATCTCCACCTCCCAGGTTCAAGCGATTCTCCCACCTCTGCCTCCCAGGTAGCTGGGACTACAGGCACATGCCACCATGTCCAGCTAATTTTTGTGTTTTTAGTAGAGGCGGGCTGTCACCATGTTGTCTAGGCTGGTCTTGCACTCCTCACCTCAAATGTTCCACCTGCCTCAGCCTCCCAAAGTGCTGGGATTATAGGTGTGAGCCACCACAGCCGGCCCAGCAAGCATGTTTGAGTCTTTGTCAGGTGCCCGACTGGACATCGGAAAAGAGGAGAAGGAGAACAGGCTTTGGGCTGTGGCCGTAACGGTGACCACCTGGAATTGTCACTAGTGAGATACTAACACTTCATTCTGAGGGGTGGCCAGGTGTTGCCTGGTGAATACTGTGGGCCTGTGCTATTTTCCCTCAGGGGCGGGACATAGCTCAGAGGGCGTTCTGTCTAGGCTGGGTGCCTGGTGGACACAGCCCTCAATCTTTGCCCCTTGCAGATGATGTGCCTTTTGAGAGGCACCAGGTGACTGCTCACAGTATGCAAGCGCATTATCTAAAAGCACTCCCTCATTTGGAAACACTTCAATGAAAAAGTGAAATTTTGTTCACAATCCACTCCCATTAATTTCAGAATTTTCAAGGCTGGGCACCGTGGCTCACCCCTGTAATCCCAGCACTTTGGGAGGCCTAGGCAAATAGGATCAATTGAGCCCAGGAGTTCAAGACCTGCCTGGGCAACATAGAGAGATCTCATCTCTATTAAAAAAAAAAAAAAAAGAAAGAAAGAAAAGAAAAAAAGTCATTTTTAATTTAAAAAATTTTCAACATTATATTCATAAATAAAAAGAGCTGTTAGATTTTTTTAACACTAACTGTTGTAAATTTCAGCATGTAAAAAATGGTTTAAAAATTCTATTACTGGCCGGGCACAGTAGCTCATGCCTGTAATCCTAGCACTTTGGGAAGCCAAGACAGGTGGATTCCTTGGGGCCAGGAGTTCAAAACCAGCCTGGCCAACATGGTGAAACCCCGTCTCTACTAAAAATATAAAATATTAGCTGGGCTTGGTGGTGGGTGCCTGTAATCCCAGCTACTTGGGAGGCTGAGGCAGGTGAATCGCTTGAACCTGGGAGGCAGAGGTTGCAGTGAGCCGAGATCGCACCACTGCACTTCAGCCTGGGCAACAAGAGCAAAACTCCGTCTTAAAAAAAAAATTGTATTACCTACTCATGCAAAGTTTCTCTCTCTCTCTCTCTCTTTCTTTCTCTCTCTCTCTCTCTGTCTCTCTCTCTCTCTCAGACAGGTCTTACTCTACCACCCAGGCTAGAGTGCAGTGGCATGATCATGGCTCACTGCAGCCTCCACCTCCCGGGCCCAAGTGATCCCAAATAGCTGGGACTACAGGTGCATACTACCACACCTGGCTAGTTGTTTTTTATTTTATTTTTATTTTTTATTTTATCTTTTTTTGTACACAAGGTTTTGCCATGTTGCCCAAGCTGGTCTCAAACTCCTGGGCTCAAGTGATGCGTCTGCCTCTGCCTCCCAAAGTGCTGGGATTACAGGTGTGAGCCACCGCGCCCAGCCCCAGAGTTTCTTGTTGATGGAGACTATTAAGAATTTTGAACTTTTTCTTTCTTGAGGAGAGCTCGATGGAATAAGAACATTAAAAAAAAAAAAAAACAAAAACAAAACCAGCTGGGTGTGGTGGCTCATGCCTGTAATCCCAGCACTTCGGGAGGCCGAGGTGGGAGGATCGTCTGAGGCTAGGAGTTCACAACCAGCCTAGCCAACATGGAGAAACCCTGTCTCTACTAAAAATACAAAAAATTAGCCAGGTGCAGTGGTGGGCGCCTGTAATCCCAGCTACTCAGGAGGCTGAGGCAGGGGAATCACTTGAACCCAGGAGGCAGGGACTGCAGTGAGCCGAGATCATGCCATTGCACTCCAGCCTGGGAAACAAGAATGAAACTCCATCTCAAAAAAAAAAAAAGTTTTTAAAATATAAAATTAAAAAAAGTTTAATTACACAAAATTTTTGACCTTATTTCTCTGAAATGTGTCACATAAAGTGGTCAAAACAGATGTGACAACAAAGCCAACCTTCTAGTCACCACCACCAGGTCAGGAAGTGTAGCGCCCCGTGATCTATTTGCAGGGTTGCCATTGTATATGTAAAACCCGTATTCTCTGTACCAAGTCAAGTTGTTCAGTAGGAATGTTAAAGATTTTTATACTTTTCTTTAAAAAACGTATTTTCCTTTATAACTTTTTAAAAATAACATTTTAACCCAGGTCCCCCGCATGCCCTGCACTCGCATGCCAAAGGCTGGTCCCTGGGTCTCAGACAACCATAGTCCAGCGGGGTCACTGACCTGCCCCAGTCATCAGCCCATGGTGGGTCAGAGCAGCGTCGTTCTCAAGTGGGGACAGACCCGTGTTTACAAGATTCTCAACGCCTGGCTGATGTAACAGCGGCATCAGCCTTCCTTGGGGAGAATGACGACTGTATTTGTTTTTACCCTCTTGTTAAAAATGCTGATTTAATTTTCAAGCTTCTTTTCCTTCTTTCCTTTCTTTTTTCCTCCCCCTCTCCCTCCTTCTTCTTCGTTTATTTTTAGAGCCAGGGTCTCACTCTGTCGCCCAGGCTGGAGTGCAGTGGCCTGACCATGGCTCGTTGCAGCCTCGACCTCCCGGGCTCAAGCCATCCTCCTACTTCAGCCTCCTGAGTAGCTGGGACTACAGACGAGCGCCACTATGCCTGGCTGATTTTTTAAAAGTTTTTGTAGAGACAGTCTAACTATGTTGCCCAGTCTGGTCTCGAACTCCTGGGCTCAAAAGATCCTGCCACCAACACCTAAGTGTTGGGATTGCGGATGTGAGTCTCCGCGCCAGGTTTCTTCTCTTTTCTTGTGCGTTTCACGCAAAAAAACCCGAGTCCCTGAAGCTACGCTGCTTTCCTGCCTCTAGGGAAAACGGGAGTTTTTTCTGCTCGTTTGCTCTCTCTCTTTTTTGTTTGCTTATTTGTTTTTAGTATTTTTAGCATGTTTTGGAAACATTTCGTTCCAATGAGTGTTTGAAAAGCAGCTCCCCCGCCCCACGCTCCGGGCGGGCGCCTCCCACTCCCTGACCCCGGGGAGGGTGGGCACCACTCCCAGACGCGGGGGACGCGTGGGTGTCGCTCGGGGGCGCTCGCCTCCCCCACCCAGCCTGTCCCGGGCCGCGAGCGCTTCCAGTCGGGTTACTTCTGGGGGACAAGAAAGGCACCGTCTGAACGGTCGAGACGCTTTTTCCCGCTACGGTTTTCCCCGGAGCTGACAGGGGCAGCAAGGTCGGAGTTGATCCGAGGGTCCCTGCCTGGTCCCGGGGGGACGGTCAGCCTCCCGCCCGGAGCCGCGGGGAGAGGAAGCAGGTCGGGGTCTCCGGGACGCGCAGACACCCAGACACCGGCGGCCTCCTCCCACCAGGCTGGCAGTCGCTGAGCCCTGGCGCCTCCTTAAAGCCGCAGCTCCGCCCCGACCGCCCCGCCCGCCAGTCCGTCCTCAGACCCTCCCAACCGCCGGGTCCCCGCCGCCTCGGCGGAGTGTTGTAGAGCCTCGAGCCTGCGAGGAGCGCGCCGCCCGCCAGCTCCCTGCGTCCCGTCCCGCGTCCCCGCGTTCCCGCGTCCTGCGATCCGCCGCCATGGCCAGTGAGGAGCTGGCGTGCAAGCTGGAGCGCCGGCTGCGGCGCGAGGAGGCCGAGGAGAGTGGCCCCCAGCTGGCTCCCCTCGGCGCCCCAGCCCCGGAGCCCAAGCCCGAGCCCGAGCCTCCCGCCCGTGCGCCCACGGCCAGCGCCGACGCGGAGCTGAGCGCCCAGCTGAGCCGGCGGCTGGACATCAACGAGGGCGCTGCGCGGCCCCGGCGCTGCAGGGTCTTCAACCCCTACACGGAGTTCCCGGAGTTCAGCCGCCGCCTCATCAAGGACCTGGAGAGCATGTTCAAACTGTGAGCTCCCGCTGCGCGCCCTTCGCCCCCGGGACCAGGGAGGGAGCGGGAGGGCTTTCTGGTCCGAAGTCCCGGGCCCTGTTTGTGTGGGGAGGGGTCCCGGGGTGCAGGTAGCATTTGGCCCAACGCAGCCAGATCTTGCGTGCTCGGGTCTATCTCGGCGCGGTGGGGGACGGGGCCGAAGAGGGGGGACACCAGGAGCAGGAGCTCTCCGGGACGGAGCCCAAAAGTTCTCGGCGGCTGCCGGGCCCGAGTTCCAGGTCCCCCAACCCCGACCACTGGTCCCGCCCCCTCCGCCCGCCAGTCCGGAGATTTGCTCCGAAAGCAACTTCTAGGAAAGGGAGCCGTCGCCGCGCCTCACCTGCCAGCTTTCACTGTATCCCCCCAAGGGAAAAATTAGCCCCTGTTGGCCTTTTATCTTTTAAAACAAAAGGGGAAAGTTAATCCTTGGCTGCAGCGCGGGGTCTGATGAATGAGCGGAGGCCGAGAACGGGGAGTTTGGTAAAGTCGTTGTAAGAGATTCAGGACTTTCCTGGAGCAGGCGCGGCCCGGGAGCCTCCTGGGGGCGCGGGGAGGGGGGGCGGTTGTGGGAACCGAACTTGGCCGCTGGCACCGGTCCGGCGGGGGCTCGTTGCGGTCCTGCTCTGTGAGCCCCAGTGCGCGGGGAGCCGCTCACCTGGGGAGACACTGAGCCAGAGGCAGGCGATAGAGACCCACTAGTCCACCTCGTCGCCTGGAACCTCCGGGGATCTCAGTTTCCTCATCTGGAGAGTGGGAGCAGTAACAGTCCCTGCCTTTTAAGGCCGAAAAGTATTTTGCACCCGGTAAGCTCTTAACCGAGCTATTAATATTTCCAGAATTGAGCCGAGACCGGAAAAATGCCTGGGGGAGCTGAGGCCGCCGGCCAGGTCATGCTTGGGCGTTTTTAAAAGCGCATGGAATGTGTTTGCCCTCCGCGTGGAGGTTCTATTTAAAGGCGCTGTGACTGGCGCTGCGTCGCCTGAGCCTCCGCTGCCCCTGCATGGAGGTTTGCAGAGCCGGCACTTGGGAGCCTCCGCCTCCTCTGCCTCCCTGACACCCTGGTTTCTTTGTCTGGCTTCCAGGCACTGATCTGTGGCGTTTTCTGGGTCTAGTTTGGGCAGTTCAGGAAGGCCCAGTGCGCTAAAGAATGCGGCTGGGGCGAAAATGGAAAAGCAATGGGTGAGGCAAGGTTTGTTGGAGCCCTTTGATTTCTCTGGGGTAATGCCTTTCATGGGAAGACTGCCCTGGCCGGGCTGCTCCCAGACCCCACCAGTTCCTCCCAGTCCAGCTGGATTCAGGGGATCTTGGGGAGGGACCTTTATCTTCAAGTTTTCTTGTGGCCACTCAGGCTTCTTTTGTTTTTCCTATAAAACAATCTTTGGAAAGATCAACTTGTAGTTGACTACCTAAGAGTGATAAAAAGAGTCCATATGCTCAGAGGGTCTTGGGAGACGAAGCAAGGTGGCATCTGTGAGCAAACAGGTACTGGACCAGGATCACGCAAAGGGGAGCCGGGCACAGTGGCTTACGGCTGTAATCCCAGCACTCTGGGAGGACGAGGCAGGCGGATCACCTGGGGTCAGGAGTTCAAGACCAGCCTGGCCAACATGGTGAAACCCCATCTCTACTAAAAATCCAAGAATTAGCCGGGAGTGGTGGCGCGGGCCTGTAGTCCCAGCTACTCGGGAGGCTGAGGTGGGAGAATTGCTTGAACCTGGGAGGCAAAGGTTGCAGTGAGCAGAGATCACACCATTGCACTCCAGCCAGGGTGACAGAGGGAGATTCTGTCTCAAGGGGAAAAAAAAAAAGCCAAGGGGAAGGCAGTGTGTGGCCTGGGATCCCAGCAGAGCTAACAGTTCAACCAGTACTTGGTATTTCTTTCTAGGTTGAGTTTTCTGTCACTTGCAACCAAAATTGGCATAAACAAAACGAGAATAATTTGGCTGAGGAAACCAAAAAGCCATCACTAGCTTCAGGTGTGGCTGGATCTAGGCGCTTAGGTGCTGCCATCAGTGCTTAGTTTCTCTTTTTGTTAAGCCACCTTCCTCTCTGCGTTGTCCCCGTTCTCAGATGGCTCATCCTTGGTGGTGGTGGTATGGCCACAACAGCTTAAATTAATAACATAAGAATGTTAAAAACACTAAAGAAAATGTAACACACCAATTTGTTTTCTATTGGATTACCTTCCAGATTTTACTCATGGCAGCAGCAGTCTTGTGAGGCTGTGAAGAGTGAGCACTTGGAGGCAGGCTTCCTGGGTTCAAACCCCAGCCCCACCACTTGCTCCCTGGAAGGTTCCTTGGGCAGCTTATTTAAAAGCTCTGTGCCATCAGTTTTCCCTTCTGTCAAATGGGAAAGCACAGGACCTGCCATGTGGGGTTATTGTGGGGATTAAATTAATTCATGTATGTGATGCATTTAGCTCCATGTTTCAGCCTATGGTGAAGGCCAGGTGGATTTTAGCCCCTAATTTTTAGATTATCACATATCCATAATTTGGGTAAATGTGCACATTTGGCTGGGTGTGGTGGCTCACACCTGTAATCGCAGCACTTTGGGAGGCTGAGGCAGGCGGATCATGAGGTCAGGAGTTCGAGGCCAGCCTGATCAACGTGGTGAAACCCCGTCTCTACTAAAAATACAAAAATTAGCCAGGCATGGTGCCACACGCCTGTAATCCAGCTACTCAGGAGGCTGAGGCAGGAGAATCGCTTGAACCTGGGAGGTGGAGGTTGCAGTGAGCCGAGATCACGCCATTGCACTCTAGCCTGGGCAACAGAGTGCGACTCCGTCTCAAAAAAATAAAAAAAGTACACATTTTGTGTTGTCCTTTTTTGTTTAATAATTCACTTTGCTGAGTCCACTTTATCTTTTGAACCTGATTTAGCCCACAGTTTGAGCTGTGGAGTGGTGACCTGGCCTCTTGGTGAGTTCCGGGTCCCCGTGGGACTGTGTGCTTTGCCCTTCCGGGTTCTGCGGAAGGAACTCGTTAGCTCCTCTGCTGCTGGGTGAGGTCGTTTGTTTCTTAGAGCTGCCTGAATGAAATGCCACAAAGTGGGTAGCATAAAACAACAGAAGTATATCCTCTCATAGTTCTGGAAATCAGAAGTCTGACAAGTCTGAAACCAACGTGTCAGCCGGGCTGTGCTGCCCTTGAGGCGCCAGCGAAGACTCCTTCTGTGCCTGTTTCCTGGCTTCTGGTGGTTGCCAGAATTCTTGGTATTTCTTGTGGTATGGGCGCATCACCGTAATCTCTGCCACCCTGAGCACCTGGTGCTCTCCCTGTGTGTGTTTCTGTGTCTTCACATGGCCTTCCTTTTTTTTTTTTTTTTTTGAGATGGAGTCTCACTCCATTGCCCAGGCTGGAGTGCAGTGGTGCGATCTTGGCTCGCTGCAAGCTCCACCTCTTGGGTTCATGCCATTCTCTTGCCTCAGCCTCCCGAGTAGCTAGGACTACAGGCGCGCACCACCATGCCCAGGTAATTTTTGTATTTTTAGTAGAGATGGGGTTTCACCATGTTGGCCAGGCTGGTCTTGAACCCCTGACCTCAAATGATCCACCCGCCTCAGCCTCCCAAAACGCTGGGATTACAGGCGTGAGCCACCGCGCCTGGCTTAAGAATTTCACTTTTAAGCAGTTTCTAGATTCATGTTCTGATGTCGCCTTAGTTCGTTGGGCCCCTTGCAGTATATAACCTGATTAGACCAGTACAAAGTACACCCTGTCTTTTTGTTTGGGGCTAGAAAGATTCATACAGATACTGGGAGACATGCTTTGATCGTTTAAATTTGATTTTCCTATTTAAAAGTATTTGGCTTAGGGATTTCTTACATTTTCAAGGCTTAAAAAAACTGGATCCTTCCCAGCCTCTGAGTTTGTTGGGTGCTTGGAGTGGTGTCCTTTGTGAGTCCTTAGGACCTAACAAATGAGGCTGGCTCCTAAATGGTGTGTTGTAGAAGAAAGAGTGTTTTCTAATGAGTGTGGGAAGCCAGAGGCACCATCAGCCCGGCCAGAGAAAGTTCCCTCTCCATTTCCAAGCCTGTTACTGGATAGCCTGAGCCAAGAGAATAGTGGCCTGATTTTAAAAGAATGAGAAGGCCCAGAAGAAACTGACTCTACAGCGTGTATCCGTGGCTGTAACGTGAGCTGGTGGAGCAGTCAAGGTTAGACAGGAAATTTTAATTACCCTGGACTTATCTGGAGGCCTCTTTCAAAGGGAGGCAATGAGGGCAGCCACTTAAAGGCAGGACCCCAATGCAACATCTTAAAATGCAGCCGCAAGGTTTTTGCAGCATACTAAAAGCTTGTGTTTTAATTCCCCAAAGAGAGGGTGGGAAGAGGAACATTTGGCTATGGGAAAGTTGTCTTTTTCTTAAGAATCTGAAACGGTGATGTCATGGATGTCCTGCCAGTGCCAGAGTCCCGCGTTACCAAGACACCAGTGAAACCCAAAAAGGTGAGGCTGTCGTGGAATTCTTCATTTCTCGTCCCCTCTCCTCTCCCAGTTTCTTTTTCTCCTCCTTAGTCTTGTCTCTAAAGGAGAGAGAAGCGGGTGTAGATTTGGAAGGCTGGGAATTTTCCAAAGAGGTAAAGTGAGCCCTCTTAGGGAGGCTTACTGGGGAGGTGGAGGTGAGGCTGCCTGCATACTGGCATCCTGATCTTTTGAGTGAATTGACTCTAAAAATGGGAAAGATGGGTGGAAATAAAAGGAAGAAGTTAAGTGCTTTCTTTTTCCTTGGAGAAAGGCAAGAGGTACTGACTTGTCCTGGCTATAGCTTCAGTCAACAGTGATCACCTTAGATGTGAAATTTTCTCACCTGCACTGGAGTTTGTACATTTGACAATTTTGAATTGGGGGGTAGGGTAAGAGGACCTAGGGCTTGTCTGAATTCTGGAGGATAGCTTTAGGTCAGCCTTCTGTTTTGGGTCTTAGTTTCTGGCAGAAAGACCCCATGCCTTGGAACTGTGTCTTAGACGGGTTTAAGTGCTGGCTGCTTTTACTTGCCAGCACGCATGATTAACCCATGTAGGAGGAGCTGGAAGGAGCTTCCACAGTTGCTGGTGGGTTTATCTTTGTAGGGAGTTCCCTCTTCCTCCTCATTCCTCGCTCCACACCTCCCTCTCCCTGGGATGTCTCCTCCACCATCCTTGTTACAGAGCCATCGAATTTTATGAGAATTTGAATAATGGAAATTTGAAGTTGAGTGATGAAAACAGTTATTAAAGTGTTACATTATACAGAAAGAGAAAGGTCCTTTCCCCCTTCTCCCTTGCAGGATTATTAAAAAGTGCCTGATTTCAAAGCTGTAAGGTCCAGGAGACTTTAACTTTTTTTTTTTTTTCTTTTCTCAAGACAGAGTCTTGCCATGTTGCCTAGGCTGGTCTTGAACTCCTAGGCTCAGGTGATTCTCTTGTCTCAAAGCGCTGGGATCATAGGCATGGGCTACTTCGCCTGGCCAGACTCTCTCTCTCTCTCTTTTCTTAAATGTTGTTGTATACCAACCAAACTAACTTTATACCCTCAGCCCTGTGGTACCCCCTGGACCAACTAGTATATAGGAATACTTCTTCCATTGACCTGCAGGGTGTTTGATTGGCATGGGGCTATGTTCTGCATGGGTTCATGGTGTGGCTGAGTTAGTGGGTCTCCAAAGATGTGCCGAATGGCCTAAGAGTCCACAAATCAGGTCTTGGGAGCTAGAGGGTGCCAGGCTGTCTACAATTGATATTCATCTTAGTTAGGAGCCCAGCACATCCTCAGGGCACTGACATCTGGGGTTGGCACACGTTTGTCTTTAGCTTTAGACTTCACAAATCTCTGTATATCATGTGCAACCTCACACACTCACACATGCCTACCTGCGTGCTCACACACTAGCTCACTCCCACAGCCACTTTTCGGGTGAGGCTGTCGCGGACTCACCTGTCGTGACTCACCACACTTGGCCTCCTCCACATTTTACAGTCCTCCCAGAACACCCCTCTATAGCCTCCTCCTGCTTCTGTGTCCCCTGAGTGTTGGTGGCCAAAGGGCATCATTGATCCTAAATTCTAGATGCTTCTTGGCAGGAATAACCTTGAGTTATTGGAGCATGGACCATGATCCTCCATTCCCAGCAAGATGAAACCTGACCTGTGGTCAATGACCTGCCAAGACATGGCCTTCCACGTTCCAAGGCTGCAGAGGTTCTGTGGTACCCCTGGTCCAACTGGTAAACAGGAATACTTCTTCCATTGACCTGCAGGGGCTTTGATTAGCATGGGGCTACATTATGTGTGGGTTCATGTCGTGGCTGAGCTAGTGGGTCTCTAAAGATGGGCGAATGACCTAAGAGTCCACTTAGGTCTCCTCCAGTGTTCCCAGCTCTGGGCTTCTGTGGCCAGCACTGTCCATATGTCTGCTAGTGTGTGCTCCTGTGGTACCATATCATGATGATGATGACGATGATCACCATGAGCCCCTTTCCAACCTGCTATGAGCTATTCATTCACTCATTCATTTTTTCATTCATTTAGCTAAGCACCTGCCAGGTGCCAGTTTATATATACTTGTATAATCTGGAAGGATCTTGGCCCTTGAGAAGCTCAACAAATGCTGACAGCAAGCTGGATGTAACATGATGCTGTTTGGATGGGAGGGATGTCACTCCCCGAGAAGCCACCCACCACCCACATACAGGAGGACACTCCAGTAGCTGAGCAGACCCTGAGAGGATGTGAGAGTTGGGGACACTCTGACCTCAGGCTGCTGCATTCAAAGCAGGGGCTCCTGGTCGTTCTGGGCACAGCCAGGGAGGAGCAGCCACCAAGGACTGTGAAGGGATTCAGGCCCTGGGTGGAGGCAGCAGGGAAGGCCCTTGGGATGAACCTCCTGGAGACAGAGAATGGGGGCTGAGAACTTGATCTCAGTGGTGAGTGCTTGACCTTGGATGGCAGAAGGAGGGCAGTGAGGGCTCAAGGAAAGGAAGCTGCAGCCATCGGGAAGCAAGAGCCTTCTCATGGTGGGAGTTAGTATTATTATTACTATTTTTTGAAACAGGGTCTCTCTCTGTCACCCAGGCTGGAGTGCAGTTGCACAGTCTTGGTCCACTGCAACCTCCACCTC